>NC_000001.11:177123980-177427011 GCF_000001405.40 Homo sapiens
TAAGGGCATTTAATTCTGTTCTCTCTGATGGAGCCGTTTTTGAGGAAGACTTTCAGCCACACTTTTGATTATCACAGGGCTTAGGAGCTGCTTCCCATGGAGGGCTTGACTCTTGCTTCCAGGTATACCACATTTCTCTTTCTAAGAAGTACAGGGTGCTAGCTCAGCATCTTTTCCCCACTAGGATGAGTACATCAGCTTCAAGCAGGTAGCCAGCATTTGAAATCCCAGTTAGGATCCTCAGCCTGGCAGTGGAGCGTCTACTCTACTAATTTACCCAAGCATTTCTTATATTTTCATCTCATTTCATCCTCACAAGAAGCATCTGGAAGATAATGAAACTGAGGCTGATAGAGTTCAGTAGCGCATTTGAGGCCAAATTATTCAAGTCATTCTCACTCCAAGTCTTTCCTCAGGCCTCTACTGCAGATGAATCCTCTCCCACAAAATTCTCACCAGGAGGGATGAGATAAAGAAGGCCTATATGAGAGATTTAGTAAGGGCGTGAGTGTGAGCTTCATGGCGCTTTGGCTAAACACTGTATCATCTTAGATTTTAGCTTGGGAGGAACTTAGCC
The DNA here is from genome assembly GCF_000001405.40 of Homo sapiens. Classification (NCBI taxonomy): domain Eukaryota; kingdom Metazoa; phylum Chordata; class Mammalia; order Primates; family Hominidae; genus Homo; species Homo sapiens. Next base: position 177,124,558 of record NC_000001.11, read on the forward strand.
ATGATGGATTTCTATGTCTGATGTATATCGCCTGAAGCATTTTGCTAACAGCTACCACAGAAGCCACTGCCCAGAGGAACAAAGAAAAAACACAGGAACAGAAAATTCTCTTCTTAAAAATCAGGTAGGAGATTAAGTTCTCTTTATTATCAATTAGTAGGTCTTTAGGATTCACCAGCATGTTTTGATAGAGGAGGAGGAGTGGGAGTAAGTTAGCACCACTAAAAGGGGCAATAACTTTTATTACTCTCAGTGAAAATTAAGGACTGCTTTCATTATCCAAATGCAAAGAGAAAGCATTTTCACATGGGGCTATAGAGAGCTGCCTACTATCTCAAGTCTGCTTGTGTGGTAGTCCGTGCTCTCCTCTCACACGCCAACCCATCACTTGGCAAGTGTTCAGCCAGCATCAGCTAAGTGCCTAGCATTGTGCCAGATGCTGGCAGAAGATAGCAGTGCTGTGAGACCTCACTTCTGATCTTAACAGGGCTTAAAATATAGTTAGAGTAATATGATCTATGTATAAACAAAGTGATTAGCAACCAATTCAAGACAGCATAAAACAGTATTTATGAGAAAGACAATAAATGCCAAATGATTTAAAGCAGTGAAAGGCCACAAGGAATGAAGTAGTTAGAGATTTTACGAAGAAATGGGAATTTGCCTGAGTCTTTTGGTGCATGGATTGGATAAACAGAGAGAGAAGGCAATCCAAGTATAGAGATTAATTTAGGCAAAAAGCTAGAGTTCAGAATGAGTATAATGAAATTAATGTATATTATATTTGTGTTTCAAATGACTATGCAAAGATTAAGTGGATTGATTGCCCATTTAATCCCTCACTGGTTTGTAGAGGAGAATTAAATGCTAATAGATGAAGTATTGACAAAGGCCAAGTAGTCTTTAAAGTGAACACCATTCCTTTATAAGAATGTAGGTTGCTTACCTAGATGTAGAGGCAAAAATTCTGATGCATCCTTCACAACCCCTCACACCTCCCTTGTGGGGAAAAGTCCCTGAAATTACTATGGATATTAATGATAAAAATAGGTATATAAAACACTGTATTGGCTCAGACCAATGATCCATTCAGACCAGGATTCAGTCATTGAAAATGACACCAAGTATATTACACGAAGGACATTACTGTATTTTGGGACCTCAATCTCAAAAAGTTAGCACTAGTACCCTAAACACCCTTAATTTCCTCATAGTTGCCGATTATGGCTCCATAAAATATGAACTTACCTCGATTATTCTTCAACCAATTTGTATTTTCTGACAACCTCTCTTCAAAGGATAATATATTCTATGTGTTTACCACCCACTATATTAAGTAATAATAATACTCTCTTTCATTTCTCCCAAATTAACTCTCCTTCAAGCTTCAAAGGATGCCCTTTATTTCTAATATTCCAAGATGTTATGAACAAATCTATATCCATTTAATTAGGACTTCTCTTGGCCCCCACCTATCTAAACTGAAGAGTGTTTAATCTGTCCTTACATTAAAAATGTCTTCCACCTATTTGGTTATTCTTGCTTGCTTCCTCAGGTGCTTTCTTGGCTCATTCCTTGCTGTCAGTGCTTTTATTTTATCATCACCATCATCATCATTATCCTATCAGATATATCTTAGGACCATCATCTGATTGCCTTGGGCTTCCCACCTCTGAGACCCTCAGCTGCTTGCTCCATTTTAGCTGCCCTTAGTAACTGATGAAGTTGACCTGAGCCAGCATGGCTTTGCTGCTTAGGAATAGCTACTTGACTGAGAGTGACAGATCCTCCTTCCCTTGGCTAGAGACATACACCAGGCTAACAAGCTGTACCCCTTGTGTCTTAGCATCTCTTGCAACTTCCAGATCAAATGAAATGCGATACTCTAGGGTCTGAGATCTGGCTTGCTGAGTGGCCACTGCAGGAGCCAGGTGATGCAACCCAGTAGCACAGGAGAGTTAATAAAGGACGAATGGAAAACAGGAAAAAGGAAGGGGCCAAGTGGATAAACAGTTGCTCCTTCCTCTTTTCCATGGACGGCCCCAAAGAGTGGGATACCTCTGTCCAAAGATTTCCCATTTGGCAAAGCAAATGTGCATACTAAGTGACTTGCTAAGTCTTCTTGCTGCCATCCTGAAGCAAAGGCCATTATGATAACGTGTCATCATGCATCACTTCTCATTATTTCCTTGCTCACTGCTCATTCTCTTCATTTTTGTGGTCCTTGCCTTGCTATTAAAAGCAACATAATTTAGTGCATGCCTCAAGCCCTGTTTTCTAGGGAACCTGGGCCAAGGTAATGATCAAGAATACTCCAAAGGTTCATTGATGATCCAGTGCTTTCTGGGCTCTGTGGTAGATTCTGGTGATACCAGAAGGAAAAATACAATGTTACTGAGCAGTCAAGATGTATATGGAAAAAGATAAATAACATTTTGAAGCTAACATATGCCCCCATGCCAAGTAGACAGCATAAACAATAAGCATAAAAGGCTTTTAGAGGGTGAGCAATCATTGGAACAGTCAGACAAATCTTATGCAGGTAGGTCACACTCACATGGGCTGCAAAAAATGAAGTTTTATTTTTTTTTAAAAAAAGAAATTATTCTTCAATTCTCTCATTTAAGCTTCTCTGATAGTTCTGAAATTTATTTCCATTGGCTTACATTCCTGTATGTGGAAGACTTTAGTGTCGATTGCACACTAAAGAAATTTCATTATGACCTCTCTCTTCTATAAAAATATTAAAATGTTAAATTAAAAATTTGAAGTAGTGGTTTCTAGAAGACCCCACGGTTAATGCTTTTTATTCCGAGAAGCACTCATTTATTCTCTTCTTTGGCATCTACACCAGTTTTTCACCCATGTCACAATACTTTCCACTATTCCACCCATGCCCATGCCTTCTCCATAACTGAGCAGCTACCATACACCTCACCCACCACGTCCATTGGGGTCTGAAGCCCAAGGCTCTAACCACCATGCTATCTTTCCACTCTGGCTATGGTTTGTGCCCATTCAGTGGTACTTTCTTGGTTAGTGCTTCACCTCTGTCCTTCAATGGAAGGTGACCTGAGGGCCCAGAGGTCCCCTCTGAAGATCCCTGGGTATTGCCGATACTTGTGCAGGGCAGCCAGTGACTCAGGGTTCTCATTCAGGAGCCATCTGACATATTTGGCCCACAGTGTTACAATTTTACTTTCAAACTCTTTCTAAACTGTTGGATGGATGGCATCGCATTTTGATGATTTATTTAAACAGTTTGTCAGGTCAACAGCGTCCTGTACGCATATGATGCAAAACGTAAATGTTTGCTGTAGATGTAATTTTTCATGTCAACTTATGCAGCAACAGAAAATGACCTTTATTCCAGAGAGATACAATTTCTTTACAAATAATAACTTACAATGCCCTAGTGAAGCAATCATCAGGTTCTAATAAAATAAAACAGTAATAATAATAATATAAATGTAAGTTTCCATTAACTAGCAGAAGTGGTTTGGGGGGCTTCATCTTTTCTTAATTACAACCCTGTATAGGAATTTAAAGGTTATTCACATAATTTTCTGTCTTTAGATGAATTAGGGAAAACAAGATAATTTTGAAAAGGAGTCATAACTTAGAAGCACTGTATAAAAAAAGAAAACAAAAGAGTATCCATTTCTTTTTCTCACAAGCCTTTCTGAAGATTATTTTTTAGCTTCATAGGCTATCCTCACCCCAAATTTTCTTATTATGCATCAGACAGACTCTACGCCTAGTATTAGACTTTTTATGGTGAGTTCAAAGACCCAAATTGCATTTAATGTTTGCTTAATTGAATCAAAATTCTAAAAGTCAAAACATTATTAGAGTTAAAATTGTTACCCTCAAATTCTCCATATATTTCTTTCAAAAGTCAAATGAGTTACTTTTGAACAAGCTCACAATTTTAAAAATATTCTTACCCTTCATTTGGAGAACTAACAGTACTACTGCTATTTTTGAAATTGGTGCATGTCTGTTCATGTGTATGCACCAAATATGAGATCTCTAAGTGACTCCCAAATCAAAATCTAGAAGAAACATCTGTGAGAAAATCACTCTTCCCTTTTTTCTGTGATTTCAAAAGTGTGTTTATGGTCTTTGGGTATTAGACAAGAATCTAAAAGACTAATCTCCTATGGGGCAACTGAGGGAAAGAGTTGTTTAATTTTATAGAATGCATTGAAAAGAATTTGGAGAAGTCGGTAGAATTAGCAACCTGACCCAGCAAAGCCTGGCTCAGCCACTGGCCTGAGGAGATAGCAATCACTTATCTCCACTCTGTATATGACATGAGCATTGAAATTTCTTATCATCCATGACATAGGAATATGATAAACAGTCAAAAAAGAAGTATGAATGTAAGAACAAAGAGGGAAGTAGCCTGTGGTTGTCAAAGGTGCCAACGAGCTCCAAGAAAGGATGGTGTTACCATCAGGATTATTTTAAGAAGACCAGGTCAGTATTCTAAACCAGACCAATAGATGAAGATGATAAACCAGACTGATAGATGAAAGAAACCAGACCACATTTCACCATATAGTGGAATTCATCTTATTGGGAAAACAACAGACGAATACACTCCAAGCAGTGTAAAAATTTCCCAGTAGGCATATGTAAGGGATAAGAGTGTCAGTTCCTGGGCTATATAATCACTGCGTTCATAGAACAAGTTGGCATGAATTCCAGGTGAGAAACTGGGGACCACTCATGAATGGAAGAGATCATTATAGTTTCAAAATCAAACTACAAATAAGTGTAAGGACAGAGGAAAGGCTTGGGGAGGTGAAATGTGAAGAAATAGGCAGCTTGTAGGTCGCAAGGAACCCACCAAGCAAGGAAGCAGGAGGCTGGGAGGGATCAATGCCACCGCCAGATCTAGAAGCACTGTCAACTCAAATCTTCTTCAGCCTGAGAGGCTGAATATCTTTGTTTAGCTTCTACCTGAGAAAGAGAGTTGAACAGAAAGAAAGGAATGGGGAAAATAATAACCACTTAAAAAAAGAGAAAAATGCACTTAACATTCTTGAGACCCAGTGACGTGCTAAAAGTCATGCTATATTCTCTTCCTTGCATTCCATCTTCTAATGTTAACAAGAACCCTTCGCTGGAAGTGGTGGCTCACGCCTGTAATCCCAGCACTTTGGGAGGCCGAGGCGGGCAGATCATGAGGTCAGAAGATCGAGACCATCCTGGCTAACACGGTGAAACCCCGTCTCTGCTTAAAATACAAAAACTAGCTGGACATGGTGGCACGCACCTGTAGTCCCAGCTACTCAGAAGGCTGAGGCAGGAGAATCACTTGAACCCAGGAGGTGGAGGTTGTGGTGAGCCAAGATCTTGACACTGCGCTCCAGCCTGGGCAACAGCGAGACTCCATCTCAAAAAAATAAAAAAGAAAAAAGAATTTAAAAAAGAACACTTCAATGTGAGTATTATTACCTGCATTTCACAGATTAGAAAGCTGAGGCTCAGAAAAGTTAACTAACTTGCCCCAAGTCACAGAGCTTATGAGTGAACAATCCCTTTCATGGCTAAACCTTACTTTGTAAACTCATCTACCTTTGCAAATATAATTGACATTTTCTTTTACTATTATTTCTTCCTGTTTAAATTCCTTTTACAAAACAGCCACCTTGTCTCAGTCAACAAAGAAGGCCAGAGATAAAACTAGGCTTTGGCAGTGCATGGCAGGGTGGTCCGTGTGACCCTGGTTATGAGGTTAGGATATCCTCCCAGAGTAGTGAGCAAGTGTACCCTCCCGCCGCAGACCTATCGTATTTCAACAGGAGGCTTGAAATGAACAACAACAAAGTAAAACAGTCTAGGATGATGACTCTATGGTATGAGAGGTGGCATGGCACCTACCTAATGTTGATACTCTTAAAATCGCTCCTGGAGTGCTTCTTTTCTAATGATTTAGGTCCAGAAAAATACCGTGCTTCACCTCCCCCACTTAAAAGTGTCACATTGCAGGTCACTGGATGGTGCGCTGTCATTTTCATTGAATCCCTGAGCTGTAATCTGGTTTTCTGCACCCACCAGAGTTAGCCTGGGTAAGGGCCACACCCTTCAAGTAATGCTCTAAACCCCCAAGTTGCAGTTCATCAGGGACTCCAGCTTGTTAAGGCCCATCGCACACTGTCAAGGGTAATTAAATCAGGAATTAGTATCACCTAGAGACTTTGGCATGAGCCTGGTCCACGTTAAAGTGTTTGACACTAAGTGGTGGAGGCAGACAAGGTTACCATTAGCTCCTGGCATGCAGCATTCTCTCTGAGGTTTGCAGAGGCTGGTTGTTAGGTCCCTTGAGAAGGAGAAAGCTTTATATTTCAGTTTTCCTAAAATGTTATTTTTTCTATCCTTAGACCAAGTTTGCACTTATTGGATTTTTTAATTAAAGGACATGACAAATTTCACTCTTCAAATCCTATTAAAAAGCACCTTCCCCTCAAGTCACCAGAAGCTGCTCTTGTCTATCCTCCCAGATGGATGGAGCTGCCCAAGTGGTCCTTACTGCTGTATTTACTCCCTGTCTGCCTGGGCTACAGTGAATGTGCCTCTCATCCACTTCTGGTGGAAATATAAATTAATACAACCCTTCTGGAAAGCCATTTGGTAATATGTTCCAAGAACTTTAAAATGCTCATACCCTTTTGACAGAGTGTGTAATTGTACTTCTGGGAATCTATCCCAAGAAAATAATCAGAAATACAAAAAGAACTCTGTTATACCATAGATGTTCACTGCAGCATTAGGTATAATTGCAAAAAAAAAGTGAAATTTCAGTATTATCCAATAGAATACTTAACATCCATATGCTAGAATATCATTGTTTATTTTATTCAACAACTATATATTGAGAGATTATGTTGTGTCACAAACTGATAGGAACTGAGAATTTAATAGTAAACCCATCTGCTGCCTTCCCAGAATTCATAAAATTACATTTTTTTTTTAGATTTTTATAGGATGGAAATTTGTGTATATTAAATTTTTAAATGAAAAACCAAGATTTTTAAAATACACAGACAATAGGTAAAAATTAGGCTTTAAAAGAGGAAAACATACCTACGTGTCAGAAGGGTTCTGTCAGTCTGTTTAGTGTTGTATAACAGAATACCTGAGAGCAGGTAGTTTATAAAGAAAAGAGACGTATTTGGCTCATGGTTCTGGTGGATGGAAAGTTCAGGACCGGACATCTGCATCTGGTGAGAGCCTCAGGCTGCTTTGTCTCACAGCAGAAACCAGCAGAAGGAGAGCTATCGGTGAGAGAGGAAGCCAGGGTGATGATGGGGAAGCACGAGGCTCTTTTTAACAATCAGCTTCTGTGGGAACTAATAAGGTGAGAACTCACTCACCCTGGAGGAAATGTATAAGGGATCTGTCCCCAAGACCCAAACACCTCCTACCAGGTCCCACCTCCCAACATTGCCACATTCAGGATCAAATTTCAGCATGAGGTTTGGAAGGGACAAACATCCAAACCATAGCAGGTTCCCTCTGGTTGGTAAGGTTATTAGTGATTTTCCCCTTCTTTATTCTTTCCTATCATTTCTAAAACCAATACTGTGAACATATATTACCTTTATAATTGAAGGAGGTGAGGAAAGTATTGCATTTCTAAAAACATGTGAACAAAGACAAATAACAATCTAATCAATTCCTTTCTCCTGAGTAGGACACAAGATTCTTATCTTGGCTAAGAAGATTCACGTCTGCCTTTTAGGTTACCAGTTACTATCTTCAATTTGGACTTCGTCACCAGTAGAGATGAGTAGGTACCAAATGAAGTCATCATAGAGGAATGATGGCAGTCTGCTTTTCTCATCCTGTGGCTTCATTCAGGTAACTTTGTGATTCTGCAGCTGAATTTTTGCATGCCCTTTCCTGAACCCAATATCTCCTAAGCCCACTCATCAGGAGGAAGGTGCAGATATACCAGCAGCAGGGTCTCCTTTCTGCATTAGATAATCATGTCAATGGAACATCCCAAGTCTGGAAGCTGTAATCTATAATCTAGAATCCCTCCAAGTTTTGAATACCAACTGGGTAATGGCTAGGATCTACCTGGGACTGAACTCCAAAGGCCCTGACAGAAAAAACAGAGCTAATAAAATTCCACTCTGCAAGCCACCTCGTATCCTGCCTTGGTATACCTTCTAGCACTTGCTTAGCAAACTGCCTGTGTTTAGCAGGTCTAAACTGCTATGATGCCAGTAAAGCTGTTCACTGAAGACCTGAAATCACACACATTTGCTTATGCATTTCCCAAGTAAAATGATGTGTTAAGGGATACTCATACTCAGAGTGAGAAGGGGGTAAAAACATGAGGGAGATGTTCCAATATTGGTGGTTTCCCTCTCCTTGTGATCCAGCATGGGTCAGATTCTCCAGAAAAAGAATTCTTTTTGGTTAGTTCATAAATCACAATGATTCATACACTATAATTTTAAAGATAGCCTTTAAAGTAGCTCTAATATTTCGACATAATATCTGTGCCTGTCCAGCTGAATCCTGCTTTTATCACATGTATCACCTTAGTTATCTAACTAAGATATCTGTAAAGATGCCTCTAAGCATTGACCTAAATAATAATTAGAACTGGAAGAACTATTAGGCAATAATTGTGTGCAAGGCACTTTGCCATTTATAAACTTCTCAGAGGTCAAAAGAAAATCGAGGATCAGAGTAGTTGAGTAACTGGATAGCAGTCACTCACAGACTGAATTCAAAACAGGGTCTGTCTAGATGCAAAGCCCAAGCTCTTCTTCTCTTTCCACAACATCTTGTCACCTTAAAAATATTAGGTTTTTTAAATAGACTGAAAGAATTCTCCTCTGTATCAAAAACACATGGCTCAAAGTCCGTGTGCCATGTAAGCATGAATGCCCCATAATCCCAAACTCATCAAGCCTTTCTCTTTTCTTTAGGTGGTGATAGACCAAGATGGTAAAAGCATCATGATGGGGCAGGAATGGGGTTATATCTTGTCATTAATAATACTTGCACACTGATATCATCAGAGCAAAGGCCATTATTTTACCTATAGTCCTGCTAATGTAAAGACCTTCTATTATGCATCTAGCAATAATTTGCAGGTAAGCATCTCCACTCATCCAAAAGGGTGGGAATAAACAAGTTCACAGTTTAGCCCTGTAAAGGTCTAGTTTATTTTTATTTTTGAAGTGGGGAAAATGAAACTCAAGAAGATAACTAATTTTCTATAGATTGTATGCTTATGCTCTAGATCGCATGCTATATGAGGGAAGGAACAGGTCACATTTGCCTAAGCACATACATTAATTCATTCAGACATTTATTTATTCCAGTAACTTATCTTGAATATTTACTATGTATCAGATGCTAAGGAAACAAAATTATCTGGAACTAGAACTGTGTTATGCCTACAGTAGTCACCCAGGGAATGTGTGTTGAAAGCATTTATCGATTGCAAATAACAGCAGCAGAAATGAGGGCACAGATCTCTGGATCCACAAATCCCAATCCATTGTGCTAACATCTACAAAATTCATCATTCCATGTACATAGCTAGCCCCCATGCTTCCAAGGAGCACTGAGATCCACAGATTAGTAATGGATTGCAAATACAGGAATGTCATTGCATCAACACTAAATGAGTTACATTTTCATTTCACTGAGTGCCTTTTTGCTTCTGAAATGCAGGCTCCCGAAAGCAGTAGTACCTAACTGACCTCTCCACCACTCATTATCTACTCCTGCTCCATTGCACGGGTCTAATCAGCTCTTACAGTTCTGATCTTGTTAGAGAACACTGATCTTCCACCCCTGGAGTCCTGCCTAATGGACTACTGGGAGCAATCTCACTGGAGTGGAGAATCACAAGGTGTCTGGATTTTTATTCTTGATGTTGGTCTGTTCCCCACCAACCCACTGGAGTGGACTTAGGCAAAGACCACATCGCTATGCTTCAGTCTTACTATTATTCAGTGGGGAATGAAAGGGGCTATCCTCCTTAATGCTTTAAAGAGATACAAAGGAGATTCATTGTCTGATGTCTGCAAAAATCCTCAAAGAAAAACTCCTGTGAAAAACAATGCATCTTTATTGCTTAAAATATCGATTTTTCCTCCAAGTTTTAAAAATGGCTTCACTGTGTGCTTCTACAGAATGCAAAGAGGAAGTGGTAAAAATGTATACAGGAGGGAGAGGAAACTTCAGCAATAATGATCATCCTGTGAGAAGAGGTATAATCATTATTTTCAGATAAGTTTTGAGAAATGCCTTAGGAATTCCCAGAGGGATGTCCAAAGCTACCCATTTTGGTTAGTTATAACAATGACCTGAAAAAGAACAGGATGCCAGGAAAGACATTATAGCAGATGAATAATGAAGAGGTTCAAGTGAATGAAGGCACAGGTCTCCTCTCTCTCCTTCCTTCTCCTGTCCTCAATGACCTTCAATGCAATATTAATAGAAATGCCATCCCTAGGATTCTAAGAGAAGTTTTTCTACATGCAGAGGGGCAGGTGGATGTGCTTACTGCCATGGGACGTTGCTTTTGCTTTGTTGCCTCATTTCTCAGCAGCAAGAAATGTCAATTCCCATTAAGCTCTGTGCATTTCATCACATCAGTAGTGGCCCTGAACCAGCTCGATGGGTGCTAGAATTCATTTGTGACCAAGGTTAGATCCTAGTTAATTCATATGTTGAGTATATTTGATACTAGATCCTAGTACACTCACCATATGAAGACAGTACCTGCTAATCCAGCCAATACCCCACCAACAGTCCCCAGCAATCTTCTGCCCACCGAGCCCTGCTTCCTGCATTCTCCAGATTCACTCCCTGGAGGCAGCAGGAAAAGAGCCACAAGCAACGTGACCATGGGCATCCAAATGACAGAGGCATGGAGGAAACGACAGCCCCAGCTACAGCAGAATTCACAGGGACTACAGCCCCCTCATTTTTAAAAACAGAAAGCCAAGGCCCAGCAACAGGAAGTGGCTTGCCAAAAATTGTGCAGCAAAGTGAAAAGCTGGGGGGTACGGGAAGAGGGGAAAGCAGGGCAAGGGGACAGGGCTGGGCTTGGATGTCTGTTCACCATGCTCTGTCCATGACTGCTCTAGAGTCTCCAGGCCTCAGTTTCATCATTTGTGATACACAGGCTTGGACTAAATGACCTTTAAAACACTTTCCAGCTTAAATATTTAAAAACTTTGCCACTCAAAGTGTTCTCATGACCCAGTAGCATGGAGCTTGTTAGAAATGTGGCTTCTTGGTCCCCACCCCAAAAGTACTAAAGAGACTCTGCATTTGAACAATATCCTCAGGTGATTCATATGCACATTAAAATTTTACAAGCATTGTTCTAGAATATTTTATCACAGGTTTATAGAGAAGCACCAGCTCTAACTTGAGAATTATAAAATGAAGCAAAACAAATGTCAAACTAGATGACCTCTCTTCCTGAAGAAAGTAGTACCACTGCTCATTAAGAGAGCTTGACACTGTGCTAAAATTTGCCACCAAATGAAAACCCATCCTACTGAATAATTTGCTCTTTGTTTTCACTCACAGTAGGCACCCCTATGCCTCACAAGTCACTGTGACAGACTTTGTGGCTACTCTCCTGTGGAGTGTCCTCTTGTGAACATATCCCAGCTGGATTGCCTTAGGGTCTTCAGTCTTACTGCATTTGACTAAATATCCCAATAGAATAGTCTCTACATGTTTCAAAGTATCATGTGAAATATCGTAACTGTGTTTTTTGTTTTTTTATTTTTCTTCCTTTTTTTTTTTTTTTTGAGACAGGGTCTCTCTCTGTCACCTAGACTGGTGTGCAGTGGTGCCATCTCAGCTCACCGCAACTTCCACCTCCCAGGCTCAAGTGATTCTCCTGTCTCAGTCTTCTGAGTAGCTGGGAGTACAGGTGCACCCCACAACCGCCCAGTTAATTTTTGCATTTTTAGTAGAGACAGGGTTTCACCATGTTGGCCATGCTGGTCTTGAATTCCTGACCTCAGGTGATCCCCCTGCCTCGGCTTCCCAAAGTGCTGGGATTACAGGCGTCAGCCACTGTGCCTGGCTGTGGTTTTAGTCAGACCTTTCTATCCATCTTCCTGGCTGTGCTCTTATAAGATGGCACATGGCTAAATTCTATCACTGAGCCATGGTAACTCTGTTCACCTACCCAGGGGCTAGTTAGTCAAACAATAATAAGCAATGTCTTTTCTTTCCTGTTGTGCAGCCCTGTGCTGCATTCTATTCACATGGAAATAGACATATTATACTTGGTTTCTGCTTTAAAGAAATTAAAAATAATTTTCCAAGGGTTTCCCAACCTCAGCATTATTGACATTTTGAACCTGATAATCCTTTGTTGTGTGGGCTGCCCTACACATTGCAGGATGTTTGGCCGAATCTTTGGCCTCTACCCACTGGATGCCTGTAGCACCAAATGTCTCCAGCCATTGCAAATGGGAGGGGGTGGTAAAATCATCCCTGGCAGAGAACTGTTGGGTTAGAAAACACTGGTATGAACAAGCAGGAAAGTATAAGGAAGAAGTTTATGGGGATGTGGTTCTAAATAGTCACAACACAAATGCTGAACAATTATATAATGAAATAAACAGAGAGGTATTAATAACACATGCAAGGAAAGGGCTGGTGAAGACAGGAGAAAGGATCAAGACAGACACATGACTCAAAAAGGAAAACATAATTGGAACAGGCCATGTCTAATTCCAGCCAACATCTCTTCTTGAAGAGAATAGGTCCTCATCACAGGCTTTTCTCAGCCATAGACATTATTAACTAAGATGAAAATAATGCAAGAGACAAAGAAAAGAGTTCAAGGATATCAGACAAGAAGGGTTATTACAATAGGAAAATATTACTTTGAAGTATTAATTCCCAGAGGCAGGTCTGCTGAACATAGATTCATAAAATCTGCAGCTAGAATGAGCATTAGATTCACCTACTCCAATGCTGTAATTATACACATAATCCAGAGAGGTAAACGCACTTGTTCAAGGTCACAGTTACCTAGAGGTGGAGCTAATTCACAAACTGTCAAGGTCTGTGAAGGCTCAGCCTTGGCATTAACTCTTTTTGGATGCCCAGCACCCAAGCTAGGCCTGGAAAATACTGAGGGCCAATGATAGCTGTCCAGCCAAACTGAACCTGGGTCTCCTGCCTCTTAGCCTAAAACTCTACCATGCCACTCTGCCTGTTGTGATTTATGGTGATTTTTATAATATGGAAAGTCCATTAATAAAATGCTAACTAAAATAGCATCCAGTGTATTGGAAAACATAAAACATGCATTTATGGGTCTTAGAATAGAAAATGATGAGAATAGGGTTCAGAATGAGGTTAAAATATCAGCACTTAAAGGAGGGAGAAGGTGCCATCCAGGGTACCAAGGGCAGGAAATACGGCCCTCTAGAGGCTGGAAGAGGATTATAATAGGGTACTGACTTTTCCACCCACCCCCTTGCCAATAACCAAAACAAGCTCCAGACCTGGTGCTCAGATCAACTCTCCCTAGGGGAAAAGGGAACCCAACCATCAGGGAGAAAGAAAGATGCCACTTTTGAGCCAACATATCCTATCACCTTAAAAGGCTAAATTTGGTTTCTATTCAAGGTCAACCTTACAGCCAGCAGATTGGGACTGTAGAATTTTCCTGCCCCAGAAAATCTCTCTGCTTGCTGATGCTAGAGATCTCTTATCACGGGACCATAGACATAAAAGGCCTACAATATAACTGCTGGTTGGGATAATACACTAGCTGAAACTCATTCACATTCAACTACAATCAGTTAATCAAAGAGCATTAATTACATCGGATACTTCCGTTTTTGTGGTAGGGTGGAGGGGAAGCCATTGAGGAATCTCTGGTTGCCGAGGAGTGGAAGGAAAAGGGAAAGCACAGAAAGGAGAGGCTGCTGACCCAGATATATTTAGAACACTTGGTCATTTTGCTGAGCCAACATGGCTCCACCTTCCACTGGACTGGGACAAATAGCTGTGTCCTGAGGTGGTTTTGCCATGTTAATGTACCCGGACAGCTCTGCTTCACAAGATTTAGAAGAGGTTTTGTGAGTTTGTTTGCACCAAGCTGAGCTTCCTTAGAAAGCTTTCATTAATCAGGATATCACTGAACAGAAAAGGAAAGAGTGCTTGGGTGCTACCTGAGTGAAGGCACAGGACAGGGTGCAGCCTGGGTGGATCTTATTGGTGCCGAAAACTGTGCCAGCTTCCCTAAAATATGATTTCCTGCTTTCTTGTGAGAAAAGTACTATCTCTCCCATACAGATGAGACAACCAATGTTCAGGAGCTTTGAATAAAACTTGGCTGTGGTCATTTAAAATAAGTGGTGGATTCTCTGACACCAAAGCCCATGCTCTTTCCACTCCGCCATGCAGAAAATTGAGGAAGGAAAAGAGAGTCCATTGAAAAACCTTTCCTGGTGTGAGTTAACAACAGAGCTCAGGATTTAGTGAATCTCAACAGATGAGAACTCATGCATTTATTCTGTAACTATTCATTGAGACTTTTAGATGAGCATAGCATTGGGGATCTAAGGAAGACAAGGGTGCTAAAAAAAAGATACACACAAGATGGTACCTCTTATACATGAGCTTACCTCTATCTGGGAGGAAAAATAAATGCAAAGTGAGCAATTAAGTAATATGAAATAATGTAAGTTAGATAACAAAAACTGTGGGACTTTTGATATAAGGGATATCTATGTGAGATAGGGCAAATGTGAAAAGTACTTATTAAAGAGAGGGACTCATTCTGGTCTTTGCAGAAAATCTACTATTTCAAGGGGCAACGAAGGAGAAAAGAGCATTTCATAAGGAAAGACATGTTGTAAACCAAATTACGGCCAATGCATATAAGTCCTGAACAGAAGCATATAATTTAAATCAAGGAAGGTACCTTGGATGCAGTGATGAAGGCAGCCTTGTTAGAGCACAGTCATTGTGGAAATGCTTGAGAACTTTGAAAATCAGGCAATCTATTAGAAATAAGGGCAAAACCTAGTGGATTTTTAGTATTTATCTGATAGTAAGTATTATTCTAATTTTAAAGTGGAAGACTCAAAGTGTTCATAACTCCAGTGACTTTGTCTACAGAGAGCATCAAGAGGGTAAGACAAGGTGAGGAAAACCTTCACTAATCTTTCTTGCTTTTCTTCCAGGGGCCCCACAGAGAAAACATTCCCAACCGGATGGGTCATAGATCTCTGGCTTGTCCCATCTAGATATCCAAGGCACTTTCACTGCTTTCTTTATTAGGGTATTTTTATCATCTACAAAATCAATCACTGTAAGAAATTTTTTCTGTATATAGCTGATAGATGTTTGCATTTGGCATAAAAAGAAGAAAATCTATTTGCAAATAGGCCAAAGCTCACTAATCACCAAATGAGAGACAGCATCCCCCAAACACCACCATTTTGAACTCAAAAATGTCCAGTTGGCCCCAATCTGAGAAAATCTTAAAAAATAAACATATGGCTTCAGAGCCATATTCAAGCATGTAACTGAATGAATGAATGAATTCTATCATCAAAGCGATGCTACAGGAAGTCAAATGCAGTGAATGTATTTTTGAGAAGAGGAAGTTATAATAGCCGAAAATAGCTCTGCCAAGAAGCCACCATGGTTGAAAAGACATTATAATCTTTTAACTATCTTTCTTTTTATGGGTATGTACAGGACCTCATAGTCCTGGATTATATGAGCATTATTTATCCCATCAAAGCATCCTCCTAATTTAGCCCTGAGCCTCCTGTAACAGAATGGACCCCTGATAAGTGTTTTATGGATGGATAAGTGAATAAAATAATCTTCTAAGTATAATGTGACCCAATTTACCACTTTATGGGAAACAAGGCTAACTTCCTTTATCCCGCATGTATCAGCTCACAGATAAAGAAAATTTTGAAAAAAAGCCTGGGTACATTCTGTTATCCACATTATAAGTGCTTATCCTTGACCTATAAGTAGATTCATTGGGTGTCCATGTGTGTATAGCTAACTGTAATTTGCAATCATTCCTTACTATCTATTCTCTATAAGGGTTCTCTCATCTAAGCCAGGATTATTCTCCCCATTGGACACAGTAAAAACAAGGTATAGAGAGATAAGGTACCAGAGTGCATGTTAAGGTGAGAAGTGCTATTAGAGCTGAGACTTCTGAGACCTCATAGTCCTCTAGTTAAGAGCAGAGGCTTTGGGGTCAGGTAGACTGAAGGATGTATTTTTTTCTCTCACTTTCTTAGCTGTGTTATCTTGGGGAAACTATTTACCTTATGAAGTCTTAGTTTCTACATTAATAAAACAGCACTTACTGGCTGGGCTCAGTGGCTCACGCCTGTAATCCCAGGACTTTGGGAGGCCAAGGCGGGCAGATCACAAGGTCCAGATATCGAGACCATCCTGGCCCACATGGTAAAACCCCATCTCTACTAAAAATACAAAAAATTAGCCGGACGTGGTGGCAGGCACCCGTAATCCCAGCTACTCGGGAGGCTGAGGCAGGAGAATCGCTTGAACCTGGAAGGCGGAGGTTGCAGTGAACTGAGGTCGTGCCATTGCACTCCAGCCTGGGCAAAAAGAGCAAAATTCCATCTCAAAAACAAACAAACAAACAAAAAAAACAAAGAGCACTTACTTCCTAGGATTGTTGTAGTACCTGAGCTAATAGAGGAAAAGTACTTAGCTCAGGACCTGGCGTGCAATGAATGATGGGGGCTTGGGGAACTTCTCTTCTCCAGGATTCATGCTTCCATATATAATAAGTCTCCAGTAAGGTAGCATGCTGGTCTCTCTACCCTTGTACACATTGTTAAAAGAAGAGAAACAGATCTGATTGATGAATATGGGGGAAAAAAAACTGATCTGGCAGCACTCAGCCCTTTTCATTCCTCTCTGTATTTTTGGTATCTTCATGCCTAAATAAAGTGTTTTCTGCTCTGCTGTCTAAACTCTGTGGGGACTTGTAGGGCCAGCTCTATTTCCATGGAAACCTGATATTTGGAGACATAAGTTTAGTTTAAAAGAATGTTAAGCAAGCATCTTGACCATACCTAAGCCACAACTTCCAGCATAGTTTGATCAGTAATAAAAGGGATATTTTCATTTCCAACTGCCTGGCTCTTATCTCTGTCTCTTAGCTGGTCCTGAAGCTAGGTGGAGAAAAGAGGTGACATTCATTGGGTCTACTCAACTCCAACAATAAGTATTTTGGAAACGTCACCTTGGAGCAAAACCAAAGCATAGTTATGTGCTATACTTTCTTACTTGACTGGATGAAATAGCCCAACAGTTTTGTTAGTATTGGTGTCAGTGGTTAGCAAGACATTACAGTCCACATGAAGTATAGTAGCTCCCATCTGCCAAGTTAGAATGAATAAATGGCCCAATTTACTGGATGCCCTTCATGCATCCAGGGGGTGGTATCAGTCTCTAGCAGTATTAGAAAAACTACAGGGAACTACATGTATCACTATACCATGAATCCCAGCTCTAATGATTATGTAGACATGCTCTGAAGATGGCTCCCTCTGGTCATATTTTTCTGAACTTATTGTTATTTGAGGCAATAAAAATAATAATTACACATTGTCAGCAAATTTACAAATTCTAGGCAAGGTGGTCAGCATGTGGCTCAGTGGTCAAATTGCTGTTGTTTTTTTTTTTAATTATGCCTGTAGTACCAGCAGTTGTTACATGATATGCAAACTCAGGAAATAAAATCTAAAAATAAAGTGTTAATAAACAAAATCCAATGTAGAAATAGAGGATTACGTTAACCACAGTTCATGTGCTTGACATTCAGAAATCAGAATACTTATCCTATTATTCCAGAGCACCCCAGGACTTGGAAAAAGTACTTCAGAATCCCAGACAACGTGGAGTAGTTTGGAAAGCCAGGCAAATATAAACAAGAAAAATACAGAAGACTGTCAAGTAGTAGCTTCCAATCAAATGGTTCTTTATACATCACTGCTACTCTTCACATTCAAAATGTTACATAAAAAAATGAGGGAAAGGAAGAGGATCTTAAAAATCAGTAGACTGAGTCTACTTTCACTAAGAAAGATTCTGCTTTAAAAAAACTTCCAAAAGCATATCCTGTACCGAAAAACACTTTGCTCTATCTGGAAGTCATTATTTAATCCAGCAAGTTCCTGATTTCTATAAGGACAATGAAATTGTGGTGACCTGAATTCCACCTTCATTCACTAACAATGAGAACATGCATGGGAAATCAGGATTCTTTGAGCCAGAGGAAAGGAGCAAGGAGGAAAAAAAAAAAGGGGGGGAGGGGTGCTGAGTTTCAAGAGCCACAAATTATTTTAAGTGCCTTTGAGTCCTGAGTGAGGAGGAAACACTGAACTTCATAAGGCAGATGTGGTCAGCAAATTTATTCCAGATTAAGCAGGAGTCCTTCTAGCTATCTGCACAGCCCTCATGGCCATCTCAACCCCTAAAGAGCTACCTTGCTCCGGAGTTCTTAGCAATCATCTCTGCACAGAACCTGGGAGGACATAAAACTGCCAGGCGACAGCGTGATTTACATGGTGACTTCAAGATGAAAGCAGTTTTTGCATTTATGTTGGAGAAAACCCATTAACTGGATAATTTACATTTCCCTCTCAAATCTCCCTCTAGTACGAACATTTCCAAGTTGTTGTCAATGCCCAGTCTTTGGAAGAACATTAACTTCCATCATCACTACCATAATCATCAATCTACATTGTAATGTGAGAATTATAGGGAAGTCAGATTTGCTATGGCCACGCGCAGGGACTTTATTCTGGGCTGAACCATCGTGGATGGAGAATGCAAATCACTGAGAAGTTGCACCCTGAAGTTGTAAAGACCATCTTGGGAAGCCATTGTCCTAGGAGCCTCTACCAAGGTAGTAAGGGAAAGGAGGTAAGTTCTTAAAATTCCTAAATCACACATTTATGTTGACAGAGATTCCGAAATGTCATTCAAATAATATCTTCATAACTTAATTTTGCCATGTCAATATGCCACTTGAAATGAAAGTCACTTTTATGTTTTTTAAATAAAATTTACTTTAAATAAACTTTTGCTTAATCTGAACTTTAGAGACAAAACGAATGAAATCATAGGTTTCATATGCCTATATTTTTCTAATACATATATTTTCTAATATATGTTTAAATATTATAGTTTTAAAACGATACCTCAAGTATCGACTAAAAATATTCTCATACTGATGCTAATTTCTTAGTTTTCATCATCGTACTACAATTGGCAAAATGACAATTAGGAGAAGCTAAGTGAAAGGTAGGTGGGAATTATTTGCATTATTTATGCAACTTTTACATAAGCCTAATATTATTTAAAAATAATAAATTACCATTTATTGGGCAACACTGACAGTGAACAAGTTTCCAGAGGTAAACAAATGTCTTTTCTTTGCCTTTAGGGTTAGCTAGAACTTTATCAAATCCATGTGGAAATAATGGCTATTACATGTTTTCACATGCTCTAATTTGTGCGGATGTCATAAGAGATTCTGGAACATGATTTTTTTTTTTTTTTCCTGCCAGGTTACTGGACTAAATAGGAATAGTCCCTAAGGCTACTACCAAAACATGTCCGGAGATGAGATGGAAGTGGAACTCAATGATTTTTTTTTTTTTTTCTGAGACGAAGTCTTGCTCTATCGCCCAGGCTGGAGTGCAGTGGCGCGATCTCGGCTCACTGCAAACTCCGCCTCCCGGGTTCACGCCATTCTCCTGCCTCAGCCTCCTGAGTAGCTGGGACTACAGGCACCAGCCACCGCGCCCGGCTAGTTTTTTGTATTTTTAGTAGAGACGGGGTTTCACCGTGTTAGCCAGGATGGTCTTGATCTCCTGACCTCGTGATCCGCCCGCCTCGGCCTCCCAAAGTGCTGGGATTACAGACGTGAGCCACCGCGCCCAGCTGTGGAACTCAATGATTTTAAGTTATCTCTGAGCTTGTTTAACATACTAGATAACAGCCCCAGTGGTTTAGAGGTAATCTGGTCTAATTTAGAGGAACCACAGCTTTAAAATTTTGGAGAAGGTTATTAGTGATTTCTTACTACACAAAAGGAATCTACACAGTGTTCAATGAGATTGCAGCCCCCTCCCACACAGATGCTTTAGACTAGAAAATGATTTCCCAATAGATATGCCCTAGCATCCCAGTCTGCTGCAAATAGATTCAATGTGCAGCGATATTCACTCCCTGCCTTCGGGGTAACTGGTGGGATCTGGCGTAAGCCACGAGTCCCTAAAACTCATCACCTCCAACCGTAAGAAAACACATGATTTACTCCAGGGAGATAGAGAAAAATCATCATTTTTAGGGATGTCTTGTCATGAAAAAGTTTGGGAAGCATTGACCTAGCAGTTTTCAGGGTGCCTTAAATCTTTAAGTCTCTGAGTTTCTTAGTGTCTGACCCCAGGATTGCCTAGCCCAGCAAAATCTCTAAGATTTTGAGAAACTCAGATAACTCTCAGATTCCTTTAACCTGCAACCTCAGAAAAATCAACTTTCAGCTCCGTTCCTCTGGAGGTAAATGAAGGTAAAAACATCTTGGATTTAGGTGTGCTGTCTTAAAGTAGCTCATACTTTTCCAAGTGGCTCTGTAACAACAGCTATCTCCTACCCTTTAATACCAAGGCCCCTGGGAAACATGCCAAAGTTGCTTTAAATGTCAGAGTGTCTCAATTGGTCTCCCCTGTGACCTTTAAGTAACCATAACAATGTGCCTTCCAGGCTCACTGTATGTCCAAAACCCTCAAGATAGTGGCAAAGGAAAGGACCTCTGAAAATCTCTTTAAGTTCCATAATTCTGAAATTCTCAACCAAGCACTCTTCCTTTCTGACCCATAGAAATTTCCCATATGGCCGAAGGGAATGGAAGCTGAAGGCAGCAAATCTAATTAGAAGAGGTTATTGTGTGTGTATAAAGCTCTGTTCTCCATAGGACCCACGGGACTCTCATAACAGTTCAGGAACAAAAACAGACCTGGGGGCAGAAAGAGGAGACCAGGAACTCTTATTCATTCACTCAGTCAGTCTGTCAGTCAGTCAGTCTGTCTGTTCATTTATTAAACACTGAATATCAGGTATCCATCAGCACCAAGTTCACAGGCAGACAAACTAGTATGTTATTCTGTGGGAATGTTGTAATAGAGATATAAACCAAGTGCTGCTACATTCACATGCAAGACAATTAATTCTCCCTGGAATATCAGGGTCAGTTCCCAGCTGAAGTACCATGGGAGTTAGGTCAGCAGTTCCCAAAAATCTTGGCCTCTGCAATCCTTTACACTCCTAAAAATTATTGAGAATCACAAAGAGCATTTGCTTATGTGGGGTATATCTACCAATGTTTACCATATTTGAAGCCAGAACTAAGAAATTTTTAAAATATTTACTAATCCATTTCATTACAGTAATAAGAAACCCACTGCACGTTAACATAAGCCATATATTTTATTAAAAAAAAACCTATATTTTCCAAAACGAAAAATAGTGAGAACAATAACAGTGTCCAACTTTTTTTGCAAATTTTTTAAATACTGGCTTAATAGAAGACAGATGGATACTCATCTCCACTTCTTTAGCAAATACACTACACCATGTTATTTTGGATGAAATCGATGAAGAAAGTCCTGTTTCACACAGATATAAAGTTAGAAAAGGAAGTAATATTTTAATAGCCACCTCAGATAATTATAGATATTCTTTAATACAACGCCAAAACTCAAGCATTAATTTCTTAAAGGTGACTGGCAATGTGGAAACAGAAGTCATACACTGAATATTTTGTACACTCTTTATTAAAATCATTGTCCATGTTGAGACTTAAACTTTTTTTATACATGCACAGTTTTGAAACATGCATTGGTCACTTAGAAAATATTAGTTCATGGAGTTACACAGATCTTCCAAATGCTGGTACATTTCATTACACAATTTCAAAAACCCTTACCCATTAATAGCATTACTGATTTCATCAGAAAAGTCTTCAAGTATTGGAAAGCTGTCAAGCTCACTACGGCATTTACAAGTTTCCATAATATGTTAATTTTTCTCTTGAAAGCTTGAATTTTATCACTGGCAACACACACTGTCAGTTGTTTTCCGAGATCACTTAGTTCACTTTCAAAAAAATTTCAGCCAAATACTTAAGTCTGAATAATTATAGTTAGCTTGTCAGTTGTTCTTTCAAGTAAAAATTGTGTTACAAGACAAAAGTCAATAGTTCAGCCTGCAACTCAAACAATCTCACTTTAGCTTGCAGCAAAAGTGCTTTCTGTGTGTACCCCCCATTTTTTCACTTGGAATATTAAGGGGACATGTACTCAAGGGTCAATTTACAATAAAGCAATTGTTACTGCTTTATTTGGGTTATTCTTAAATGAAACTGGATTTTTTTAAAAAAAAACAGTGAGAGTGGTGAAAAGTACAATGACTGCTAGTATAGTTTGGTGTTGTTTTATTAATTCCTGCTAAGACACCAACAGTTTTTCCCACTACTGTTTTGCACCATGATTGTAAATACCAATTCAGTGAAAAAGACAACTGATTTCTTAATATTATGATGAAAATAGTTTTCACTACAAAGACACCCTGGAAAGGGTATCATCGGTCCCTGGGAAGATCTATGGAACACTTAGAAGGCTTCCCAGGAGTTAGTCTGTTAAAGTTCAATGGTACCAAGCTCAGCATACATTCACTAAGTAGGTACTCCATGCCAAACAGCACTGTGCCAGAATCTGTGGACACAGATAACTAAGAAACTGTCTGCCTTTAAGGAGCTTACAGTTGCAGGGGTAGGCAAATAGAGAAGAAAATTATTTTAGAATTAGAATATTACCAAGGAATATGAGTGCATGGAGTGCTGAGAATACAGGAGTACAAACAGCCTTCAAAAGATTCCTAGAAGGAGATTGTACCTAAGACGTATAAGGCAGAATGAAAAGAATTAGAGGGAAAAATGAAAGAGCCAATAATAGCCCATTATTCCTGAAGTATGAAGTGGAGGAGAGTTGTTGAAGTAACTTTGAGGCTGTCACTTCACCTTAGTGCTTGCATGGGTAACTTCAGCTCCAGGAATGGACTCTGATTAGCCCAAGCTGACCAGTTATTACATTATTCTTAACACAGAGATTGGTCCAAGGAAGAGTAGGCCTAAGTCAACTCATGCCAAAAAGTAGCAAGGAGTAGCTTGCAGGAGTCTGCTAGGAGAAAGACACCTCCTTCCTTTTAGGAGAGCTCTCTCATAAGCAATCCTGACTTCCTCTGAACATTTTCCATATGGAAGGGATGCCTGAACTGTTGCAGCTATCTTACTACCAGCCTGAGGAAGAAGCTCACACCCAGAGATCAAAGTCATGAAAATTGCAGAGACCCACAGTTGGAGCCCAAATAAAGGCAAGCTGGACCACACC
This sequence comes from Homo sapiens, assembly GCF_000001405.40. Taxonomy (NCBI): domain Eukaryota; kingdom Metazoa; phylum Chordata; class Mammalia; order Primates; family Hominidae; genus Homo; species Homo sapiens. The sequence continues at coordinate 177,148,056 of NC_000001.11, forward strand.
TTCATTGACCTGAGCCTATGCATCTTCTTTATCATTTACATCACTTTTTGTTGAATTTTGTCTTACAATCGAAAATTTTCAGGCCGGGTGTGGTGGCTCACGCCTGTAATCCCAGCACTTTGGGAGGCCGAGGCAGGCGGATCACAAGGTCAGGAGATCAAGACCATCCTGGCTAACACGGTGAAACCCGGTCTCTACAAAAAATACAAAAAATTAGCCGGGCGTGGTGGCGGGCACCTGTAGTCCCAGCTACTCAGGAGGCTGAGGCAGGAGAATGGCGTGAACCCGGGAGGTGGAGGTTGCAGTGAGCCGAGATCACGCCACTGACCTCCAGCCTAGGTGAAAGAGCAAGACTCCGTCTCAAAAAAAAAAAAAAAGGAAAATTTTCAAAGTAATATGAGGTTAATTTGAGATAGTGCTAGAGAGGTAGGAATCAGTCATAGAGTCTTTTTATGCCTTGCTAAGAATTCTGGGTATTCTTGGGCAGGTTCTAAGAGTCAAAATACCACAAGCTGGGAAATAACTAGGCCTTTGAAGGCACCCAACTGATTTGGCAAGGACTCTCTTTTTTCTTCTTTTTTTTTTAATGCACTAGCTTTTTTTTTTCAGTTTTACAAGTTATTTTCCTTCCTATAAAGAGATGGTGCATTACCCAAGAAAAGAAGAGACCAGTTTCAAGGAAGATCAACAGTGACAAATGCAACTGAAGGCCACTGAGATGATGATAGAAGTTTCTTGGATTTAACATTAGAGGATCAATGGTGACCTCAGTGCAATGAAGCACACAGAACTGTGACTGCTATTATGAATGGGGAGACTGATAGGATGCTTGGTGAGAGGGTACACAAGTAAGTAGAAGTTTCTTTAACTTTTTAAGACAAAGGAGAGCTGAGTATGCTTATAGGCTTAAGGAAAATATCTAGGAAAAAGAGGAAGAGAAAAGTAAATATCTAGAAGAGAGGAAGGAGATATATATATATATAGTAAATATATATATAGCAAATATATATAGTAACTATATATAGTAAACATATATATAGTAAATATATATAGTGTATATATAGTAAATATATATAGTGCATATATATAGTGCATATATATAGTGTATATATAGTAAATATATAGTGTATATATATAGTAAATATATATAGTGTATATATAGTAAATATATATAGTAAATATATATATACTATATATAGTAAATATATATATACTATATATAGTAAATATATATATAGTATATATATAGTAAATATATATATAGTATATATATAGTAAATATATATATAGTATATATATAGTAAATATATATATAGTATATATAGTAAATATATATAGTATATATATAGTAAATATATATATAGTATATATATAGTAAATATATATATAGTATATATATAGTAAATATATATATAGTATATATATAGTAAATATATATAGTATATATATAGTAAATATATATAGTATATATATAGTAAATATATATAGTATATATATAGTAAATATATATACACTGTATATATATAGTAAATATATATACACTGTATATATATAGTAAATATATATACACTGTATATATATAGTAAATATATATACACTGTATATATATAGTAAATATATATACACTGTATATACATAGTAAATATATATACACTGTATATACATAGTAAATATATATACACTGTATATACATAGTAAATATATATACACTGTATATACATAGTAAATATATATACAGTGTATATACATAGTAAATATATATACAGTGTATATACATAGTAAATATATATACAGTGTATATACATAGTAAATATATATACAGTGTATATATATAGTAAATATATGTATATATATATAAAGTTCCTAGAAGAGATCAAACTCCTGGTTCTGTAAAGACAGGATTATGTCTGTTTTATTTCTCATTGTCTTCCAGAAGCCTAGTATCATGACTGCTACTTAGAAGTTGCTCAAAATACATTGGAAATTGGAGGCAAGAAAGTAAGAATGATTCCAAAGTGGGTCTACAAGTTTGTGTGTTGGAGATGTATGAAATTGGAGATAATATGCCTGATAGCCTCAACTACAAGGCAACATCTTATGCTAAGTGTAAAGACAGGAAATTCAGTTGGGAGCTTAACTACCTTATTAATGGTTTGAAACAGTCACTTGGGGAAGTGAGAGGAAGGGATGACCAAAGTCAATAAAAAGTAATAAGCAATTTTCAGGACCAAATGTAGACTAGAACCCAGATAACTATGGTACCTTGAATGTACACAAACAGGAGAATCTACACACAAATCTCAGCATTCAGTCTGGGGGTAAAGGTAAAGCATGTAAATTTGGGAAATTGATCTACCTCTGGACATTTGACTGGTAGATGCTGTATAATGACAAGAAGCAGCACTGAAATTGAGGATTCTAATAAAAAGGTAGTTCAGGTAAAGGAAAAGATGTCAGAGCATTCTAATAGACATGGAGAAAATAAAAGTGGCATTGAAACTGTGAATTTCCAAGGACCAATTATCAGGCAGAGTGAAAGAGTATGAGAAAGCTGGAAAGAAGAATTTGTGGTTCGAGTAGGGCCAGTTTCAGCGTTGAAGAATTTTTAGGGATGAGAAGGGTGTGACCCTAGTTATGGGTAAGTAAAATGGAGTTATGAAGGCGGAGTTGCAGGAGTCAAGGAATTATAAAGTAGAAAGCTGAATGTGTTGTGTACTTCAGGGGTTGGCAAAATACAACCTATGGGCCAATTGCTTATTTTTGTAAATAAAATTCTAATGGAACACAGCTATATACATTAACTTACATATTGTCTACAGTGGCTTTCCTCCCAGTATAAGACATATTGAGTAGTTACAACAGAGACCATATGGTCTAAAAGGTCTAAAATATTTAATATCTTGCCCTATAACAAAACATGTTTTGATACAGGCCTATATAGTTAATAATGCGTTCTTGTGTAAAGGCAGGAGTTGTCATAGCAGAAAATACAGAGGGGCAGTACTAAGCACATTGGTGAGTGGCCTGGAAGATGGTAAATACAGGTAGTTAGGAGAGGCAGAAGATTACCAAGCCAAAGATGTATATTTTCAAACAGGAGGTGTTTCCTGGAAGGAGAGTGAAATTGTATGGGCCTAGAAGAATGATTTTTAATTTTTTTCGAATCCTTATGGTAGGGACTGCTATTTTTCAAAAACAAAACAAAAAAAAATCTATTCTCTCTTTCTTTCTAGAATTTAAGTTGAGCACATGACTACCCAGATAAGACTGCTTTTCCCAGTATCCTTTGCTGGGATTTCAGGCACGTAACAAAGTTCTTACCTATGGCATTGGAGTAGAAGGGATGTGTGCAACTTTTGCCTTACTTTCTTAAAAAAAAAAAAAGAGAGAGAGAAAGAAAATTGTTACCCTGAATGACTGCCCTTCCCCTTCCTGTGAGTGTAAACACACATACTGGTGACTCTGCAGAAGAGGACAAGGGCCTGGGGAATGGCAGAGCAACAAGGTGGAAGAATCTGGGGTTTCTGAATAACTTCATGGAGTAGGGTCTTTCCAAGCTGAATCACTCATCACAGAATTGTTGCCTGAGAGAGAATAAGCTTTTCTTCTTTAAGTCACTTCCTAAGAACTCTTTATTCCAGAAAAGAAAAAGTTCATCTCTATGCCACTTACAAGACCTTTTTAAAAATATGATTTAAGTTGTGGACCCTCTTTTCAAGAAATCGCCCTTATGCATAAATTTTATACTCAATTAACTCTGTAGCCCATATGTGGCCATGAAGCTAAGAACATGTGGTGTAGAAGCAGCAGTGGAGAGAAAAAGGAAATAGCCACTCCTCCCATGTGTTTGTACAGAAGGAACTTTTCAATAAAGCAGCCATCCTTTGCCATTGTGCTTTTTTAGGTTATGTCCTTGACTGGTGGTAGACTGAAAGAGCCAGTCAGAGAAATCAGGAAGGACAGGAGAGGGCATATGGGAAAGATAATAAGGTCAAGGTACAGGATGAGACTATGTTGGGAGACATGAGTAAGAAAAAATATCAGTTCTCAGAATTCATATTTGGGGAAAGGTAGATATCCCAGGGAGAGTAGGACAATCCAAAGCCATCAGTCAGGACCACAGAAAGTGCACAGATTTGCATTGCATAACTCCAAAAGATGCTACATGTACACAGGTTCCATAGTGTGGCAGATTCACCATCAGAATTTTCTTGTATTTAGAACTTAAAACCCACCTAGAAACTGATAACAGTAAAATGATTTCACCAGGTACTGCTGTGGTTTACGTGTATAGCATCACGTTCCCTCAACCAAAGGTAGTCAATTAACACACAACATTAATAGCTTTCACATACAGAAAGTATAATCCTTTGGAAAATAAATAAATAAAAAAGGAAACATTCCTTTTACAAAAGCACAAAAAGATAAAATACCTAGAAGTAAATCTAACAAGAAATGTGCAAGAACTTTATGAGAAAAAAAAAAACTTTAAAATTCTACTAAAGGGCAGTCAAGATTTGAACAAATGCAAATGTATAAATTTCTTAAGTTGAAAAATTCAACATCTTAAATATTTAATTATTTCTTAATTAATTTAAAAATTTAACAAGGTTTATGACTAAAAATACCACTAGCTTTTGTTATTCTTCTTCTTGTTACATTTTTAGAACCAGATAAGCCAGTTAAAGTTTATACGGAAAAACGGAATGGATAGGAGAACTCTAGAAAAGAATAGCAGCAAAGGGTGACTAGCCCTATGAGATATGAAAACACATTACAGAATTTTAATAATTAACACAATATGGTATAGGCACATGAATATATAGACATAGTAATAGAACAGAATAAAAGCTCAGAAATAGACCCAAATGTATTATGGAATTTATTATATGATAAAGGTGACATCTCAAATCAGAGGGGAGATTATGAGCTATTTAATAACTGGTAATCAACCATCTGAGTAACCATGTGGACAGCTGCTACAGTTTGGATGTTTGTCCTCCCACACCACTTATTAAAATTTGATCCCCAATGTTGGAGGTGAGGCCTAATGGAAGGTGCCTGGGTTGTAGGGGTGGATGCCTCATGAATAGATTAATGCCTTCCTTGGAGGTAAGTGAGTTCTTGCTCTATTAGTTCCCTCTAAGAGCTGGTTGTTAAGAAAAAAACAAATCTTGGCACCTCTGCTTCTTTCTCTTGTGATGATATCTTACCAGGTAATCTCTGCACACTCTGGCTTTCCTTTGTCTTCCACCATGAGTGGAAGCAGCCTAAAACCCTCACCAGATGCAGATACCCAATCTTGAACTTTCCAACCAACAGAACTGTGAGCCAAATAAGCCTTTTTTTTCTTTATAAATGACCCAGCCTCAGGTACTCCATTATAGCGACACAAAATGGATGAAGACACCAGCTAAAGTTGGTGCTTCATATAGCATACTTGGATAAAGCCATATATCAAACTACATACCACAATAAATTCAAAATATACCAAGTATTTAAATGCAAAAAATAAAGCTATTAGAATATTCAGGAAAAAAATGATGAATACTTCTATAACTTTAAAGTGAAGAAGACCTTTCCAGTGAAGACATAAGGTACAGAAGTCAAAAAGAAATAATTAATATCTTCACTTACATAAAATCCAAAGACTTCTGGAAAACCAACCAAACAAAAAACAAGCAAACAAAAACATAGGCAAAGTCAAGAAACATACAATAACCTGGGAAAAATGATATTTGCAACTCATTTTACAGTCAAAGAGATAACCTCCCTCGTATCTAAAATGCTCCTAAAAATATGAAAGGAATAACAATTAGATGTCACTTTACACTCAGTGGATTGACAAATATTAGAACACTGTACAATGCCAAGTGTCGGTGGGAGTATGAGGATTTAGGAACCCTCAAATATTAATACTACTGATGAGAGTACAAACTGATCCAGCCATTCTGAGCACAGTTTGGCAGTATTTAGCCAAATTAAATATGCATAATCTTTATAAACCAGCAATTCTGCTCCTGCTATGTATCCCAGAGAAATTTTCACAAAAGTCCTTGAGGAAATATGTACTAAAATGATAACTGGAGTATTATTTGTAGTGACGGAAAGCAGGAGGCATCCTGGATGTCCATCACTGAAAGGACTGGCAAAATGTAATAGGTGACCATCATGGAATGTTCTGCAACAGTCAGAATCAATGGATAAGATTTGTGTTGTCCAATAAACCCTTCTGCAATAGTGGGCATGTTTTATATATTCACTATTCAATATGGTAGTCACTAGCCACATGAAGTTATTTAAAATTAAACTCATTAAAATGTAAACATAAAAATTCAGTTCCTCGGTCGTACTAACTATATTTCAAGTGTTCAAGAGTTACATTTGGCCAGAAAGTACCATACTGGATAAGGCAGAACTCGAATATTACCGTTATTACAGAAATCCCTATTGGACAGTGCTAGGCTATATTTATACTAAGTAGTATGAGTAGATCTTAAAAATATAGTGCTGAGTGAAAAGAGTAAGTATCAGAATAACAATATGACACCACCATTTCCTTGAATTTAAAATACATTAACACAGAACAACTATTGACTTATTGCAAGAACACATACCAAAAAAAAAATAATAAGCATTAGGGAGATTAGAGTATTTTCCTATGGGGAACAGTGAGTGAAAACTGAGAGAAGGTATAAAGGAAAAGAAGCAAATAGGCAAATCAATAAACGACTGGAAGGAGTAAGGGCTTTCAGAGACCTATAATAAAATATGCTGTGAATTGAGGAATATAATTAAGTCAAATCTCTGCATGAGATTACAAAAAAAAGAAAGCACACAAAAATCTGCATACTAATGTTCATAGTATTTTTATTCATAATTGCCAAAAACTGGAAACAACCAAGATGTTTTTCAATAGGTAAATGGACAAACTATGGTACTTCATGCAATGGAATATTATTCAGCAATAAAAATAACTGAGCTATCAAGCCATGAAAAGAAAAGATGTCAATAAATCTTAAATGCATGATATTAAGGAAAAGAGGCAAGTCTAAAAGGGCTACATACTTTATTACAACTATATGGCATTCTGGAAAAGGCAAAACTACATTGATGGTAAAAGAGCAGTGGTTGCCAGAGTTTGGAAGTAAGGCATGGAGGATTAAATAGATGAAGGGTAGGAGATTTTGTAGGGTGATCAAACTGTTCTGTATGATTCTATAACTGTGGATATATTACACCATACATGTGTGAACATTCATTAACTTTAGGGAACAAACGGCCAACTTTATATGTGCAAATTAAAAGAAAAGAAATCATTTAGGAGATTGAGTGATCCCAGGATGAATGCAGAATATGACAAATACTAACTATATCATAAATGTATGAACAACCTCACTGGAAGGGGTTGGGGGGAAAGTGTTGGCCTAAGCAACTTTAGAGTAATCTGCAAGACTAAAGACAAAAGAAATTGTACAGAAAAACTGCCCTACAACTAATAAAGTTGTTCCCCATGGTGGTATGGGCAAACAATTCCAATACTGTAATAAATTCACAGTGAAACTGAAAAATTAAATACATGGATGGTAGATGGTGGGAGTCAGGTTACTCATTGTTGGAGTAGGATAAGCAAGGGGAGGAAGCAAGATGATTCACGAATTAGATGAGAGCTAATGTTAATTAGGTAATGATAATTAGATAATGGATTAAAGCTGGAGACATCAGTATGAACTCATGATTAGCTTAATATAGACACATATGGTTACATATAGAAATATTTACAGATAGATATATACATATGTTAGTAAAGACACATATTTCCTTGCTCTGTCAGCTGAGAGAGCCTAGAAGCAACAACACTCCTGTAACAACAAGCACACTTAGTTCCCGGATCTTGGTTTCTAACATCATCCTCCAATTAAAAGAATGATGGGGGCCAGGCATGGTGGCTCATGCCTATAATCCTAGCACTTTGGGAGGCTGAGGCGGGCAGATCACAAAGTCAGGAGTTTGAGACCAGCCTGGCCAATATGGTGAAACTCCGTCTCTACTAAAAATACAAAAATTAGCTGGGTGTGGTGGCGGGCACCTGTAATCCCAGCTACTCAGGAAGCTGAGGCAGGAGAATTGCTTAAACCCAGGAGGCAGAGGTTGCAGTGAGCAGAGATTGCACCACTGCACTCCAGCGTGGGCAACAAGGTGAGACTCCGTCTCAAAAAAAAAAAAAACAAAAAACCCAACAACACCATATGCTGCTTGGAGAAATAGCTGATTCTAGAATAGGGGCAGGTAATATGCAAGATGACCCTGGAGAAGCTTGTAGTGACAGGAAGTAAAAAGGTGCTCACAAAACAAAAACTCACATTGACTGGGGTATATCAAAGTCTCACAGGAGCCAACTGAAAGAGCTCCCATTAGCCAATGCTGAGACAAACAATTTGAGCAATAAAATCAATAAAGTAGTACTGAATTAAAACGCAAAGTATAAAATAAATATTCATGAGTCCATAGGACATAAATAAATAAGTAAACAAATAAATGGAAGAAAAGAAAAAATTCTCTTATATAGCATAATTCAAAATAATTTATGTAGATACTCAGCCTTCAAGAAGGTGGACCATAGCTCCCCATTCCTTTGGAATAGTCTGTGCACAGTGACTTCCTTCAAAGGAATGGAGAGAGGGTAAAAAGGTAACTTTACAGTGGAGAAACCTGCCAAATACAACCTCAACAAAGTGACTGAGGTCAGCATCAACAGTGAGAAGTCAAGTTGATAGAATGTACCCTTGATATGATCTGATGAAAATGACACTTTATAGCTTCCTTCTCCAAACCTTAGCTCCAGTCTAATCATGAGAAAAACATCAGACAAATACCGATTGAGGAACATTCTACAAAGTACCTGACTAGTATTCTTCAAACTGTCAAAGTCATCAAAACCAAAACAAGTCTGAGAAAGTGTCACAACCAAGAGAAGCGTAAGAAGATGTGATGACTAAGTGTACTGTGGTACCCTGGGTGAGATCCTGGAACAGAAAAACAATGTTAGATAAAAACTAAGAAAATCTGAATACAGTGTAGACTTTTGTTAAAAATCATGGATCAACCTTGGTTCTTCAATTGTAACAAATGTATCACATTAATATAAGATGTTAATAGTGAGAGAAACTGGGTATGGGGCATATGGAAACTCTCTGTACTATCTTCCCAATTTTTCCATAAAGCTAAAACTGTTCTTTTTGTTGTTGTTGTTGTTGTTGTTGTTTGTTTTGTTTTGTTTTATAAGGTCTTACTCTGTTACCCAGGCCAGAATGCAGTGGTAGGATCTCCGCTCACTGCAACTCCGCCTCCTGGGCTCAAGCCATCTTCCCACCTCAGCCTCCCAAGTAACTGGGACTACAGGCACACGCCACCATATCTAGCTAACTCTTGTATTTTTTGTAGAGATGGGGTTTTGTCATGTTGCCAAGGCCTGTCTCAAACTCCCAAGCTCAAGCCATTCACCCACCTGGCTTCCTGAAGTGCTGGGATTACAGGTGTGAGCCACCACACCTGGCCTAAAACTGTTCTTTAAAAATTAATTTGTATTTTTTTTTAAAAAAAAGGAAAACAAGTATCAGGAACTGCTAGAAGCTTTGAGGCCCTCTTTTTCACCCTCTCCCTTCACACAATCTTCCCTTTCCACAAGAGGTAACACTCGTATTTTATTTTGTTTTTGTTTTCTTGCTTTTCATAAAAATTTTGCATTTGTATGTATTCTTAAACAATATGTTATTTTGAATTTATATAAATAAAATTGTACTATTTTTTTCAGCTATTTTCTTATTTTCACCTAACATTACATTTGTGAGATTTACCCACATTGATATATGTAGCTACAACTCATTTATTCTCCTGGCTAGATAATATGTCATTGATGAAGGTGCCACCTTGTATATTTCTAGTCTCCTGATAATGATTGCTTCCAGGTTTTGCTATTCCCAACAAATATTCTCATGTATACATGTAAAAATTCCTGTGTAATGAAAAGCTAGAAGTGGAACTGCAAAAGCATCAGGCATATACATTTTCAGTTGTACTATATAATACCAAATCGTTTCACAAAAGTTGTCATGTCAGTTTAGATTACCGTCAACAATTTGATTGTTTGTTCCTTGGAAATCTAGAGATCTGTACAAATACTTTGGGTTTTTTATTAAAATTTTAAAGTGTACATGATTAAAAACAAAATATCAACTATTTCATATTTTTAGTAGGAATAAAATGGTGATAGATGACCATGTAACAAAAGCTATTGAAATAATTTTTTTAAAGTAATTAATTTTTAAGAATAATAAAATGATGATAGGTGTCAATTTGTATAGTACATTCGAAATTTCCATAGACCTTAACTTGTCCTGGGAGATTAACTTGCTCATAACAGAGCTCTTTTTGCCATCTGTGTGCATATACATGAACTGGTTTAACAGTGAAGAAATGAAGACTTCGTATGTCCCTGCTGAAAAGTTGCCAGGTTTGTTCTCATAAACTGGCCCTGATGTGAGAAACTACTAGCCTTTTAAGTTTAATTACATTTCTAAGAAAAGAAAGAAAAAAGTACGTGTGTGTGTGTGTGTGTGTGTGTGTGTGTGTGTGTGTATGATATATATGTGTATATATAGTGTGTCTATAAGACAAGACCTCAATCTTGCTTCCTAAGATGAATAAAGAAACTAAAATTGGCTGGGCGTGGTGGCTCACGCCTGTAATCCCAGCACTTTGGGAGGCCGAGGTGGGTGGATCATTTGAGGTCAGAAGTTCGAGTCCAGCCTGGCCAACATGGTGAAACCCTGCCTTTAATAAAAATACAAAAAAAAAAAAAAATAGCCGGGCATGGTGGCGGGTGACTGTAGTCCCAGCTACTCAGGAGGATGAGGCAGGAGAATTCCTTGAATCTGAGAGGTGGAGGTTGCAGTGACCCAAGATTGTGCCACTGCACTCCAGCCTGGGCAACAAAGCGAGGATCCATCTCAAAAAAAAAAAAAAAAAAAAATTAAAATTTTATTTTTTCTTCAAAAACTCTAATTACTTGAATTCAAGTCATATCAACATATCTAAAAAAGCAGTTAAAATGTTGTAAAATTCATCATTCATATTCATAATTCCTTTGTTGTAAAAATCTAAATTTCTGTAGAGAAACAGTAAATAATAACCCTCTCAATACTATAAATGAGCACATTCTGATAGCATGAGTTATATAAGTGCTGAAGAACCTACCTTAGGATTGCTAGCATTCATCTACTATGTCTTGGATAGGGCTGCCAATCTATACAAATGCATTTACTATTAACCTAGGCAGCTCACTGTAGTGGAGAGAAAAAAGAAGGAAAAGAAACATATTTTAAAGTTTCCCCTCAAATGGGAAGATGGAGAGATGTGTGAAAAGAATTGGGGATACCTGGGTATTTTAACTGTTTCCTATCAGGCCAAAGCTCACCCATAAGTAACATTATGTCCAATATTACCTTTGAAGCCAATTGAAAAGCTCAGTAACTGCTATTTAAACAGCTCCACTGAGCTCTCAAAATAAGTTCTAAGCACAAGACCACCCAATACAAAGATCACTGGCTTTGGACAAGTAGCTAAAACCACATTACCTTCTGGATAGCTCCATTTAACAAGGGAGCCTTCTCTCTGGGACTCTCAGTTTGCATTTCTGTAGGACCCTCCTCAGGAAGAGCACTGAACATATTACCTTCATCCCCAATGCAGCCTACCTATCTTGTTTACCAAGACTGTGAGTCCCATACATGTCACCACAGGAACATGGAAACATGGCTACCTGAACCTGAAAACTATAAATAAGTGAGAATTCCCAAACTCTTCTTAGCAAAGTATATGTACTTAGCTAACTATTTTTTGATAAAGTTATTAAGGCTGGTGTGAGAAATCACTCAATGGGCAAGGATATTCAAGAAGTATTTGCATAAAGATCACAAAAGACTCCTATATACAAACTAGGTGAGTGTGCTTTCCCTATTTTAACCATTTTCAGGGCTCCTTTTGTTCAACCATGAAAAAGAAACGATTTTGAAAACTTTTAAGGCATGTAAAATAGTAGCTCAGAGAAAGGCTTAAACATCATATTGACCTGAGTTCGAATGATGGATCCATCAACTGTTCACTAAGTGACCCTGAGTAAGTTATTTAACTCCCCCATTCTTCTGTTTTCTCCACTGCTGGAATAAGTAGAAAGCCAGAAGTTGACAGCAAATCTGTCTTCAAAGCCTATTCTTTTAACCGCCACACTTGCCTGCTCCAGACACTTTAAACAGCACCTTGCATGTGGGAATTTACTACATCTCTGCAGGCTGATTGATTTATCTTCAGGAATACCTTCTTCAATCAAAAGCCATGACAGCTAAAGCAAAATGCCAAGGCACAAGAGAAACATCTTTCTTCACTAAGTTGTACATATGCAAAAGCTCAACAGTTGGGTGAAATAGAAGGGTTTCTCCTTCAAATAGTAATGAGGCTGATATAAAAATATATTCTATTTACAGCACAGAAAACCTGGAAGCCACACTTCAGGTTAACTCCTTATCTCCAAATCAAATATGCTCCAAAGCAGGAATGTCTACTATTTTGAAAGCTGAAATATGAAATTTTAGTTCAGATATGAAATATTAGTTGACTAATTTGGCAAATCTCTTAAATCTCCTGAGAGGATGCTAAGGCTCATGTGCCTAAATATTTTAAATTAGAAATGACAGTTATTTTGCAACACTTTTGAGGCTTTCACCACACATCTGAAAGCAGGGGTTTAGGTTTAGATTACATGGCTTAGAGTTGCCAGGTAAGTACTACGAAGAAGTATATTAGGCACAGAACCATCAGTATCTGTGAGAAGTATAGCAATCTAGACCTAACTAAAAACATTCATATTCAAAGCATTTTAAAAACCATATGTAGTCAAACAAAACATACCTAAAAGTCATACTGGGCCCTTGAATCACAATTTGCAAACCCCATCTCAGAGAAAAGGAGATATTGACTCCTGTTCTCTACTTGGAATTATACCACACGCAAAACTGCCAAGGCTGATGGCTGAGATAACCTCTGGGATCCAGACTTCAATGCTTTCTATGTCAAGTCAGCCCTTTCTGCCTAGTTTTGAAGTGGAGAGCCACATGCCACTCTACAGAGCCAGGCCCAGTCCCCACTACTGTCATGTCACAAGGCTCTGTCCAGGCAGGCCGATCCCCACACTATGCCATATGCATGCCATTTCCATATTCACTCCCACCACCAAATGCCTTTGCTCATCTTTTCTCCATGACCTTAAATGTCTTCACCTTTCCTAGTCCAAGCCAAGCCTAATCTACCTTTAATTTTGCACGTTTGTGAGTGTTTTCTGTTTTAATCCATGCAAAGAGCACAGAAATGGGATAGAGGCTTCATAGAGAGATGACTTGTGCATGGTTTAGAAGGAAGAATGGATACCACCTAATAGAGAAAGGGCAAAGAGCCTTCCAGGCAGAGTAGCTACATGTGCAAAGTCTTGAAACAGTCCAGAAGGCCATGGCAGGCTTGGAGGGATAAAGGGCTGGAGAAGTTGGCTGCAATCAGAATGAGAAGACCCTAGTTAGCCTCAGTGAAGTGACAGGACTTGATCCTAGAGGCAAAAGGAAGCCAAAGCTTGTTTTTCTTGTTGTTTGTAATTTTTTTTTTCACTCAAAGGAGTGACAGGATCTGATTTTAGCCTAAGCTTCTGGTCCATGATTACCATGGAATCTGCTCTTGTCATGCAAGCAAATCCTTCCACAGCATCCCTATACCCCTTAACAGCCATACCACACAATTAGGTAGGTACAGCTCTTACAGGTATCTTTGTGTTTCCAGTGACTAGAGACCACTTGAGGGCAAGAGACTTTTTTTTAACTTCTGTTTCCTAGTAATGCCTCTGAGTGCTGAGCAGGTACAACTCAATAAATTTCCAGAATTGACTGATTCAGATTCCTCCAGGAGATGGATTAAGTAAACAAGGTTCCAAAGATAGGAGTAGGGAAATCTCAAAACCAAAGTCACTACAGCCCTCACCATTGGCCAAGAGCTGCATGATCAAGACCACAAAAGTTAAATTCAAAACTACCTTTGAGTCTATCCTCCATAAATTTGGACTCCTCTTCCTTTCTGCCCAGATCTGTTTAACCACCCACCCAAACTGAAATTCATTCCTTCTTCCTTTGAGCATACTGAGTCAGAAAGAATAAGTACCAGCCCTTCTCTGGTTCTGAGCATACCCCACTGACTGGGAGAGTGGGAGATAATCGATGCATTTAAATAGTGCATCTGGCCCTGAAGTGAGAGAGTGTGTCTGTGTGCCTGTGTGTAAATGCCAAGTTGCACCAGATTACCATAGCAACCCCAACAGGACACTGCAGTGGGCAGCTTTGCACAGAGGTGCAGAAAACCCGTTCTTATAACATCTGGGCTTTCACTGTGCACATTGGTTCCTAGTAGGCACATCACAGCATTAGGCCCTGGTTTTGGGATTCTGCAAAAAAGAAATGAAATGTTGAATACCTGCTAGCCCTCCCTTTTTTTAAGCACCATGCTTGTACCTCTTCATGCACAGTAAACACTACAAGCAGAGTGCAAAACAGCCTCTTTAGAAACACATAATTCCCTCTACTCACTTTTATATACTATGATGAACAGATTGTACTTTGCATATCAGCATGACTTCAACGTGAACTTTCCATCCTCCAAATAACCCAGTAATTGTACATTTTGATGAGCGGCATATCCACAATGCTCCCATTTCCAGCTAGTCCCCAGTTTTTATTATGTTATTGGTATTTTTGAAAGCAAAAATAAATAATCCTATCAAGAGCATAGGTTGGGTTTAATGGGTTCAACTGAGCTGCACTCCGGGAACTATAAAGCAACTTTTCAAAGGGCCAGGCAATTTTTGAAATTGCTTTTCCCTAAGGGTTGGGGAGTAGGGGTTTATTCACTCACTTCCTAGTGTTTTCAGTGTGAAGACATCTCCTATGAAGGAAGAGCAAGAGGGATGTGTTAGAATTCCACATGTGGCTCTAGCCTACATGTGGCCATCAGGAAACCATGTTTCTGCAAATGGAACTGTAGTTGGTAGGGTATCAAGTAAATGGAACAGCCTCCTAGACATTTTCTTTTTTTCTCTACTTGGATCTAGAGACTGAAGTGTGGTTTTCTTTGAATTTCTCCTGGGCAAAATAAGAATAATTGGCAACATCACTAAAGAAATGGATTGCATGGTAGGCATGCACAGCAAGGTGAGAGCTCCATCTACACATGGAGAAGTGAGGGGAATTTGGCAAAGTAACATGAACTTGTGGTGCTTTGCAAGATACTAGAGCAGGACCACAAAACCTTTGCAGCTTAGTAGTGGAAAACAGGGATGATTTGAAGTAATGTATGGGTTCCAGTACCTGAAGTGACAGGAGTTCCACTACCTGAAGGTGACCTAAGAAAATTACAGTGGGAGTACCAAAAAGAGAGAGATGTAAACAAACAAAGGAAGGAAGAGCCCCTTGCCTAGAAAGGTCATTCTGTGTGCAGGAATGCCTACGCCTATCTAAGGTGGCCCTGGGAACAAAGAAGAGACCAATACTAACAGACTACAGTTGTATAATATCTTTAACCAACTGTGACGTGACATGGATGTGTGGATGTGGTTGAATTAGGGGGTTGTGACATCTAAGCATGGAGGTAGGACTTCCCAGAATGAACAGCTGGGGGATAAGAAACTTGAGTGTTTGGAAGGGAGGGTGTCAGTAGCCTGGTGACAGATAAAGGGCTCTCCATGAATGAAGACTAGAATCTGGCTTGCACATAGCTGGCAAGGTGATGACAGGATACCTGTTTCTAAAGCCCCCAGGAAGTGCTGTAGGTGGGTGTGGGTATCCAGAGTGAGTGAAGCAAAGAGCTGAGCATGTGGCTAGGGAGTGGGGAGAAGGGATTATGGGAGTTGAACTGGTAGCAGACAAAAAGTGCTGTGTGGATGTGCTCCTGAATCAAAGCTGGGAGGTCAAGGCTGGGAGAGGTTTCAGAGAGACTCATGCAACCTGTTTCTTTGAGGCAGGGCAGCTGAGAGGAGGCTCAGCATCCAGGTCGGATTTGGGGAGAAGTCAGGTGCACAGAGGCGCTAGTATGCAAGTGGGTGTGGAGAATGGTCCGGGAGTGGGGCGGATCCGGGAGGTAGGAGTGGGGGAGGGGAGGTCGTCGGCGAGTGGGTGTGTAGAGCGAGCTGGAGTGGGGGGTGGGGGCGCCGGTCCAGCGCCTCCGGCCGCCTCGACCTCCCCCGGGACTCACCCAGCACGAAGTAGGGCAGCTCCGTGTTCTCCAGGTCGTCCACCACGACCATTTCTCCCGGGAAGTCGTTGCGCACCGAGAAGAGGAGCTTGGGCTCCGAGGCCGAGGGGCTGTGCATGATGCTCAGGTCGTTCTCGCGCAGGAAGGGCAGTGCCGACACCGTGATGCTTTTGAGCTTGCACTCCAGCTCCTTGGATGGATCCACGTCGCCGGCGGCCGTGGCCAGCACCGCCGCCGGCCCCCAGCAGCAGGCGAGCAGGGCGCAGAGCCCGGCTAAAGCCATCTTGAGCCCCGGCCGCCTTCCTCCTAGCGCTGCGATGGTGGGGGAGGAAGCGAGCGGGGAGGGAGCGAGGGAGCGAGCGCGGGAGGCGGGGGAGGTTAGGGAGGGGATGGAGAGCCGGGAGAGCCCTGGACCCCGGAATGAGATGCCGCTTGCAGAGTCCTGGGTTTAAGCTCTGATGTCTGGAGAGCCCCGGATTCTTTGTTTCCCGGAGCTGCTTATCTGGAGAAGGGAAAGCGGGGGAGGGGGGAGAGGAGAAAAAGGGAAGGAAGGACGTCGAAAGGAAAGAGGAAGGGAGCTGAGGATTCTAGGGAATCAGGTCAGCCCCCAGCTGGCTGCCGGTGCTCCTGCCTCTCTCCTCCGTTGCATCCTCCAACACGAGCAAGGCTCTTGGCTATGAACTACCTGCACGGCATTTTTAATACATTGATCTTTGCAATGTAAAATCTTCCCTCTCGCATCATCATCCAGAAGGCTTGAGAGAGGCACACACAGACATACACCTTAAAGGGCGCTTCTGCAAAGCTGCGCGGTGAGGGGAGATGAAAATTCCCCCAGTGGTTTTGTGGATGTATTATAGCTTGTCCGAATCTTGCTTCCACCCCGCCCCGTCCCCCACTAGTTGGATTTGTACATAGGATAAACGGGAGCTGGGAATGCACATGTGCATATTTTTACTTAGCACTAACTTTGCAAAATATTTAAAGAAAATATTTGTTATACTGGTTTAGATGGATGGATAGATATGCACAACAGAGTAAGGTGCACAGTTAAGCAGGAGATCGAAACTTTTACTCGCAACTTCTCTCTGCTTCATTTCATTTCTATCACAAATTTTATCTGTAGTAACCAATAAAAAGATGATTTGGGGAATATTATAGCTGATAGAAAAAAAGTAGGGTTAGCTCAAATAAATCTTGAAACTTTAATTTTAGACAATCTAGTAAATAGGACAAAGCTGGAAAGAAATTGTGAGAAAAACCAAAGTTCCTAAGCATTCTTAACAGATGGAAAAGTAATAAAAGAATATCCTTGGGTATGAGCTAAGTCAATCCCAATCCAGTCAAGAGTACAACAGGGAAGATGTTCAGCACCCTGCGTAAGTATTCTGAAGAATAACACCACCACCACCACCACCAAAACCCATGTAAGATCTGTTCCCAGTAGTGCTCAACAATGTTGCCTTTTAAAAATGATGACAATATGCAATAAACAGTGGTAGAAAAGTGACATTGTGTATTCTGAAATCTGACATTTAACTGAACTTTCTCTCACATGATAACCAATAACTTATTTCAAAAGTGTGTCCCTCCATTGTTATTGGGTCAATGCTAACTTCAATACTAGGTGCTGTGAAGACTGTGTTATTTGTAGTTCTCACTCTAGAAATTTAATGCACTACTGTTCTAAAAGAGGACCCCTACTTAAGAAACAATTACATTTTCATTCTACCTGGTGTCAGTTTATTGGCATATGTGAAAATATGTTCTTTAAAAGACAAAAAAGCTTTTGCCATATATTTTACAAAGTTTATCTAATTGAATAGAGAAAATAAGCCATATTTAAGGTAATGTTTAAGTAGTGAAAGATCATTTACCACATATGCAAAGAAAAGAAGAACAAAGACACTTTATTAGTTGAGTTTTTATATGTAACTTATCTGGGAATTAACCCCAAGTTATCTTACCATGCAGCATTGCAAACTACTGTAAACTACTGTAAAAAAGATGTACCAGCTAACGACTTTTGAAAACTCATCCTGATCGTCATTGCTCCCCTAAGAGATACTGAGTGAGACAAAAACCCCATGATATCTCTTTCATTCTGTTATCCCTAGCATAAACAAAAATCTAGTATTAAACTTACTTATGCAAGGTTATTTGCCATTGAATAATTATAGTGGATGTCAGGAACACACCCTTGATACTAGAATGTGAGAAATGGCATGTAAGTACCTGATCATGTATTCATCCAATCTCTCACTTAACAGATAAGGAAATTGAGACCCATTAAAGAGTGATCTATCTTCTATGGAGCTAAGACCATGAACAAGATTTCTTTGCCCACTGCTCTTTCCACTATATGGTTATGGTACACTAGGGTGCACCCATGGATAATCACTGGGCTTTATGGACCACAGTAATTAATTCAGCAAATGTTTGTGTACCTACTGTATCATAAGCATTAGGCTAAGCACAGCCAGAAAAATACTACTCCTGCTTTTGAGTAGCATATAATCTACTGTCACTTTGAAATCTTTCTTTCTAATTTTCTGAAGATTCTTGAGTCATGTTAGAAAGCCCAAGTAAACCATTTAGGGTTGATTTTCCAATAAGTCAATATCTAGTCTTCTTAAAATGTATATTGAGTTGGGCATAGTTGGTAGTTGGTATCTCAAGTCTTTCTAGACCTCTCTAAACAAAACCAAACAAAAGAAACAGTAGAATTTTTTAAAAGAGAATATATTATTCCAGAGTACTTGATTCCTGTAAAAATGGAAATAATGTCACATGGCCCTTTCTTAGGGAATTAAATACCTAGAGATGTGGGTAAAGGTTGAAGTACATGGAAACCAGGCCATCTCTAATGCATGATGTTTTACATTTAGAGGAGATGGGGGAAAATGTTATGCATCTCAATCATCACCTTTGTGTAGAGGCATAATGATATAGTGAAATAATAGAACTGGATTCAAGACTTAACTTCATAATATTCTTATTTGGAGATAAGCTTGGACCATTCTTGTCTTTAGTTCCCCATCAACAAAAGGGGCCAATCATCTCCGCTCACCCCTGCTGGTCACAGAAAATGTTTCTGACTTTCATCACCAAAGAGTAATGTTACTTGCTCTTGAATTTTATAAATATAGAATCTTAGAGTATATGCTTTTTTGTGTCTTAATATTTTCACTCATCATTATGTCTGTGAGATTTATCCATGTAGTTCAATATTGTATTGCTGTGTACTAGTCCATTACATGACTACATGGCATTTATTCATTCTCAGAAAATTTCTATTCTTTAAAACACTGTAAAACAGCAAGCGCTGTTATCTCCAATCTTCACTTTTCTCCTGAGATACACCTTCCTGTATTTAAGCACCAATGGCCTCTTTCCTTGACTATTAAAATAGATTTTGATTCCTTTTCCTCCTAGCAACGCATTCTGTACACAACTACCAGGTTGATCTTCATGAAATCTAACTTTCATTATGTCATTCTAGTTTTTCTTTTTCTACATGATAAAGCTGAAAACCCATGGTTTAGAAATTTTAAAACTCTTCTAATCTCACACTGTTTTTTAGATAGTTTGCTCACTGCACTATATCTCTATCCTCCCACCACACATGTGCACACAGACACACACATCTCTCAATCAAATTAAAATCTATTTCCTATTTTCACTCCTCCCATAACATTCTGTCCACCTGAAGTGCAACACTCTTTATTCTTCAGATTGTCCCATCTCTCCAAGCTAATCTGCAGCTGCACCTATGCAGTGAGAACTTCCATCACTTCCCTTCTTTTAGCTCCATTCCCTGGGCATTTATTTACATCTCCCCCAACATCTACACATATACATACACATACACTCAGGAAAGCAAGAGCTATTTCCTAATACAAAGTCTTAAATTCAATATTCTTATTTGCAAAACAGGAATAATACATAGTTTTGGGGGTGGTTGTGAGGAGGAAATGAGATTATGTATGTAAACAATGTGACACATTTTAGGCATTTAGTTGGCACTCAGTAGCGATAGCCTTTGCCACTATCACCTTATTCAATTATTTTGGCAAGATAATAGGCTTCAGAGTCATCTTCATGAGATTTTCTCCAGTGTAGTAGTCAAAGCAAATTAAGTAATGTATAGTCCTTGGTGTTTTCCCAGAGGAAATGATTGCATACATCCACCAAAAGACAAGCACAAAAACATTTATAACAAGTTTACTTATAATAGCCAAAAAACCCCAGAAACATCCCAAATATCTATCAAGAACAGAATGAATAAATGCCATGTAGTCATGTAATAGAGTGGTGCACCGCAATAAAACATACAACTACATGGATAAATCTCAGAGACAAAATGATGAGTGAAAGGATCAAGACACAAAAGAGTGTATACTCTAAGATCCTATATTTACAAAGTTCAAGAGCAAGTAACATTAATCTTTGGTGATGGAAGTCAGAATATAATTATCTCTGGGGAGTGGAGGGTTTTGACTGAGAACGTTCACGAACATGCTTCCTGCAGTGCTGGAAATAAAGTGAGTAATGGTTACATTGATGCATATATAGGCAAGAATTAAACTATACACTTGTGGCAATTCTTAATGTATATTCTGCCTCTTTAAAATTTTTTACACGGCTTCAGACTTTATAGGAGAAGAAAGTACAAGCAAGTTTTCTTTTTCAAGTTGTCTTCTTATCTGCCATCACCTCTTTCCTCTCTCTTTTACAGATTTTGGAAATTTTAACTTTCTTTCCATTGAAATTAGCAATCCTTTGTTCAACCTCTCCCTCTATTTACCCACTCCCTTATGCTATTTTAACATTTCAGTATGTTGTCACTTGGGACAAGTTCAGTGGGTCTCTGCCTCTAGAAATCACAAAAGTAAATAACTCAGCAGTTGGGTAGCAATAGATTTAGGCTCTCAGTGGTTCTCTTGGTTATTTTATTCTAGAAAGAGAGCTCAGGACCCTGTGGGACCACCATTCTCTGACATGTTTTGTAGCTTAGGCAAACAGATACTTGCAGTATGCAGAAGGAAGTTCAACGTTGTATAAGATACAGAGAAGAAAATATAGGTGAAAGTGATAGATGTGTGAGTCTGAGGGGATGAATGAAGAAAATTTCTAATTTTTCTTTATTCATTCAGAACTTACGGCTACTTGATGCAGTTTAGCTAATCTCCATGTGTACTTCTTACACATTCATTAAATCTCTACATACTTTTTTTTTCTAGTTCTTTACAAAATAATCTCCGATGTTGCTCTCCATTTAAGGAAACTAAATTGAAAGACTCCTCTCGCTTTCTGACTATATATTTATCTTCTTCATACTTCCCCCACCACATGACTTAGCATGGATCTCCCAAGTTCCTTCCCCAGCTCCAGCCCCCAGCTCTTCCCTTGAATTGGATTTTTCTTCAACTATTACTCTTTTTCCTATGCTCCTGCCAAAATCTAGTTTAGTATGCTAGTTAGCGGGACATGTTTCAGTTTTGTACCCTCATTAGGATATCAAAAATATATACTTCACACTTCAATGTAAAGTTAATATTTTCTTCCCTTCTCCTTTCCTCCCTTTTCCCTCCACCTCCCTCCCTTTTTTCCTCCCTCCCTCTCTTTCAATTCACAGGCCCAGCAACAGCACCTGCTTCACAGAAACAAGGCTGGTCCTGTTCTGATTTCTCTAGTCTTCCTTTAAAAACTAAACGGAGATGCACAGTCCCTCTTCCTGACACACACAGAAGTGAAAGGAGACACACAGAGGGAAAACACCACAGGCAAAACAATTCCCTTTTTTGGAGGGACATTTTTGAAACTTAATCTCTCCCCAGAAACCTGAAGTTCTCCTCTTTGCCTTTGTCCTTACAGTCCTGGTGTGGGGGCAGAATGTTTCCTGATTTAGCTGTCCTGGCCTCTAAATCTGTTTCACTCTCTAGCCATCTTACTGGGTTCTTGCTCTCTTTTGCCTCTCTCTCCTCTTGGGTCTCTGGGGTGTGTGTGTGTGTGTGTGTGTGTGTGTGTGTGTGTACTATTTCTCACTTGGGGGCTCATTTCTAATTAAGTAATCCAAGAGGCTAAAAAATGCACAAAACAACCAAATGAAACCTCAAATTAGATGGAAAATGGCTCAGATGGGTCCCAATCTCTGGGAGTTCTAGTTAAGCAAGCAAACAAAATGGGCTGGGATAAATGATTATTGTAACTCAGGAAGATTAGAAGAAAATGTAATTAGCTCCCCAGCTACTTCTTGTTCCCCAGCCTTTTTAAGAGTGTCCAACGCCCCACCCGTGAATGTACCCAAGGCTTCCTTATACACACCAAAAAGTCCCCACTGCAACGCTGGGAGGGTTAACAGAGCTGGTACCCCAGCCTGCCAGCTCACCAAAGGAGAGAGCGGTGAGGCTCAGAGCCCGCCCCCTGCCAAGCCGCCCAGCCAATGGGCACCTGTGGGGAGTGTGGCGCTGTGTCCCATTGGCTGCCAACCTACATGCATAAGAAAGAAAGAGAGAGGCAGGCAGGGCAGCATTGTTATCTTAAGACACTCATCTGGTGTCTGAGTCTGCAGGTGACACTGCTTAGGTACGGAGCGCGGAGTCGGAGCGGGGACGCGCCGGGCTGCAGCTCTGGGATGCAATCCGCCTGCCTCGCAAGCTGCTCGCCGCTGCGCTGGCAGCGCTTACGCTGAGCTCGGAGGATCCCATTAGGACTTGCCCGGGGATGTGCACCTGCCGTGCGCTCCGAGGTCAGTGGCAGGTCTGCAGGCAGCCGAGGGAGCGGTGAAGCCGGAAGACCTGTCTCTGCCCATGTGCAAGGCAGTGATTTCGGGTGAGAGAGCGGGTGGGTGAGTCTCTTTAGAGTTGGAAAGAAGGCAAAATCTTGGGTTTCTCCTCGGCGGAGGGACAGGGGACTCCCCCAGTTGGGTCTTGCACTTCCCTTACCTCTCCCACCCCGCGTGCGCCCCGGCCCAGTGCCGAAGCCCCACTTCAAAGATGCTCTGGGAGACCGGGATCCTGGCTGCTCAGCGGGAAGGCAGCAGGCAAGTGGTCTAACGTTGGCGGCGGTGGCGGTGGCGGCGGCGGCGGCACCGACAGTAAAGCGGGGAGCAAGAGAATTTGAAAAGAGACATCCGCTCCCTCTCACACGCTGAGGGGGAGGCATTCGCGTTTCCCCAAATGAGAAAGAACCACAAGAAATCATGAAGTAAAAACTTTGGAAAGCTGCCACTGGAGATGTTGCACAAAAACCTGGAATCTTTTAGGAGTCTCCTCCCAGTCGTTGAAGGTTTGGGGAGCAGCTGATACAGCAAGGAGGGCTCTTGCAAGGATTCAAGGTAACAGTGCAGGGTTTCGGTGATTTTTCTCCCCTTTTCATTGTCCTTTTTGGTGTGTCCGTTGGTAAAGGGACCATTTTGCTCTCATACAACCCTCTTGCCCTGGTGCCTGGCAGTGGCAGGCAGAGGGAATGATGCCACCTCTCCTAGTTTCTGTCTTGTGGAGTTGAGCAATGGACTTTGGGGTTGAGCTAGAGATTGCTCTGGTATTGCCTCCTGGTGTTGCATGGCTGTCAGAGGGTTTGGGCTCCCTGCCTGACCTATATTGCTTTTGCCTGGTTTAAGTCCTCAAAGTTAGTGCAACTCCTATTAGCTTCAGAAAATTCAATAGGGCTGCATAATTGCAGAAGATGACGAGGACTTTTGCCTGCCCAGCTGACGCTGGGAGGTTCATTATGTTTGGGAAGGAGCCCAAAGAGCTGAGGTTACAATGCACGATATCTATATTATCGTGCTCATAGAGCCCTATGGCATGTTTCCCATGCACATGCAGTCAGGAAAATAAAATTCCAAACAGTGAACCCTGTAGGTTGCAAATAGTCTCCCCAGGGTGGTGGCAGAAGCCCCATTGATTGACTTGAGCCTGGCAGAGCACTGGAGACACTAGGGAAGAACATTGCTGTGCTGAAAGGTGGGATGTGCTGGTATCATCTAGCAGATCTCTGTCTCTGTTTTTGTGATCATCTGGGTACACTGTCGAATGCTGCCTGTGGTGTGTGTATGTATGTGTGCTTGTGCTCACAGCTGTATGCAGGAAACAGGCTGCCCACAGAAGAACCAAGCATGTCCAGCACCCTGTCCAAATCACGGATGCCTGGAGTGTTCCTGCCTAGTAGGAACACGAACTTGTGAGCTGTTGTTCCAGCCCAGAGGACTCTTCTCCTCACCAAGCAGTCCCTCTGCATGGTACATATTTATCCAGGGTATATAGACCTAAGCCAAATGTTAACCAATGTTCAAGCTAATGCACTGTAATGTGATTGAACAGACCCCTCTGTAAAGAATTGTGTGTGTGCTCTTTGCAGCCCTAGGAGCAGGGTGCTATGAGCAGAAACAAATGTTTTGTTAAAAGGATAACAATTATAAAAGGTCAAGCTTATAGTTGGGTAATCTAGGCCTTATTCAGCAGGGACATTGTTATGTCAGCATAGACCAATCAGAGGGATAAAAGGTATATTATAAGTCAAGTATTTCTGCTTCTGTCCTTCTCCAGACATGTGCATGTTGAAGTGACTCTCTCTGACCATGCTCGCTAAAATACATGCAATGCCAGTATTAACCAAGCAACTAAAGTATACCAAATCCCCCGGGGGGCAGTCTGATGACATCAGGCAACAGCAAAGTGATGCTGGAGTTTGTGTGCTTTCCCTCCTGACTCACACAGTTGTGTGTATGTTATTTGTTTAAGGCATGACCCTCTGGAGTCCCCCTTCACCCAGAATAAGTTGCTTTGCAGCACTGAGGGCATGACCGAGACATGCTGCCACAATGATCCTGTCTTATCAATATCAGAGCTGCTGCCTACTCTAGGAAAAGATGCATGCCTTGCTTCTTTGAGGAGGATATAATTTGAAAAGGCACAGAGCATGTATATTGTGAAATATTTGAGATAAAGGAAGCAAATGTCACACCATAGTCTCCCCTTCTGGAGGTCAGCTGGCGCCAAAGTGTTTGACAGCTGGGCTGCAGCCATGGAGAAGACAGGAGCATTCTTGACTCTTACTTCCCCTCTTCACCAAAAATGGAGCTGGCTTTGTCTCCCAGAATGGAGTGATGTGTGCTGCAGTGTGGGCACAAGAAAGGAGGTGAGGAGAAAAGGGCTGGGGAAGGAGGAAGGTTCCTGCTCTGTCAGCATGGGGCTGGTCTCAAAGATGGGGAGCATCTTCCCTTTTTGGCCCTCAAAATTATCTTCTACGTGCTCCTTTCTGGCCTCCTGACAGGTTGTTTACTGAACAAGGCCAAAGGGCAAAGAACAACCCTGTGTCATCACCTTCTCCTGATCCCCTTTCCCAAGACACAGGCTGGCCACTGGAGAGCATCACAGAAAAATGATACACTCCCTTGAGGCACTGCTCTGAAATCCCTCCCCAACTCACAAACAAGAGGTAATCTGGAGGGACTTGAGACATCTGCGTGGGCACTTTCTGCTGACTGGGATGCTTAGTTGAGGTTTCCTGGTTAGTGTTTTGTTTTCCCCACTGCGCAGTGTATTTTTGGTGATTCAACTCTTTCTCTTAAATAATAAGACCTTGTATACATTTTATAATGGCATCCTCTTCCAAAGGGCTGACAGCACTTTCCAGAGCTCATCTAATTAATCCTCACACGGCTTATTGTCTCATTTATCTTTGATTACCCTAAGAAGTAAAGCTAAAATGATTTTAGCCCCCTTCTTGGAAAAGGGAGGGCAGAGAACCTCAGAAAGAGGAACTGCTTTATGCAGGGTCACACAGCACTTAAGGGACACTGTGGAATTGGATCTGGGTCTCACTGCTCCTGAACCAACCCCAGACTCCATGGGCTTCTTCTAAGGAATGGTTTGATTTTAGTAATTATAATCTGATTTAGTTGTTCTGTACTTTGTAAGGATGGAGATGTTACAATGACACAAGGTTTCTCCTCCGGGACTAACTTAAAAGCAGTGAAGAATAAAAGTCTCATAGGCCTTTGCCCTTGCCTTCAGTGATCTTGCAGTCTAGTTAGGAAACTAGGCTCCCATCTGACAAAAGGGAAATGATGATGTAGGTTCTAAACAGCAATTCAATACCAGAGAATTCACAAGGCTGACCTAGTTCATCTGCGATTGATTCGTACAGATAATGAGAACTATCAGTATTCAAAGGAAGGAGAATTTGAGTTGAGCCATGAGGGATGCGGTGGGATTTGTTTGGATAGAAAGAATGAGGGAAAGGGTTCTAGCTGACAGAAATAATAACTGCAGCACTGTTGGGAAGTTTGGAAACTTCGAGGCTTGCTTGATTCCTTGGGGTTTACCCTGGGCTACCTTTCTTTTCTGCATTCTGGAAATACCATACACCTGGTTAAATTATTTTAAACATATATTGGTCTACAGGAAGTTGCCCTAGAACCTAGGCAGGGGGCTCTGTATTATGCTGGGCATCTCATTAGACATTGAAAATTATCTGGCCTTCCACCCATCCTCAAGTCTAATCTATATATTGTGGGAAAAGTATTGCTCAACCTCAGAGAGCTTATCAACATGATATCAAAAAATCTGAATGAGGATATTGGGGGTAAGCAAGCAAATTTTAAGAGAACACACACACAACTTCTCATATTTTACAATCAGAATCTCCTAAGAGAGAGCCTTGATTTTCCTTCATTTCTTATTTCTCCACCCAAATGTTCCTCCTGGGGTTTTCTTAGAGCTGGCAAAATGCCAAAGCCCTTAGGCATTTAGCAGCGAGCAGGAGATTTTCAATCTTAAGATTCTTGAGCATGCCCATGTACATAACCTCTTGTCTCCCCTTCTCTCTCCCTTTTAATAAAACATACACTGTAGCAGCCACTAAGGAGGAGACCATGGAAAAGCGGGGTGGGGGGGGCAGGATGCGGTGTTGCCTGAAGCTGTACCACAGGGCACTGTGCTTGCTCAGCTGGGCAGGAGAGGGGAGAGGCAGCCTGCCAGCCTGGGCAATGCCAAGGAAGGGCCCACCAGGAGAGAGCTGTGACCAGCCAGCTACACACATTTGCTCCCACAGTGGGCATCTCTCCCAGAGGAAAGGTCAAGGCAAAGCGCAGGGCCTGTGAGAGGACTGGTAACACAACAACCCTAGTCACTGGTCTTCACGTGGTTTGGGATGTTTTTCATGCTGCAAGTCACCGGTGGCTTGGGTGGCCCCATTCCAACATAGAGGAAGTTCCCATTGAACATGAAAGTGGAATGGCTTACCTAAAGTCACTCCATAATTGCTTCCAGGTCAAAAGTAAAACCCCCAAGAACCCAGTCTGTTTGTTTGCTTAGCCCTAGGAGTTTATTCGGGGAACAGGTCTCAAAGGACATTACTTTCCCTTGAAAATCCTTCCCTGGACCTTGCTGTCACCCTTGTTTCCTGTCTTAAATGACTGTGCAGCTGGACTGTGAGCATGACTCCTTTTCTCTTTACTATTCAGAAGCATCCACTGCTATGTTTGGGGGCTGAGGTAGAGATCTGGGCCCAAGGGCATGTGGTTAAGGGTTGTGAATTAAAGTCTCTTCTATCTAGAAAGGAAGAGACAGACAGCCGAGTTATGCTTCAAACTGGGGACTATGGTGAACCAATCTCGTCTGACCAATTAGGATGCAGGTCAGCCCCTCTTTAAATTGTCACTCTGCCATAGACAGAGAAGTAAAGTTGAGTAGCATCAACACAGCATGGAATCATCAACAGCCAGTCCCATTATTCCTCTTACTGAGGCTCACATGAAATGCAAACTTTTCTGGAATTCTGGATTGGGCAAAGGGAGAAGACAATTTGATACCTCACAGGACTAAGCTCTAGGCAGTTGCCAATATGATAGCATATTGGCATCATGTGGGTCTTGAGCACTTGAAATGTATGCTGTAAATGTAAAATATGCATTGGGTTTTGAAGACTTGGTTTGAAAAGAAAAGCAATGTAAAATATCTCATCAATATTTTTAATCTTCATTACATGTTAAAAAGATAATATTCTGAATACATTGAGTTAAATCAAATATATTAAGATTAGTTTCACCCATTTCTTTTTTATTTTTTAATGTGGCTACTAGAAAAGTTAAAATTATGTAAGTGGCTGGCATTATTATTATTATTATTATTATTATTATTATTATTATTATTTTTGGATAGTGTTAACAAAGGCCCTGCAAAGTAGTGACAGGTTAATGGGGAAAAGGTGCAGAGGCATGAAATAGGAGGAGTTGGTGACATAAAAAGAGAAAGAACATGGAGGGAGGGGTCAGGAGCAGCCCAGAGTGAGCCTTAAGGCATGTATTTCTAAAATTTCAATTCAAGAAGGGCACAAATAGCATACACCAACCTATATTTATTTGAAGAGGGACCTTGTTAACTGTAATTAAGCCCACCCAAAGCCTTTGGGAAGCATTACAGCTCTCAGCTCACATACAAAGAGTGAGCCGGTGGGTGGCTTGGTAATTTTATCCTAATATTTTCGAGTTTTTGAATGACAGTAGAAATAACCGAGTAACTAATCTTTAGGGTCTTACTCCAAAGGGTGAGGACACAATAGTGGGATCAGCTGGGTATGTTTGTCTTTCAAATTTCCTCCTTTCTTTTTATCTCTACCACATTATGATCATTCCTTGTGAGAGCTTTCTGTTTTCTTATCAATATGTTGATAGTGTGGTGGGGAGAAAGAAAGGCATGGCCATGTATTAAAGATTATTTTGTGAAATAATTAGCTGGGCGTGGTGGTGCAAGTCTGTAATTCCAGCTGCTTGGGAGACTGAGGCAGGAGAATCGCTTGAACTCAGGAGGTGGAGGTTGCAGTGAGCCAAGATTGCGCCACTGCACTCCAGCCTGGGCAACAGAGCGAGACTCTTTATAAAAACAAACAAACAAACAACAACAACAACAACAACAACAACAAAATTTGTGGACCTACCAAGAAGAAGAATGGGGAGAAGACACAATAATTGAATTTTTAAAAATTACAGATTGGAATATTATAACTCATTCATTGTCATTATTGTCATTCACTGCAATAAGTTTGGCCACAACTTGAACTCATATTTGCTTATCATTCTATAGTTCACAAAAGGTTTTCACAAGCTTTCTCTCACTTGATTCTCACAACCCTGTGGGATGGTTATTAACTCCATTCAAGGTTTTTCATAACCTGCCCCAAATTACCTTTATTACTGTATTTTCTAATCCTTCTCTTTCTATTTACTTCATTCAATCTTGCTTAATCAAACTACTCTACTTACTGTTCGTACATGTTAACCACGTAAAAGGGGGATTATTACCTCTTGTATTTTCAGTTTTATCATCTATAGAAGTAAAAAATAGTAATGCTAGATCTCTCAAAGGGTTATGCTAAATGTTAAATAAGATAAAATAAGTAAGGTGCCAAACATAGTTTCAGGCACATTGTAGATGCTCAACAAATGTTAACACTCTTTCTTACTAAAGGTCTTCACTTTGACATCACCAAGATTAAAATTCAAAACTAAAATCAGTGTGCACCAATTCACATCCCAAGCTATTCCTTTCCCCAAATTCCTGCTTTGGTTAAAGGTACCAAAATCCACCCGACTTCCAAACGAATAATGAAGAAATGTAAATTGTCCTGGGCTCTGCTTTCTCTCACACTGCCCCTACATGCCCCTCCAGGCTTGACAGGGTCTACCTCCTAATGATTTCTCAAAGCCATCCTCTCCTCCTCACCCCTCGTGCTACTGTCTGATGCCAGGCTCTCACCCTTCTCTCCAGCATCTTCCCAGGACTTGATCTCTGTATCTCTTCCCTTGAAGGCTAGCCAGTCCAGTCTCTTCCCTGCAGCCAGGATGATCTTTCAAAATAGTAAATTTGACCATGCTTTTCCTCTTACTGTAATTCTCCAGTGACTCCCCACTATTGTCAAAATAACAATTGCTTAGCATAACAAACAGGAGCTCCTTCATGAGCTGGTCCAATAACCTCTCTGTGCATCTTTCCTACATCCCGCTTCTCACAGCAGCCACTTCAAACACCAGGCAGCTCCCTCAGCACTCTGGAGCCTTAGAGGTCTTGAGTTGTTTTCATGCAGAATCTTCCCCTGTCCTATTCTCTGCTTCTTGAAGGGTTACTGAGCTTTAAGACTCTGTAAATAGTATCCCTCTATGAAGTCTTCTCTGAAACTCTGGGACAGAATTAATTGCCTCCCCCTCTAGACTCCTACACATCTTGTTCAAATTCTGTTTTTGCTCTGTACTCACCACACCATTCTGACTTGTTGATATGGCCATCTCCTGCACCAAGCAGCAGGGCTGGGATCGAGGCTCGAAGACATACTTCTCTGAAAATACTTATTGAGTATATTATTAAGAGTGTGTAGTGCTGGGTCATATTCCTAGGCACTGAGGATTCAGCAAACAGCAACACAGATAAAAGGTCTGCCCTCAAGTTGCTTCCATTCTAGACAGAAGGTATGATTATAATCATGATAATCATGGTTATTATGGACATTGCCGATAATAGCTAACACCTTAATAGTACTTAAGTGTCAGGCAGACACTGTACTGAAGTTTTACACAAATAAACTCATTTGATCCTATAAGGTAAGTAGGTTTGTTATTTTATAGACGCTGAGTTGAAAGCCCAGAGAGGCTAAGTAACTTGCCCAAGACCACACAGCTAGTAACTAGGGGAGCTGGCATTCTAATCAAGTTTAGACCCCGAGTCCACATTCTTTATTACTATGGTATCCAGAAAAATAACAATATAAACAAATAAATAATTTCAAGTGCTGATAATGAAGAAGATAAAATAGAGTATTGTCAGACAGAGTGACTGAGGCATCGGTCAGGGAAAGTCTCTTAGAGAAAGTAACATTCAAATTGAGGTGTAATTTGTCAATTGAGAAAAGTAGAAATTCTAGAGTTGGATCTGGGAATCTAAAGAGGAGAAAAATTGTTTCTTCTATGTAACCAAGACACTAGCTGCTGTGATGTTCACTTGTCACTGCTGGAGGTACCACACTCAAGCCTGGGTGGCCTTGGGGTACAGCAAATAGCCCAAATGTTCCCAAACCTATCCCCTATCAATCTATTTGTCCCTCCTGTTCTTTTGGGTTAAGACATATCTCAGAAGGTGTCCAGTATGCTGCATCCTACAAGGGTAGGAAGCATGGCACACACACACTCTTTCTCTCACACACACACTCTTTCTCTCACACACACACACCTGTTTTGCTGAACCACTTTATTTCACTTCTCTCCTGTGAACAACGTGTCACTCAGAACCTTAGCAAAGTGACAGACAGAGGCATAGCAAAAGGGCTGGGGACAACCCAGAGGCATGAGTAAAAGGGGAAAAGAAAATTATTTTTTAACAAGATGAGAAGTGAATTGGACTGGAGGGAGAAATGGGAATTTGATCAAGGAGGGGTATGCAGAGGGGGTTGATTCTGAGATGCTGGCAGTGTTCTGTTTCTTGACCCGAGGGCAAGTTTGCTCTACAATTTTATGTATATACACACACATCTATACACACATATGTACGTATGTATTCACACACACGCACACCCCGTATATACACATGCATGCATCTATACCTTCTGAATGAATATCTCTTATAATAAAAGGTTAAAGAAATGATTTGGCGAGCAGATGAAATGGGTGGGACAAGTTCATACATATTTAATATACTCCCAATGCCTATTTTATGATAAAAATTGTACTAGGTTCATTTTTACTTATATTATCTCATTTAATTTTTATTACAACCTTATGAAGTAAGTGTCATTCCTGTTTTGCATATGGAAACTGAGGAAGGCAAAGCATAGAGGAGCAACCAACATTCAGACTCTGGGCTCTTGCCCCTGCACCATGCCCTCTGCCTTCCACCCTGGGTGGCTCTGAGGTTCAATGGGGTGGGTGACTTTTGGGTAAGACAAACCTGGGCATCAATCTGGTCATAGTCACTTACCCACTGTGTGACCTCTGCTATGTGTGGCTTGTATCAGCCTCAGTACCCCCACCTAGTAAAATGGATATTACACCTTATGTTGCACAAAAATTGTAAAGATTAAAGACAATGATTGACAAATAGCAGAGTTGAGCATCCTTAAGCCTGGAGGAAAAGGTTTCCCTGAATTATACAAGGACATATTCACAGTGGTTTTCATCTCTCAAAAAAGCAGTGGAAGACTTTCATCAATAAACCCTTACCTAAAACCCCAATATATAAAGCAGATAAAAGGGGAGCTCTCTCGTTGGAGCAGGCCTAGGGGGTCTGGAGCTCCGCCACCTGTTTCTTCTCTTTCCTCACCCACAAGTGTTCCCTAGGGCAACTCCTTGGAACCTAAAAGTATTCAAAACACATTGAAGACCACTGCAGAAGTTCTTTAAAAAGCAAAACTTGTGATTCATTTAAAATCACAGGTGATATATTAAAATTGATTTTAAAATATAAGACTTTCACTCACCCAGACACATCTGCGAAGTTCTGTGAGACTAGGACCAATCATTGTTGTTCTCCCTCGTTCTCAGTAATTGAAAATGCAAGGAGTTCAATGTCTATGAATGAGCGCCTGCTGTGTGCCAGGCACTATACTAGATGCTGAGAGTATGCACTGTAAGATCTCTTTCAAGTCTAACAACTCTCTATGAAGTAGATACTATTATTCTCGTTTTGAAGATGAAAAAATAAAATGGGTACAGAGAGGTTAAGTCAATTACCCAAGATCTCACATCTAGTGAATAGTGGAGTTGGGATTCAAACAAGTGTTGCAGGATGAATTAGAAAGCCAGAATTTTGCCATTAACTCCTGCAGCCTCTTCAACAGTGGACTGGGAGGAACAAGTGCCTTGCTCAAAGTTTCGTGCTTTTTCCCAATACTCCTCAGTTGTGATTTTTTTTCTTCTGTTTTCATTAGGGTACCCAGGTCTCCCAGAACGAAGGCAGCGGTCCTCCCTCGCGGGGAGCCCCAGCTCAGGGAGGGCAGAACATCAGGCCCAGCGGCAGCGGGTAGCTGGTGACTGGGGCCTGCCTGTCCCTCACTCCGGTTCATGCCCCATCCCCACCACGAGGCTGCCGGGCTGAGAGCGCGGAGACTCCTGCTAGGCTGTAGTCTGGCAGGCCGGGGGACTGGGTTTACTGGAAGAGTGTGAGGTGGGGATGCAGAGGGAGGTCCTTGAAATCCCCTTGAGACATAGAAATAACTAAGCACGCAGTGAGGACTGTGGGGGCAGCTAATGTCTGCCACCCCCTCACTCGGTGTTCAGCCATTTATCATCAATACGTCGTTAGGCAGGAGCAGGGGCAGGTGGCTGACGGGTGTGCCGGCGGCTGGCGGGGTCTTGGGAGGCGCCCTGCACACGCCTCTTCTTTCTGAAATCTCCGACCTTTCGGATTTGAGCCGCGAGGGACCGCGGAGCAAGGGCAGCCTCCTCCGGAAGCCTCGGGTCACTAGAGACCCCTAGAGGCGAAAAGCTGTGTTACAAGCCCCCGGCCGCAGAGGCGCAGGCGGGATTCTTGCCCCGGAGGTTGCCGAGGAGTGGCCGGTACCTTTCCTAAAACCCTTATCTGTAAGTACACTCCGGCAAGCTCGAAAGGGACAGCAGGGGAGCCATGTGTGCGTGCGCGTGTGCGGAGAAGGAATGGGGAGGGACAGTTGCATTTGCAGAAGCAATCCTGTCTGGAACTAAGCTGATTAGTCCTGGTGCCGTCCCTCCCTCCCTGCCCCACCCCTCCCATCCTCCCTGCCCCACCCCTCCCATCCTCCCTTAGCTCCCTCACTCAGCCTCACTCAGCCCCTGCAGCAATCCAGAGACTGCCCTCTTTGGCAACTCCCCACCACCTCCATCAAGATAATATCCTTCCCTCAGGGCCCTTCACACCTCTCAGTAACCTGATCAACTAATTTGTGTTAAGGTATTAATGACTAATAATGATTTAATGTGCTGCCCTCCCAATTAACACTAGAACATTTCAAAAGAGAAATTCACAGATTTTAACCCAAGTGAGACATGGTGCTTTTCCTTGTTGAGAGGAATTGTAGGCCCTTCAAAACGAACCATACAGACAGCTGCTGATTCTTTACATACGCTGCATCACTCCTGAGCTTAGCAATGTTTGGAGGCTTTATGCAAAGGCTCAAGCAGAATTTCCCAAAGAGGGCTGCTCTGAGCTACAACCCTTAAAGAACGCACCAGTACAGGCTTAATGAAGAAAAGAAACCTGGTGCCGCAATATCATGTCTTTAGAAGTTTCGATGGTTTTTTTTTGCTCTCGTATGTGACGACATGGTCATTGAGAGAAGAGGCTCAGGCATGGTGAACTTGGGTTCAAGTCTTTGGCAGGCTCTGCTACGTACCATGTATTTGATCTTGCCAAGTTACTTTACTACATTAGCCTCAGGATGCACATCTGTGAAATGGATGTGGTACAACTCACAGGGTTAGAGTATGAAATGAAATAATGCAGAATTAGTACTCATCAAGTCTGATATGTAGAATGCTCCATAAATGACAGTTCTTTTTCTTAAACTTAGGGGTTTTGTTGTTGTTGTTGTTGTTTTTCTTTTTTTTTCTTTTCTTTTTTTTCTTTTTTTGCCCTGTCTCAAACTCTCAGTGCAGGGCAGCATGCAAATGCTGTATTTATTTATTATTTAAAAGCAGGATGAAGCAATCCAGCCTCCTAGGCATGGTTGGTTTGGTAATGAACTAGATTTCTTTCCAGGTGATGGCAGTGTGTGAGCTTTTTTTTTTTTTTTTTTTTTTTTTCTTTTTCTGCTTCGTTTCTTTAGATGTATCTCACAAATGCAGTGAGCAAAATGGATTTGGCAGTGACTTAAAAAGACTTCATGTATTTTGGAAAGAAAAAAAAAAGCCACAACAAAAACTGGTTTGTTTTTGTGATATATGGTTCATGTGATATGACAAAAATCCATTTTTATGCTTAGGAAAATTGGCTAATTTTAAAACAGTTGACACATGCCATATGCATATAGAGTAATGATGGATTTTGCTCAGGCAAACAACAGAAGAACACAGGGCCAGCAATATCTTTGTTAGGGCTTTAGTTGCTTAAATTCTTATTTGATGGGCAGATCTGCCCCACGTAGGAGAGGAGAGTGACAGGAAAAATGGACTCATCATGGCCTCAGGTAATGGAGTCAGATATTTGATCATAAAGATACTAAGCTTAGGACACAGACACTGTGTTTTCATTAAATCAGTGAGAAGAGACTTGGGAATGTACCAATGTAGCAAGCTTATATTCAAGAAAGTAAACAGTTTATGAAGATATTTTCTGGATAAAAGGTGTGGATGGTGCAAAGGATACTGACGTGGTGAACCATCATATTAAACTTACCCTGGTCATTCTTCCTGTTGGAGACATGAATGATTTTTGAACTTCAAATACTGTTTATAATGTGCTTTGGGTTCCTCTGGTTTACAGTTCTGCATAAATCACACTGAAAAGGGAATCCCACATGTTTTCCATTACTGCTAGATAGGGAAAAGAGACTGCATATGAAAGTAAGATGCTACAAAGATGGGACATTCAATGAGAAATAATTATGAAAACTTTTTTAAAGAGAGAGATAAGTGCTCTATTATCTTGATTTCCTTCCACTTTCAGTTCCCCATACACATCGACCAGATACCCAGCTCCTTATAGGCCGATGGTATGCAATCTACTTGACTCATAAAAGCATTTGGCTTTTATTTTACTTTATTTCTTTCAAGGCAAGATTTAATTAGTGACTGCAGAGAAAAAAAGCTGAACAGCTTAGAGGAGGTTTATGGTTAGGTTTGTAGGACTCAGCAATTTGACATTCTAATCCTGTCATTTCTCACCTTAAACTGAACAGAGTCAGCAGGGTTTTTTCCCCATAATTCATCCAGTTATTAGGTCTCCCCTCCCCTTACTTTTCACCCTCATCCTTTGTTTCATCTAACTTTTTGTGTATGCAGTCCTCTACTACATGGTTCTCCCCAACCCCACCCCAACTCTCAGGATAGCAACAAACAAACAAACAAAACTGATATCTTGGTGGCTCATTCATGACTGAGCCATCTAGAAGATAAATTCTTTCTCTCCCTACTTTAATTCCTAGAATGTGCCATCTATCTCTCATGTGAACTTGACTTCTAAGATGACTGCAGCCAAGGTCCTACAATGATGCGAAGAGGCCAAGTAGTATGTCTACTTCCCTTTTTAATTATAAACTATAAACATTTTGAAGGTAGAGCCTGAGTCTTTTTTTTTTTTAATCATTTTTTTCCCCAGATCCCTGGCTCAATACTGAGCACAGGGAAGACTTTTATGTTTATGCAGTTAAAAATAAAATAACAAAAACCCCAATACCTCATCGTCTACCCCACCACACCCATTTCCATTAAAATATGGGTTACTAGAAAGTTAACAAGAATCTTTCCTATTAAGAATATTTAGTGTTCAGGATTTCAAATGTATATGTTACAAAATTAGGGATGTGTTTCCTTTAAGGCAGTGGTTCTCAAAATGCAATGTGCACCTGGGGAGCTTATTAAAATGCAGAATCCCCAGCCCCTCCTCCAGAGAATCTGATTCTGTAGGTCTTGCATGAGATTCAGAAAACTGAATTTTAACAAGCAGATGATATACAGACCGCATTTTGAGAAATACCATTTTAAGGCAATCCAAATGAAATGTTACCCATACTCGGTTTGGTAGAATATTAACGTCGCCTAAGTGGTTAATGGTTGTCATGTTGGAAAAAAAAAAAGGTTCTGCGATTAGAAAAGTTGGAGAACGTGCCCTCCTTTCCACCCATCCCCTCATAGGCACTCGGAGGTTCACAATGCACTTATCACATTAGACCGGTCTGGAAAGGTCTACAATAAAGAAACATGTTTTATCTTTGTTTAGCCAAGTATTTCCAATATATCTTGACCTTGAAACTTTTTTTGATCTTATTACCAAACACCTATTAAATATGTGTTTAAATAAATTTTCTATGGAAAGTACTGCCGTAAGGGAGAAGGAACCACCTACAGGAGGAGGGTGATATTGCAGCCCAGCCATATTATCCCTATTAAATTTCCAAAGGAGAGAATGAACAAAGTGCATGCGGAGTTAGGGGAAAATCACTAACCATGTGGGATATCTTACAGCCTGGAGAAGTATTTATAAACAAACGTAATCATTCTTTATTGAGCATTTAATATTTATCAGGCACTAGTCTATGTTTTTAATATGTATTAACTCATTTAATTCTCAGAACAATCCTATAAGTCAGACACTTGTATTATTCCCATTTTACTGAAGAGGAAACTGAGACACTGAAAGGCTCATAATTCCCTAGAGATTACAAAGGTAGGAAGTGACACAGTGGAATTTGAACCCAAGCAGTGTGCCTTGAGAGCCTACCCTGTTCACAGCTCTATCAGACAGCCTCTCCTCTAGTAGCAGTGTTCTGGAAATTACTGCCAGTGAGGAATGAGCTCCCATCAGACATAACCTGTTCAGGAGCTATGCTGTCCCAATGCCGCAGGATACTCCTTTATACATGAAGGCCTGTGATCATTGCCCTTTATTCATCAGATAATTTATTATAATGACTGCCTGAACCTCTGAAAGATTTTGCTGTACTTAAACACAAAATATGCTTAGCAAAACAACCTGACAAGGATGATTCATGGATAGCAATTAAGTGCAGAATCCTGTGCCTACCAAATCCTAAATTGGGTTGAAGATCTGGCCATCCCGCTGACAACTTGATATGGAATACAGTAGGCTGGCCCTTGTCAGTCCACCCCACTCTCAACCCTCTCATTGCTCCTGGGCATGGGAGGTATCCCTGAAGGGGCAAGCTCTATGGATGACACAATTCCAATTCCAATTTTGGCCTCTGGCAAGTTGCTTCACTTCTATGGCCCTGAGTTTCCTAATCATAATACAAAAAAGAAAAAAAGGAGGATAGACTAATGATAACTGTTAGGTTAGTGCAAAAGTAATTGCAATTTTTTGCTACTGAAAGTAACGGCAAAAACTGCAATTACTTTTGCACCAACCTAAAACGTTGTAAGCCATATATATACATATGGTTTATTCCAATGTTTGCCACAGGAGCAGTGTTTGGTCTCTTGTGCTCTTAGGTCCTGAGGGTGAGATCGCTCCTTGTCTGTGCCTTCAAAGATACTTATGTAGAGGTAATGGAGGTCAAAGTTAGGACCCTGGGAAGTGAGAGGGAATTGAGGAAGAAAACTCTTGGCTTCCAGATCCTGGATCTCTTCCAAAATGCATGTGGGATTTGGGTCACTGGGCCTTATAATACAACCAGGATTCCTGGTTACTTTAATTTTCTCCTTTGTAAAAATATGAATAATGCTAGTTGTAGGCGTATCCCACTGGGAACTTTGCATCTTGTTCATTAACAAATGCTTAAGAAGTATCACATCACACTAAGCAGGCATTTCTCAAAGAGCCAACACATTCCAGGCATCATTTTAGACACTCCACAAATGTGAACTAAACAATATGCGCCTTTTAATGGCAATTTAGGCAAGTTAGTTCTTGGCCTGAGGTTACACAAGTGGGAGAGGCAAAGTCCAAACCTAAGTCAGATCTGTCTGACCCAAACTGCCAATTTTTCCTCTCAACCACTTAGAAAAGGTATGAGGAGGGGAAGTGACAGGAGGGACAAATGAGGTCTGGCTCTCCAGTGACGGAGTTTTAGAAAGAACCATTTCAAAACCTATCAAGATCTTTGGAAAATCAGCCTTCCCAGTGCCTTTTCCCCTTCTACCCCAAATTTTGTGGCTTCTCTAACTCAACTGTTTCCTGCCCTAGCATATTGTGCCCCCCTAACCCTCACCCTGCCACACCTAACAGAAAATGCTTACGGCACATCCAGGCTGGCTGGCCTATCATCAGTCACCAGTTCCAGAAGCCCAGATTGAACTATCTGGTCTTGGTCCTTGGTCTTCATCCTTGGCTACTTTATGAACTTGTTGCTCTAGACCCAGACCTTTTGGCAATGATGAAGAAGAGCACAAGTTTTTTTCTTCCCAAACTAAGCACATTCACTTACCAAAATGGGTCCTTCTTATGCCATTTTCCTTTGGATCAGACCTCACACATCCTGTGCACAGGGTCAGGCATGGAGTGAGGATGGAGCCTTGCAGCTTCTGGGGCTTCATATGAAGCCTGGAGGATCAGCTTGCAAGGAGGAAGAGAAGGTGGAGTTTAGCCAAAGCAGGCCTCATGAAGGCCGCTCAACCACTCATGTATGTCGGTATGTCGACTTCCGCTCTTGTTCTGCTCTTGAACAGTGAATGTTGTATTCCACTTATTTAATGATATAGCAAGTAGTTAGGACTATGAGCTCTCAAAACCAGGTAGGCCATGGATTTATCATTTGTTGTTTGAAGCTAAGTGATAGGTATAGAGGAGTTAACCATATGATTTTTTTCTATTTTTGTATATGTTTGGAAATGTTCTGTAATTTAAAAGATTAAAAAATAATCCATGGATTCTGGAGTGAGAGAGTCTTGATCTAAAATTCCAGCACACCTGTTCTCTTGCTGTGTTACCTAGGGCCAAAGATTTAAATTTTCTGAGCCTCTATTTTCTTATCAATAGAGATAATATCTATCTCAAAGTATTATTGTGAAAATTAAATGAAATAGTGAAACAAGCTATGCACAGTGACTGGCTCATAATTGCTTGATAAATAACAACTATCATTCTTGCTGTTATTATTGTTATCTTTCTAGTTAGCATCATTTTGTGACTTCTTTACAGCAGGTACTGTAACTTACTCAGCTTCATATTTATTCCATCTAGTTCAATTTCAAGCTCATATAACAAAAATAACAAATATTTATTGAGCTCTTTCGAGGTGCCAGGCATTTTCTAGGAGCTAGGAAAGTAGCAGTAATAAAGCAGACAAAAAAATAGAACCCGTGCCCTTGTGAAGCCTATGTTTTAGTTGTGGAAGACAAGCAATAAACAACAACAAGAAAAAAAACATAATTAATGAGTTGTATTTGTTGTTAGAAGGTAATAAGTTCAATGGAAAAAAATATAGCAAAGAAAATTGGAGCCCTGGAGAAGGGTTGAAGGATTAAATGGGATGGTCAGGGTAGACCTCAAGGAAGAGGTGACATTTAAGCAAAGACTAGAAGAAGAAGTTGGGAGGATGAGCCATGTGGATAACTGGAGAATTTCCATGGAGTGGAAAATTAATACTTTTTTTCTAGTAACTGCCCCATGACACTCTTTGATATCTATTTAACTCTTATATTACTTCAGCTTCTGAGGTACACGTGTTTTTTCCCACAGTAGGCTTCTTGAGAGCTGAGAACATGTATTACACTTGACATTTATGTTCATTCACAGAGCTCCCTACTCAGTATTATGCGTAGGTTAAGAATTCAGTAATTGTTTATAGAAAAAAACCCACACCTATCTTTCCTGAGAGGTTTTTTTAAAGAAGCAGAAACTGCAGTGTATGTTTACAGTAAAACTCACCCTATTCACCCATACCTTTGTAAAACACTCATATTTTCTAAGTTTCATTAGCTTGATATTTTCAAGTTAACTCAGGACAAGGTACACACTAATAGTAGAGAAATCGGTAGCTCAAGAGGGTTCTTGGAGAGGTAAAGAAGGCCAGGCTACAGGAAGATGAGGGAGAGACACACGTAATGTCTTTAATGCAGTCATAACTATGATAAAACATTTTAAAGATCTTAATGCAATTAGGACTTATGATTATACATTGTATGATCTTAATTGAAAGCAATAGTTCAAGTTAGACTTGATTCTGAAAACTCCAAAGACCAAAAACTGTAAGTAAGGAAGCTGAAAAAAAAAAGGTACTTTGGATTTTCTTATGATGCAGTCTATAAGATTTTCTGCCATTGAGTCACTTGATAGGTGAGACTTGTTTGTCAACAAGGTCCATTTGGTAACTGAGACCTTCAGTGACCAAACCTCCCAGAATAGGGTTCAGGACAGTCCTGCCTCTGCCAAGCCCCTGTCCACAGTGAATGTTGTAGAGAGGTGACAGAATGATTCATTTGGTCGCTGCCACTCTCTTCCAGAAAAGGACCATAGCCAACGATGGCAAATTACCTCTGGGGTGGCCATTTACCCTTAGACTTGTTACAGATCCAAACAATCAGAGTACTAATCTGTTCTTCTTAACACAGACTTACCCTGTCTGGAGGTAAGACATGTTTTGATCTTTTACCTCCAGCAACTGTGTCAATATAAATACTTCTCAACTTAGAAACTAGGTAACATTGATAATTACTTTAAACAGAGGCCTCCACATTGAGATGTTTTGTCCTCATAGAGCCTGATGGAGTAAGACATTGTGCAGCTGCCACTCTCCAGAGAGACTGTCACTAAAGCAGGTTGTCTATCTCCTGTCTCCTAAGGCAACCTTATGAATAAACCATCTTAACGTTAAGTCATGTGCATAAATAATTTAAAATTGGCTTGCAAGCAAAAAGGAAAGGGGTGTATGTGGGACACTGATCACATCATCAGTGTGCTCTCAGCCAAGACTGAGGAGGGTCCATGGAGCTTGGTAACAGGTGGTGAATCTGTAAGTTTCAACTGAACGGAAATTCCCTTACATCTCATTGTCCTCCTTTCTGGAACTCAGTTAACAATGGACAGGGCCTGATAAAATTCAAGCTTCCTCAGAATACCCTCATCTTTTCTTTTCTGCTAGGCTGACTCCAGACTAGAATGATAGGCACGTTGCCTTCAGAAGTAAATATGAGTCCCTAACTCATACGGGGCAACCCTCCATAAGTCTCTCCAGACTTTCAGCGGAAAGGCTGCAAAAACTCTATGGAGAGGAACTTGCTCCTCTTGTTTCTGAACCTGTCTCTCTCCTCACTCACTTTTCCTCACTAGGCTGGAGTTATGTGGCATTTAAAACATGTCCTTTCAAGACTATTTACCCATCTGTCCCCTAGAGCAGTCCCTATCCCTCAATCTTTCTCTCTTCCACATATATTTCAAGTTTAGCTCTTTCTGCTTATGTCGCACTTCTCTGCAATCTCTTTCTCTTGTTCTTTGTCAGCCAGCAAAAATCTCCTTCTTCCCTTCTCCAAAACAGCCCACATACCATCTGTTGAGGTTGGCAGTCTCCCGTTCTCTCCTCTCCTTGTTCCCCTGGTGGGAGTAAGTAAAGGGGGAGTTAGATCCCTCTTTGGAGCAGCTATAGGCAAACTGGACCCTGCTGATAGTTCTTCACTAATGGACCTTAGTTTCACAGGACAGGAAGTGAGCATTGGGTCCCAGTCTGTCTGCTTTGATTCAGGCAAAGTGATACACAGTTGGGTATGGTTAAGACAACAGACTCCAGGGTCAGATTGCCTGGTTTCAGTTCTGGGCTTCATTAGTTGTGTGATCGTGGGTGAGTCATATTAACAGATCTAAGCCTCTTCATTTAGAAAATGCAGATGATCTTTGTGTATCTTCCTCATAGGGTTATGGTGAGGACTAATAATACAATTTAGGGTTTATCACAGTTGCCTGGTCTATAAATGTGAGTCCTTATTATTACATCATCCTTAACCAATAGCATAAAGCCCAATATTTCCCTCAATAGTCAAGAGAAATACCCCAACACATTCATATTGCAAAGGGCCCTGGCTGTGTCATCAACTCTCCAGAGAGCGTTGTCCTTCCAGGAAGTATGATGTCTTTATTAGCTTCTCAACTGCAGAGCACTAGTTTACAAATCCAGGATCTCAATGCTAAAAAGCCCTCTCGAAACTTGTGTTCTAACTGAATAAGTGGTGATTTGCACATAGAGCATTTCTGAGGCTAAATTTCAAAGGACAGCTAAGTCTTGGTTTGGGAGTGCTTTCTAATGGCAAGCTCTGTAATCCAGTGCTCTTCCTCTGGGAAATCCATCGCTTAAGACATCTCAAGCTAAACTGAATAAAACTCTGGAGAACATGAGGATGAGGATGAGAACAAACTGTAGTAGCCCTTGGGGAAAGAGGACTTAATGGCCTGGCAGTCCCTCCCTCCCTCCTCTTTTTTCTTTCACTCTTTCGCTCTTTTTTTGTTTTGAGATGGAGTCTAGCTCTGTCACCCAGGCTGGAGTGCAATGGCAAGATCTCAGCTCACTGCAACCTCTGCTTCCTGGGATCAAGCGATTCTCCTGCCTCAGCCTCCTGAGTAGCTAGGATTACAGGTGTGTGCCACCACACCTGGCTAATTTTTTGTATCTTTAGTAGAGATGGGATTTCATCTTGTTGGCCAGGCTGGTCTCAAACTCCTGACCTTGTGATCCACCTGCCTCGGCCTCACAAAGTGCTGGGATTACAGGCGTGAGCCACCACGCCCAGCTCTGGCAGTCCCTTTCTAAATCTGGTTCATTTGATTCATGTGTCTTTCACCTCGAATGTGTGCAGAAGGGACCCAGACTGAAAACACCAATAATGTGCAGTTCTCCAACAACAAATTTTTAAGCTAGAAATTTACAATGAATCACCTTTACAAAGAGAAGATCTATTTTCTTTGTTATATAAAACATGTATTTCTTCTTGTGTTTTCTTTAATACATATCTTGATTTAACCTCAAATTAAAAATAAAAGAATACAATGAAAGACCATATTTCTTTCAAATAGGTTTAAAGGTGGCATCAATCAGTTGGAATAATGAAAATAATGGGAAACATCTTTAAGTGTGGGATTCATGTTCACAGTGGAGCGATTATTCCAATAATTGCTCTGCTATGAGCAGACATAATAGGGGTCTCCTGTAAACCTAATTTCCTCTCGTTACTTTTCATCTTTGGTGGGAATCTTCATCAATCTCCTAAAGTTAAGAGTGTTCTGATTTGAATCTCCTTTAAATGGAAAGGGTTGACTTTTTGTGGTAGAGACAAGAGACCCGGGTTTTTTAGTTGATGGCCCACTGCATATCTCATCATGTCTCTCAGTGTACCAGGTCATGCACACTTCTGCTGTAGGTGAATGGGTCTGGTAATTATCAAAGGATTAGTCTAAGAAGGAAATTATTTACAGAAATATAGGTGTGAGATTAGGGAAACCCACTGTGAAAGCTGTTTGGTTTCCAACTCTGTCTAACTTATTTTTTTCCCCTTACTACTGCCTGGATCTGTGCATACATGTTGGTTTGTGGGAGGAAATGAGCCCATCCTAGCTCTAGTCTTATTAAGAACATCACTCATCTCCCTGGTATAGATGAGTTTCAACTTTTATTACTACCAATGACCAATGGCTACACCTTAAGCTTAATTTTGGATTATTTACAGTGTGAGTGAGAAAATGAAGAAATGT
The DNA here is from genome assembly GCF_000001405.40 of Homo sapiens. Classification (NCBI taxonomy): domain Eukaryota; kingdom Metazoa; phylum Chordata; class Mammalia; order Primates; family Hominidae; genus Homo; species Homo sapiens. The sequence goes on from NC_000001.11 coordinate 177,192,710, forward strand.
AACTCTCAGAACATTTAAAACTTATTTTACCCAACCCTTTCTACAAATATCTAATTATGAGTAATGAACAAAGGCAAAATAGATCAGGTTTTATCCTGCTCTGCCAATATGCAGAAATGAATACGCAGTCAGGTAGTTGAAAACATAAAGTAGAGAAGCCAATATCTCAAATAACTAAAACACAGACTAGATTTAGGAGCTATCTAAGATTGAATAACACAAGAATAACTAAGATTTGACTGAAGTAGGAGCCAGCCTGCAAAGACCGTATGGTGAATCCATTACACTGAACATAACAACCTCACAATAGCAAACCACTACCCATGAGGGGTAGAGGAACTTCAGAGGAGGAAACCCACCTGGGTTGTGAAGCGTAAACTGCTTATGGATCCAGTTTTGTGTCTACAGGCAGTGTGGTAAAAACTGGGGCAGGTTCTTTCTTCTCCCTTTCTATCTGTTTTAATGATGAGGATCTCATTACAAACTATTTATTTCACCTACCCTACAGTCAGAAGCCACGAGCATGTGATGGGTGAAGGGAAGAATCAAAATTTCCCAATAGCACTGTCATGTTTCCAAACAGTTTTGATCAGCAATAATAAATGCCTGCATTTGAGCAATTGCAAGCTATTTCTCAGGCTGTGAGGGGGAGGGATTAGAGAGACAATTAGACAAAAATCATCTGTGTTATCTTATTGAAAGCAAATGTCTGCCTTATGTTAATGGCATTTATAGGATCTAAAGAGGTAATACTAATGGAATTATAGGGGATGTGGCCAGGAATGCCCAACAGGCACCTGTGGTAATTCAATTAGAAGAACTTTCAGGAACCATATAATTGAACGAAATTTTAGTTTCCCCCTTGTTGAGTGATTTGACAAAATTTGTACCTGTCTCTCTTAGCATGGAGAAGGAAATAAAAGAATGCCCTTTCTTGAATTTGAGCCATGCCACTAAAGCGTTCCTCAGGTAGAATTTAACAGAGAAAACCCTGCCTTGTCCCGCACATGCCCTTACTGCAGGCTGAGGTCTTTACAGCAGACACTGTTGGGGCATTTATAGACTCGTATGGTTCTGTGCTTATTTTTCCCATCACATGGTGAAACTGTGTTTAAAAAGGCTATTGGTGTTAGGAGGAGACCCAGCTATGATCTGTTTCAATCTTCTCATTTTATTCAAGAGGAAACAAAACTTCAGGGGAATAACTCATTTAGGAGACGGACTTGCTCAAGGTCACTGAAATAGTTATCAAGAAAATTGACAAGTAGAATTGGAACCCAGTTCCCATTCTTTCTAATCCATGGCCCTGAACTTTTACATAGTATTGTTGCAATGGAAATGTTGGTATTAGCCCTAAACAGACACTGACATACAAAGATGCTAATATATCTATGAGATGTTTGGCTGTATTTATTATTGTTTGTATCATGTAGAAAGGAAACAGTGAAATTCTTCTCCCTTAATTATTCTCCATATAGGAGAGACTATGGGAGGCTTTTTGTTTTCTGTTTTTCTCACTAACATTTTTAAAGCAACTTGTAGGAAAACAAATTTTCTATTCCTCCCAACACCTTAAAAATCTTTTTACATGACAGAATCTTAGTCCTGGTTCCTTCTATGAATAGGATATTTCACTTTGCCATTGTTTGTTATCCACCATCCAAGGAGGATAGATAATGGAGTTCTTTCTGCCAAGCAAATGTTTCTGAGAACCTGGGTCCAGACGAGGACACTGTGCTCTATCTTGGACTCTGCCTGAAAAGGACATCCATGTTTTAAATGGACAGAATCACAAAGATGAGAAATGTTCATTTGCCTGGTATCAGGAATGGGAATGAGATGCATTCTTAATTTGCAGGCAAAACCTTGTGTCTAACCATTTAGTGTATCAAATCTCCTTCTATCCCCTTTTGATTTTAATAAGCCTTCATTTTTTCCCTCTCCTGAACAGCTTCCCATGACTAAGAAGATTTAACTCTCTTTCCGTACATTTATGGGTGTCTCATACACATTTGCATATGGATAGAAAATGTAGGACTCTTAAGTGGCGAGGCTGTGTGTGTGTATGTGTGTGTGTGTGTGCACATGAGTGTGAAGCATACTCATCAGGACCTGCATGGCCCAGTAGTCTCTGGTCCCCTTAAGACGCTCTGTACTTTCTCCAGTGGTATTCTACTAGTTGGAACATTTTTGGATTTTCTTGTTAAGACATCACCTTCCGGGCCTCATAACAAAATAACTTCTACCCATTCATTAATTTTCTCATTGTTTCACCAAATACCTCTCGATCATCTATTGTATGGCCAGGAAGATGGCAGAACCTGTGGGTATAAAATTTAAAAAAATGATATGCTCACCACTCTTAGAAAGCTCACAGCCCAGAGTTTTTTCTAAACAAAGCCCACTTTTCTTCACTGTCCTGTTTCTTATTCATTGTATTTGGTTCTAAATGACATTTTATCTAAATATAAATTATTCTCTCAAAGGACAAATATTTGCCACCATTAATTGTATTTACAGGAATGTGCTTCAAGTTTTGGAGGCACTTCCAAAAATATTATTGGGCCATTGCCATATCCCTGTAATAAAACAGTGTACCTAAGGGACTTTTGTGATAAGCAAACTTCTCCTTTTGGATGTTTCAGTTCTAGCATATTTTGCAAAGACTGTTACTATTTTATAGCCTAATCTTACGCTCACATACTCAGGAGCAGCCCAAGGCAGACACGCTAAGGACAAAGCACGAGTCCAGCGCCCTGCCTTTCCTTTCAGCATTTTTCTCCCTCTTCTGTGACCGCTCTCAACCTCAAATCACCAAGTCCTCCTATGCCGTTTCTTACTTCAACTGAGTTTGAATCTTCAACTGTCACTCACTGATTTTATGGCTTTAGGCAAGTTATTTAACCCCTCTGGCTCAAGCAAAGTCAAACCAACACCAACGCTGGCAAGTGGGGGGGGAATCAATCCCTGAAAAGCAGCTGACAGACAGCCAAGCCAATCTTGGGATGTCAAGGGGCAAAGCAGACATCATTGAGCAGCCGGAGAACAAAACACACCAAAAGCCAAGTGGAGAAAAACGTGTGGGGCCCAAGTCATGGATGAATGGCAAAAATGCCCTGTAGGTAGCATTGTTGATAACAGATAGGCCAAGAGCAAAAAAACCTGGCACATGGCATTTTGCTGATTTGTTGCTTCTTTTAAAAGGGTTTGGTGTACTCCCCTCTCTGGGCTGTTGCCTCAAAGCATTTGTAAAGAATAATGATACCTTCCTCCCTGGGTTATTTTAAGATTTTGATGACACGCTGAATATGAAAGTGCTTTGAAAACTGTAAAGTGCTCTACAAATGCTAATTTCTCTATTTACCCCTTTTCAAAACTGCTCAAAGCTGGCAATTTATAGTAGGATAAGAGAAACAAATTCATGGTCAGGACAATGACTGATAATGTTGAATGAAGTGTGCATTTTAACGGATTGCATTTTCCTAACTCAGTTGGTTCAACCCAGATATACCTTAGAATCACCTAATGAACCTTGGATGCTTACCAGTGCTCAGGCCCTAGTTCCAGAGATTCTGCACTGACTCGTTTAAGGAGGGGTCCAGCTATCCATGTGGCTTAAAAGGTGATTCTAGGTGCGGTGGCTCACGCCTGTAATCCCAGCACTTTGGGAGGCCAAAGTGGGTGGATCACCTGAGGTCGGGAGTTTGAGACCAGCCTGGCCAACATGGTGAAACCCCATCTCTACTACAAATACAAAAATTTGCTGAATGTGGTGGTGCATGCCTGTAATCCCAGCTACTTGGGAGGCTGAGGCAGGAGAATCACTTGAACCCGGGAGTCAGAGGTTGCAGTGAGCTGAGATTGCGCCACTGCACTCCAGCCTGGGCAACAAGAATGAAACTCCATCTCAAAAAAAAAAAAGAAAGAAAAAGAAATGCAAATTCTTAGTTCCCACCTCAGACCTATTGACTCAGAAGCTCTTTGAGTGTGCTGTAGTTACCTGTTTTAATATGCCCTTTGGTTGATTCTGATGTACACAGATGCTTGAGAATCTTTGCAGTAGGGAAACTGAATCAGAGGTTAAGTAACTTGCTCAAAGTCATTTAGAGACTAAATAGCAGAAGGATTCAAACCCAGGCAATCTGGCTCAGAGAACTCACTCTTAACGTCTGTGCTGAAAAGAAGAAAAAAATCCTTCCATCCTGCTATGAACTGAATTGCTCCCCCACCCCAGTCCCCCCAGTTCATATGTTGGATCCCCACATCTCAAACGTGACTGTGTCTAGAGATAGAGTCTTTAGGAGGTAATTAAGGTTGAATGAGGTGAGAAGGTTGGGCCCCGTATTAGTCCATTCTCACATTGACATAAAGAAATACCTGAGACTGGGTAATTTATAAAGAAAAGAAGTTTAAAAAAAATTGGCTCACAGTTTTGCAGGCTGGATAGGAAGCACAGCGGCTTCTGCTTCTGGGGAGGCCTTAGGAAGCTTCCAATCATGGAAGGCAAAGGGGGAGCAAGGTGTCTCACATGGCAGGAGCAGGAGCCAGAGAGAGCAAAGTAGGAGGTGCTACACACTTTTAAACAACCAAATCTTGCAAGAACTCACTCACTATCATGAGAACAGCACCAAAGGGAGTTAAACCATTGATGAAGGAGCCGCCTGTATGATCCAATCACCTCCCAACCAGGCCCCACCTCCAAGATTGGGGATTACAGTTAAACATGAGATATGGGTGGGGCACAGACCCAAATCATATCAGATCCTAATCTGATAGGGTGTGACTTTATAAAAAAAGAGAGAGAGAAGCCATGTGAGGACATAGTGAGATGGTGGCTGTCTGCAAGCCAGGAAGGGAGACTTTGCCAGGAAACAAACTGTGGTAGGCCTTGATCTTGAACTTTCCAGCCTCTACAACTGTGAGAAAATAAATTTCAGTTGTTTAAACCACCCAGACTTTGGTATTGTGTTATGGCACCCAAGCCGACCAAGATGCATACCCACCAAAAAGGAAGAAAGATCATATGCAAAAGGGCCAGAGAAAGGAGAGACCATGGAATTTACCTGAAGCCTTGAATGAATTGGATGGGGAATAAGGTGTGTTGGATGAAGAGCAGGTGATCGGGTATGAGGATGTGACAAGAATGAAAGTTAGAGAGAGTGAAGGTAGGTCCTAAAGGCCTTGAAATCAAGAGAAAGGTGTTTCCACTTTTTAAAATATGAGTGATGAGGAGCAACTCAAGGATTTTAAGCAGATCAAATTTGCATTTTAGAACAATAACTATTAGAGAGAAAAAGATGGATATGAATATGGTGATTTGCTGAGGGGGGAGTGCGACAGTGGTAAATTGATAAGCTAGGAAGCTGTTGCATGATCCCAGGTTCAAAGCAAAGAAAATGTGAACTAAGGTCATAAAAGTTTGAGTCTAAAATATGAATATAAGATGCATTGGGATTAAAAAGCCTATGGAAAATGTATGTAGAAATGTTCACATATATATTACATCTAAACAGACAAAGGTATAGATTTGTATGAGTATGGATGGAGAAAGTTGCATGTCTTTAGACATGTATTAAGCTGTTAACATTTCTTCTTCAAAGAAGCAGAACTGGAGAGGAAAGGAAGAAATAATTACTGTTCCCTTATGCCCTTGTATTGTTTCACTTATTGCAATGAGCATGTGGTGCCTATTTAATTTTTCAGCAAATTCAACGATGATTGTATATGCACACACACACCCAGTTCTGGAGGTCAGATGTGAGACCTTGGCTTGAGATGTAAAATTGGGCGACAGTGCTGTATGGGTACTAATGAATCATGTGGGAGTTCAGAACCCTTAGGAAGTCCTCCAAATATGGCAGGCTGGGGTCCACCTTTTTTAAAAAATGGGCAAAGGAAAACAGATGAGCATAGAAGAACTAGCCAGAGAAGAGATGTCAGAAAAGAGTCCATTATCCTGAGGAAGCTGTTTCTTCATCCCTCATTGTATTCCCAGTTCTTGACATATAATAAATGCTCACTCAGTCATTCCACAGTTCTTGGATGAAAGAATGCATTTCAGGAAGAGCAGTGACTCCAATGTTACATGCTGCTAGAAAAGTCAGGTTAGCTCTGCAAACACCTTTTGAATTTGGCAATTAGGAGGTTTCTGAGAGTCAAAAGAGAGAAGAGCCACTTTTACTTTTTACACCTGTCTCAGTCATTTCTCATATCTGATGTCTCCCTTCCTAACCCTGAAAAGAAATTATACTCACAGATACATGAACACACACACCATACACATAAGCTTCATGTAGACACTGCATTCTATTTTTGTTCCTGAGGTAATATTTTAGGTAAGGAAAAAAAGCCACCCTTCAAGATTTTCATTCATTGCAAGATGGGAGTAGGAGTCAGGGGAAGCATATGTAAAGATCTTTGACCTATTTTAAGATATTTCACCTTATTGCCCCCAAATGGTTGCAGTCTTAAACCTTTAAACTTGGCAGCATGATAATTGTCTTAGAGAGAGGAATTGTAGGCCAAATTTGAGGAAAATCAATGACCTATTTTCAGTAGGGTGGTGGTTTTGGTTTCCAACTTTGGCCGCATACACTAGAGCACTTTTGTTTGACTTTTTAAGGACAACTTTGCCCCACATGAGTCCAGCAGAGAGGATGATTATCTGATAACATTTGGTCATCAGTTCCTTCTGAGGCCCAAGTCACAGAGATGAAAGGAGAATGGAGAGGCCACCAACCCTTCCCCAAATGTCCCAGGCAGACTGGAATTGAGAACTATTTTAAGGATTCATTCCCATATTTAGTAACTCACAGCATCTGATCTAGATTTCCTTTGTATTCAAGAGGAGTCCGTCAGGCTACAGCTGAAGTCCTTTCTTTTCCTTTCTTTAGTGAAGATTCAGAAAAGGCAGACAGCATTTTCAGGGTGAAAAGAACTTCTCAGCATTCTAATTTTAAAATTTTATTTAGGTTGAGAAATTTGAGATTCAAGCACGTCCCAAGATTGTTTTGTTGATGTACAAAAGCAGGACAGGAAAAAAGTAGAAGACTTTTTAAAAAATGCACTCAGTTATAGAATATAGCCAAACTCCTTTCTTTTCCTTATTCTTCTCAAGCAATGCATCTGCAGATATTCATGGCTCTATGTGCAAAATATGTAGAGAATCTGACCACTTTGCACCATCTTCACAGCTACTGTCCTAGTCTAAGCCACCATCATCATTTACTTGGTCCATTATTCTGACCTCTGAACTGGTCTCTACTTTTACCCATGGTATCCTAGAATGTATTCTCAGGCCAGGCGCCAGGTGTGGGACACACCTGTAATCCCAGCACTTTGGGAGTCTGAGGCAGGGGGATCATCTGTGGTCAGGAGTTCGAGACCAGCCTGGGCAACATGCTGAAACCCCATCTCTATTAAAAAATACAAAATGAGCCACATGTGGTGGTACATGCCTGTGATCCCAGCTACTTGGGATGCTGAGGCAGGAGAATCGCTTGAACCCAGGAGGCAGAGGTTGCAGTGAGCTGAGATTGCGCCCTTGCTCTCCAGCCTGGGCAACAGGAGCGGAAACTCTGTCTCAAAAAAAAAAAAAAAAAAAAAAAAAAAAAGAATGCATTAATGCATTATCAACATAGCAGCCAGAGCAACATAGCAGCCACAGTGAACCTTCTACAGCACAATGTCACACTCAGATGAAAATCTCAAGTCCTTACAGAGTCTTGCAAAATCTGCTCATCGCTGCCCATCTGACCCCATTCCTCCTGCTCTCCCACTCACTGCTTCATCACCACTCCAGCCTCCTGGCCATTCCTCTAACAAGTAAAGCAGGCTCCTCCTACCTGTACTCATTCCTCCCTCGGCTTGTCATACTTTTTTCTTCCAAATGCCGTGTTTGGTTTCTATCTCATTTGCTTCAAGTCTTTGCTCTAATACACCTATTTCTTGAGTACTCTATATAAAGCAGCACACCCCGTCTCTCCTTGCCCTGCTTTCTTCTTCTTCCTGGCATTTATGATCACTTAATACTTTGTGTATGTATTTATTTGTATGTTTACTGTGTATACACACCTACCCACCAGAAAGTAAGCATCATAAGATTAAATAATTGATTACTGCTTAACATGTAGCAGTTACTCAATATTTTTTGAAATAAATATGAGATAAAAATAATATTTATAGTGCTTCATTATTTATAAAACAGGTATTGTAAGTGAAGTAACTCAGGAATGGAAAACCAAATACCGTATGTTCTCACTTATAAGTGAGAGCTAAGCTATAAGGATGCAAAAGAATGATACAATGGACTTTGGGGACTCAGGGGCAAGGGTGGGAGTTGGTGAGGGATAAAAGACTACACATTGGGTACAGTGTATGCTGCTCAAGTGATGGGTGCACCAAAATCTCAGAAATCACCAATGAAGAACTTATCCATATACCCAAACACCACCTGTTTCCCCCAAAACTATTGAAATAAAAAAAAGAAAAAATAAATAAACAAAACAGGTATTGAATAGAACTGGACATCTAAGAGTTTCAGAGGTCTAAACTGATGATGGCACAGCTATGCCTTTAGTTTAATTTCTTCTAACATGTTTCTCTTTTAATTGGCTTGGACAGGACGCTTCAGGCAATTTTGGCTTCATCTATTGTGTCATAAAGGACTATTTCTTTAATAAGAGAGAAGGTACACTATTTCTTCAGTTTTCTCTTGAGGCCCAAAAATGAGTCCTTGCCTGTCACTGGAAGTCAAAGATTTTGCCTTGTACTTTTTGTCAGCCTTCATAGTAACAAACACTTTGCTTAGATATAGTTAGTTAACACTGAAAATTTTTTGCTTGAAGAATTAAAATTTGTTGGATATTTAGCTGGCTGAAGTTTGCCTGTCTCAAAGCCTATGTCATGAATGGAGCTCCCTGTGGTTGAATCTGGACTGAGGATCTGGATTGATACACCTTGATCTCATCAAGACCCACTGGGTATCAGGATGATGCTGGCCTCTTAAAATGAGTTAGGGAGGATTCCCTCTTTTTCTATTGACTGGAATAGTTTCAGAAGGAATGGTACCAGCTCCTCCTTGTACCTCTGGTAGAATTCGGCTGTGAATCCATCTGGTCCTGGACTTTTTTTGGTTGGTAAGCTATTAATTATTGCCTCAATTTCAGAGCCTGTTATTGGTCTATTCAGAGATTCAACTTCTTCCTGGTTTAGTCTTGGGAGAGTGTATGTGTCGAGGAATTTATCCATTTCTTCTAGATTTTCTAGTTTATTTGCGTAGAGGTGCTCATAGTATTCTCTGATGGTAGTTTGTATTTCTGTGGGATCGGTGGTGATATCCCCTTTGTCATTTTTTTATTGCATCTATTTGATTCTTCTCTCTTTTCTTCTTTATTAGTCTTGCTAGCGGTCTATCAATTTTGTTGATCTTTTCAAAAAGCCAGCTCCTGGATTCATTGATTTTTTGAAGGGTTTTTTGTGTCTCTATTTCCTTCAGTTCTGCTCTGATCTTAGTTATTTCTTGCCTTCTGCTAGCTTTTGAATGTGTTTGCTCTTGCTTCTCTAGTTCTTTTAATTGTGATGTTACGGTGTCAATTTTAGATCTTTCCTGCTTTCTCTTGTGGGCATTTAGTGCTATAAATTTCCCTCTACACACTGCTTTGAATGTGTCCCAGAGATTCTGGTATGTTGTGTCTTTGTTCTTGTTGGTTTCAAAGAACATCTTTATTTCTGCCTTCATTTCATTATGTACCCAATAGTCATTTAGGAGCAGGTTGTTCAGTTTCCATGTAGTTGAGTGGTTTTGAGTGAGTTTCTTAATCCTGAGTTCTAGTTTGATTGCACTGTGGTCTGAGAGACAGTTTGTTATAATTTCTGTTCTTTTACATTTGCTGAAGAGTGTTTTACTTCCAACTATGTGGTCAATTTTGGAATAGGTGTGGTGTGGTGCTGAAAAGAATGTATATTCTGTTGATTTGGGGTGGAGACATTTATGCGGCCAAAAAACACATGAAAAAATGCTCATCATCACTGGTCATCAGAGAAATGCAAATCGAAACCGCAGTGAGATACCATCTCACACCAGTTAGAATGGCGATCATTAAAAAGTCAGGAAACAACAGGTGCTGGAGAGGATGTGGACAAATAGGAACACTTGTACACTGTTGGTGGGACTGTAAACTAGTTCAACCATTGTGGAAGTCGGTGTGGCAATTCCTCAGGGATCTAGAACTAGAAATACCATTTGACCCAGCCATCCCATTACTGGGTATATACCCAAAGGATTATAAATCATGCTGCTATAAAGACACATGCACACGTATGTTTATTGTGGCACTATTCACAATAGCAAAGACTTGGAACCAACCCAAATGTCCAACAATGATAGACTGGATTAAGAAAATGTGGCACATATACACCATGGAATACTATGCAGCCATAAAAAATGATGAGTTCATGTCCTTTGTAGGGACGTGGATGAAGCTGGAAACCATCATTCTCAGCAAACTATCGCAAGGACAAAAAAACCAAACACAGCATGGTCTCACTCATAGGTGGGAATTGAACAATGAGAACACATGGACACAGGAAGGGGAACATCACACACCAGGGACTGTTGTGGGGTGGGGTTAGTGGGGAGGGATAGCATTAGGAGATATACCTAATGCTAAATGATGAGTTAATGGGTGCAGCACACCAACATGGCACATGTATACATATATAACAAAGCTGCATGTTGTGCACATGTATCCTAAAACTTAAAGTATAATAACGATAAAAAAATAAAAAAAGAAAACATTTAGGACAAACAAAAAGTAATCCTAAAGAAAACAATATGAAATAAAGGAATGAAAATAAAAATTTAAAAAAAAAGACCCACTGGGATAAGGCAAGATTCATGCTGTCATCTGAATGCACTGGTATGAAGTGGGGACCAATAAACCATAACCAATTCACTTTTTATTGATTTAAGGAACATTTTTGAGTGCCGCTTATGTGTTATTTAATATAAAAGATGCTAGGGATAAAACGGACCAAAAGAAATAATATGCAGCCTTTTTGGAACTTACTGACTAGCAGGGGAAACAGAGTTTGACCAAACAATGATCCAAACAAATATGTACAATCATAATTGAAACGTGCTATGAGTAAAAGAGAGGTGATGTTTCAAGAGGCTATAATCAGGAATTTGACCCTGACAGAGAGATTCAAGGAAGGCGTCCTTAAAGCCCTGATGCTGGAACTCAGAATTGTGGGCTAAGAGATAAGGGGACAGACCCCGCATAGGAGTGCCAATATCAGGAGCAAGTGCCCTGTGGTTGAAGGCACCAGATCCCTAGCTTTTTAAACCAGAACATTTGGGGATACAGACATTGGTGTGTTTTATGGCTTTCCAGATAATTCCAAGATGCATCCTACGTTATAAGAACCACAAGAATAGATGTATTATTTTGCCCTTCACTGTGATAGAAACCACTCGAGATTATGAAGCTGGTTGGGTATATTGAATTTGAGGCCGTTTTGAGACACCTAGTTGAAGTAGTCAGTTAGGTAGAACACAAATCATGTGAGTTCAGGAGAGGGCCTAGGGTGGAGGTGTGAATCTCATATGCTCTGTGGCTAACTGCCTTGTGAAGCCATGGATGGAGGTGAGGTCACCAGGGGGTAAAGTATACAGCAAGAGAGAGAAAAGGCCTAGAGCTGAGCTTTGAGAAACTCCAATTGAATGACTTGATGTAGAAGGATGAGTTTATAAGGAGTGGCCACAGAACAAGCAGAAAAAAAAAGAGAGTGGGGCCAAGAAAGCTAAGAAAATATGTTTAAGAAAGAGGCAATGATCAATGGTGTCAAATGGGCTTATGCAAGTGGGCTGGTAACACCAATGCCCGGCTCTCTCTCTAATAAAGAAGGTTAAAAATTTCTGATTACTTTTAATTGAACCCCTGAACTACCATCTGAAACTCTTTCTCTTTTCTTGTCTCATTACAAAGGTAATGAATGTAAAATATAGGAAATTTAGGAAAAACAGATTAGCCAAAATGAAGCAAATTTTAACTACCCATAAACCTACCAACCAGTGATAATTACAAATGATGTTTTTGTGTGTGTATATAGAGTCTTTTTCTAAGCAGATATACATTATGTTTAATGGAATAAAAACTTGCATTCTATTTTATAACCTGAATTTTTCACTTAATACATCCTAAATAATTTTTCATACCACTAAGTGTTCTTGTATGGCATACTTTTAAATGATTGTATTATACTGTATCATATGTATATGTCATAACTTGCTCAAGCAATCTATTATTTGATATTTAGGTTACTTTGGATTTTCCACTATTGTAAATATCATATTATATAATATAAAATGTGTTTAGGAACGTGTGGGGGAAGTGTCAACAAATAGCACTTCTTTCTTCACCTATACTTTTTTTGTTTGTGTTTTTTTGAGATGGAGTTTCACTCTTGTCTTCCAGGCTGGAGTGCAGTGGCATGATCTCGGCTCACAATCTCCACCTCCTGGGTTCAAGCAATTCTACTGCCTCAGCCTCCTAAGGAGTTGGGATTACAGGCACCCACCACTATGTCTGGCTAAATTTTGTATTTTTAGTAGAGACAGAGTTTCGCCACATTGGCCAGGCTGGTTTCGAACTCCTGACCTCTGACCTCAAGTGATCTCTTTCAGTGTCCCAAAGTGCTGGGATTACAGCCGTGAGCCACTGTGCCTGGCCTCCATTTTTCTTCAACAGAATTTCAGTTGAGGAATAAGACGCAAGTAAAGATCAGCTTCATTCCTGAGAAGAATGAGTACAGATCCTAGGATAACCTTGATCTGGAACCAAATCAGGCCAGACAACACAAGCCTTCCCATTGCTACTTCCCTAAATGTGTGGATTTAGCAGGCTGACCACACAGGCAGGGCCTGCTATGCTAAGTTTATTGGGTAACAGAAAACAGGCAGAATGCCCATCCACTGCAGGCTGTCTAGCTGGAAAAGAGAAAGAAGTCTAGAACTAACAGGTCAGTGTGAGCTCTGTGCTTCTCTCAAACTCACAATACCAATAGTTCTTGGTGAGGAGAGAGACCAGGAGTATATTTCATGGTGAAGTCTTCTCCTATGTGACAGCTAGGCTTCAAGATGGCCTTCAATACTCGTTAGTTCCTGGTATTCGCACCCTTGCATAGGCCCCTCCCATAGCGTATCAGTGCTGGTCTATGTGACCAAAAGATACAGCAGAAATGATGATGTGTGATTTTCAAGGCTAGGTCATGAAAGTCATAACAGCTTCTGCATTGCTATCTCTTGGCTCACTCTCTCTGGGGAGGCCAGATTCTGTGAGACGTGAGATGTTGTGAGAATACTTAAGCTGCCCTGTGGAGCGGGCCACATGAAGAGAAATGGAGACCTCCTACCGACAGCCAGCATCAACCCACCAGCCTTGACAATGAACCACCCTAGACCTGAATCCTCTTTCCCCAGTCAAACTTCAGATGACTGAAGCCTTGGCAGGCATTATGGCTACAACCTCATAAGAGACCCAGAGTTAGAGCCACCCAAATTTCTGACCCACAGAGATTAGGTGAGATAGTAAATATTTATTATCATTTCCAATCACTAAATTTTGTTATAAGGTAAGAAAATAATTTGTTACACATTTGTTACATAGTAATAGATTGTTAGTATATTCTTTAGAAACAAAAGGCCAGGTAAATGGTGCTTTCCCTCTCCCAACTAACATCCTTGTAGCTGAATCTTTGTGTACATCTTCAAAATAATTGTCCAGATGTAGACTTGCTAGGTGAAAGGAGATGCAGAACTCTGATGTTTTATAGCTAAATCTTACGTGTATTATTTTAGATATCACAGCATTGGCCTTAAAGCACGTGGTCATGTCACCACTACTCTTGCCCCACTCACACACATGCCTGAAGAACTGTGTGGAGACAGTGGGACAAGAAGAGGGATAAGGACAGCCAGTGATAGGAGTCCCCAGATGTTAGTAGGAAGCATGAAAGGCACTAGGACATGTGCTGACTTATGGATACTCAACGTGGCTACGTTGGCAAATGAGGCTTCAGAGAGTGACAGAAGTATTTTGTGGGTGAGATGGAAACACACTGATAGATGGAAAGTTAGTCCATCTATCTAAGACATCCACATCTAAGACATATGTGGATAGAAGAGATTAGGGGCAAGAGTGAAAGAAACATACAGCCCCAGAGCAATAGATAATACATATGGTGTTAGAGTTAGAGGAAAACATAACAACCACAGGAGAGGGAGATTTCAGCTAATGATTCCACACATAGCAAGCTGCTTCTGTTTATGGGCAGGAAGCTATAAAGCTGCAACACTAGCACATCAGGCCTTTCAAAGGCCTATTTTTAGAATGCTCCTGATAATGCCTCAGGAGTTGCTAGATCTGAATTAAAAACTCCAGGTCTCTACCTCCCCTCCTTTTCTAAGTAAAGGGTTATTGATTTACTAATGGCCTTTGTATCCTGCTGCAAATAAATCCTATAGAAGAAGAAAGATGTTACCTAGAGCCTGAGTGGCTAACAGCTTGGAAAAACCAAGCTCACAGGTAGACAGATAGAAGGCAAACTTTGAGAAAACTTTGAACCTGAGGCAAAGGGAGGAATCATGCAGGGTGGGAAGGAGGCATTTAAGGGGGAAGAGTAGGGTTGCTGAAAACAAGTGTTGTCATAGGATGCAGCCATGTAAGGGCGGGCATGTGGAAGTCCTGTGTGGATAACAGAGTCCTGCAGGCATTTGTTGGAACCAGAGATTTGTCAGAGGAGTGGGGTGCAACCAAGGGTCTCTGGGCTGAGTGGCAAATACATGCCTCGAATCTGGTCCCAGCTGTACCATTAGTCGCATATGTAAGTCTAAACCTCAGAATCTGGATTCTGCATCTTTCTCTATGAAACAAAGGGCCTTTGTGATGAGTCTAGAATTCCAGATGTCAGTTGCCGACATGGTGGCCGTTTTCCTGGAATATTTCTCTGGCTACATTGGTTACAGTTTCTCTCTGGTTGCTTCCCTTTCCCTGCTCCCTCAAAAAAGGCTGGTTCCTGGGGCTGAGAGTTAGAATAGGCCCTGGAGGTGGAAGGAGGTGAAGTGAGGAAAGTGAACCAAGAAGCTAAATCTAGACAGGAGGCAGGAAAAGCAAAATAAAGACAGAAAGACAGAAACCAGGAAAGAGAAAAGTCAGGCCAGAGTGGCCAGCAGTGCCAAACGCCGCAGACAAGTTAGGGTAATGGGGGAGAAGTGGATTGAGGGGTGTAGAACCTGGTGGTTACAACCTGCACTCTGGACCCAGACAACCCACTCTGGCCATGAAATGCTGCTTTAGAAATTAATCTCTTTAGCTCCTAATTTCCTCATCCATAAAAAGAATCTAACAGTAGAACACAAAGCTTTTTATTGTCCTGTGGATCAAATGAGACAATGTATGAAAAGCAGTAAGAGCAATGTCTGACACCCAGTCATCGCTCAGTAAGTACTAGCCACAGGTACTAAGATGCCTCCCAGGCTTGGAGACTGGAAAGTTGCCGCAGGTTTTGCAGAAGTCAAGCTTAAAGATGTTTGTGGAAAGACAGGCAGGCACTGTATGTAAGTAGGTTAAAGAACAGTGTTGAGAGGCAAATTTGGGAAGGATAGTTTTGTGTTTGAAACAAATATCCAACAAATGAGAATAAGTAGATAAGTACTGTCTTTTAAAAAAGTGTACTTAACCATTTCCCCACTCTCCTTATCCCCTGGTGTGGTGACGGCTGTAACCCACTAACTGCTGGTAACTGCCCTTCAGAGAAATGCATCCCAGGTGCTGAATCTGTAGAGAGTGTGCATTATTCTCTGGCCCCTTCTCCACTACATTCTACATTTGCATCATAGCCACAGATTTTTTTTTTCTTCATCTTCTTCTTTTTTCAGCTGTTGTCCTTTAACTGTTATTTCCTTAATGAACAGGTAAGATTTGATTTTAACACAGTTATCACAGTAAGTGCTGAAAAGGAAGGTGTCTAGGAGTGACACTGACGTGTTTGGGTCCCAGCCTCAATAAGAATCCTTTGAAGGCACAAATAACACAATTGGAGTTTATCAAAACGCATTACATATTTGAACCCTGGCAAGCCACCTCAGGGTACTGTACTCCAGGGGTGTGTTGATGGTACCCAGAAATGTACGTGATCAGGCAAATGTACTTTTCTTCTTTTGTTTGCCTCTTGGGTCGTCTCTTGCCTTTATTCCCTGCACCTTTACAACTGTGCTGCATCACCAAGAGTGAGGCTTGTCATTCTGGAGTTTAAGAGGTAAAACACAGAAGTGGCAGGGCCCTGTGTGTGACCGCATGGGTTGTGTTCCGCTCAACAACACAGGGTGCCATTCACTTAGGCTACAGTGTGAATGGTGCCTCTTGGTGTTGTGCAAGGACAATCTGCATCACAGTATGTGGTGGCCCTGTAGGGGAAGCAAGGGGTTCTAAGTTAGGATATTTAAAAAAAAAAAAGAAAAAGAAAAAAAGATCTGAAACCATCTTTAATTGAAACTTCAGGGATCGACAAGCACAGAAAGCATATGGGTAATTTCTCCCTAGGCCCTCCACACCAGCTGAGATGTCAGGAGGGCAGCTGCAGCCTTTGGGCAGCTCATTAGGGCAGAGAGTGAGGATGGATGGAGTGAGACAGAAAGCCTCTTCCTGCTGAATCACCAGCACCAGTTCCAAGATCTGCCTGGGCCATCCTCACAGGCTGCTTGGCCAAGGACTGACTAAGCACAAGGCTGTAGAACTGGCAGAGAGTCAAGAATGGTGGGGCTGGGCAATAGCTAAAGGAGTGACATTTGTGAATGAGTGTGATGAATTGTTTCTGTTTGTTTAGACTAAACCCCAGCTCCGCCTCACGCAAGTGGAGCAACCAAGTGTGAGACACTGAGATCCTGGAAATGAAAGGATTGTCTGACCAGCTGTTCAAATTGGTGGCTGAAGCTCTCCGGTAAGAACAGCTAACACTCAGGTCTCACTCAGAGTCTTATAGATAACAAAAAAAAAGAAAAAAAATGGAGATAAAAGAGTATTCATAATACCTTGTTCTAATTTTTTAGTTAGAAAAAGAGCTTTTATGATTATAAAAATAATTCATCGCTTTATAGAAAATTTGGAAATACATAAAATCCTAACAAAGAAGGTAAAGAGCATCCATAATTTCAGCACCTGGCAACAATTATTAATATAAATTCATTTGCAATACTTTTCTTTCTTGAGAGCATAGCATTTTGCTGACATTTTCTAATTCATTCTGTGGTGTAGATGTGTGAGGGTTGTTGGAATAGAACAGTGCGTACTTTTATTATCATTACAGGAGAGAAGTCAAAATAGCAAATTCACTGACTTCTCCAAAGTCAGAGAAATTTGTGATGGCAATATCTTCTGTCCTCTGCTTCTGGTCTCTAAAAATAAAAACAGCCTAACAAGTTAATATTTATCTAGTGCTTTTCAGTCATATAATCTTTCCCTTGTGGTGCCATTCTGCTGTGTGCTTTCTATATTTACTCACCTAAGTTCCAGAGCAGAGACAGCCATGGTTCAAGAGAGTTTAACCAAGCAGTTGGAGGTGGAAAATCAGGAGCCAGGCCCTCTGATTCCTTCACTTGTCTAGAACCATGCTTCACTCAAAATCTTTCTGCTTGAGGCAACAAAATGAAAAGAGTACACTGCTCTTCATAAAGTTACAGTACATATTTGTATATAGGAATGGAGTGAGCAATGTACATGCACAACAATAAATACATAGAAATATATAGGAATGGATGAAATATAGACCTGTCCAGCCCTGTGTTCATTATGATAGCCACCAGCCACATGTGGCCATTGAGCATTTAATATATAGCTTGTGCAACTAATTAACTAAATTTTAAGTTTTTATTTTTTTAAGTTAAAAACATACTCAGTTCAGATGTTAGAAAAAGTTTAAGTATTCTTGGAGTAACTCATATAGGTGAATCTATTTTTTAACTATAAATTATTTGACATCTAAATAGAGAATCAAAACTTTCCGATGAAAAATTATTATCTAAACTGAGATGTGCAGTAAATGTGAAATACATACCAGATCTCAGACTCAGTGTGAAAAAAAAAACTCAGTCATAATTTTCTTATACTGATTACATGTTCAGATGACAATATTTTGGATTAGGTTAAATAAAATATTATTAAAATTAGGTGCATTTATTTCTTTTTATATTTTTAATATAGCTATTAGTAAATTTAATATATATATTATGTATATATATATTATGTACATGTATATATATGGTTTGCATTATATTTCTATTGCACCACCCTGGATACAACCAGATAACAAGTCTCCAGTTATGTCCATAAAGCTTTAAATTATGAGGATCTGTCTTACAACGTCTAAGGTATTCCTCATGTGTTTCAATAAAAGAGCATATATTTTAAAATTGTAGATTGGTAAATAGCATAGATGTCAAAATTAGAACCAAGATGTCAATGTTGGCCCCATCAACTGTGTAAATATATATAACTTTATTTTTTTCATTTTTCTCCTGTGTGCTTCGTAGTAATTTCAGCTCTACAGGGAAGTTATGCAAGACTATAAATAACTCTCATGGGCCCTTCACCCAGTGACCCTTTCAAGGTTTACAGCTGACCCAGTAACAGCCTGTATGACAAAAGATCTAGTTCAGGATTGTACATTGCACGTACTTGTCATGCCTCTTCAGTGTCCTTCAATCTGGAACAATTTGTTCCTCCGTCCTACTTTGACCTTCATGACCTTAATATTTTTGAAGATTACAGGCTTGTTATTTTGTAGGATGTTCCTTAATTTAGATTTGTCTGTGATTTCCTCGTTCTGTCCAGCCCTGTGTTGTTCATTATGATTCAAGTTATGGCTTTTTGGCAGGACTATCACAGAAGTGATTCTATGATCTCACTGGATCCTATCAGCTGGCACATGATTTTTATTTGGGTTATTACTGGTGGTATTAACTGACCACTTGAGTAAGATGGTAGCTGTCATGTTTGTCCACAGTAAAGTTATTTTTTTTCTCTGTATAAGTGTTTTGAAGAAATACTTTAAAACTGTGAAATATCTCATTCTACATCAACTTTTATCCCATCGTTTGGCAGTGATTTATGTTTCTTACCTCAATGGATTATCACTGTGATGATTGCTAAATAATAATTCTCTAATTCCATAATTTTTGTGCATGTATTAGTTGACATTATATTATAAATAAAAGGTTTCTTTTCTTTCTCTGTTTGAGTATATCAATCAATCTACCTACCTACCTATGTGCCATCTGTCTACATATCTCTATAGACACAGATAGATAGATAGATAGATAGATAGATAGATAGATAGATAGATGATAGATAAAATGTGGCCTCATAGATTAGTATTTTACTCACTGAAATGTAATCTATTTGCCATTGTCCTGGAGTTCATGAGGGGAGCCCTTTCAAGGTGGCTCTGTGTCCTTTTGACATACACCCATTATTTTTAGGGTATTTAAAACATTTAGGCCAGGCGCGGTGGCTCACGCCTGTAATCCCAGCACTTTGGGAGGCTGAGGTGGGCGGATCACAAGGTCAGGAGATCGAGACCATCCCAGCTAACACAGTGAAACCCCATCTCTACTGAAAATACAAAAAATTAGCCAGCCATGGTGGCGGGCACCTGTAGTCCCAGCTACTTGGGAGGCTGAGGTAGGAGAATGGTGTGAACCCAGGAGGCGGAGCTTGCAGTGAGCTGAGATTGTGCCCCTGCACTCCAGCCTGGGCGACAGAGCAAGACTCTGTCTCAAAAAAAAAAAAAAATTTATTGGTGTGCTGGAGTTGGTTTCACACTAGCTTAGAAGAGCCCATTGTAAAATTTTCAGGATATTTGTGAGCTAATCCTATCAAGTCAGTAGCTTGGAACCTAGTATGGTAAAGGTATTTACATCACAGAAGTCTGCACATGTTACAATCAGAGCTTTTTCCCCCAGCTCTGGGTGTTAAAAATTCACCAGCACACTACTGTTTGTCACACACAAAAAAATGTTCCAGGCTCATATTATGCTTTAATTGCCACAGTTCTATAATCATCCATTTCTCCAAGGAGCACTAATTCCTTTTAGTGGAGAATAGCACTTTGGAACCAAGATCTTGAAGCTAGGTGAGCGCCACTGGGCACTACTGGGTATAATACCTACCTTGGTGGAAATAAAGTGCTTAGCATAGTTCCCAAAAGAAAATATGTGCTTAATAAATAGATATTTTCTATTGGTTTTATTGTTGTTATTGTTATGAAGGTCCTATTAAGCATGAACCCAGAGGCCTAAAAGGAAAAGATGTGGAGATGTGTAATCTTTGATCATTTGTTCCATGATGTGTGTTGGCAAACTAGACAAAATGAAAAACTTCTCTAAAGAGTTGGTCTTACATTTTTCAGAGACATTTTATGAGTCTTGATTCATTAAAATTTGTTGGCATAAATCAGCGTTTCTCGATCTTAGCACTACTGACATTTGGGGTCACGGAATTATTTATGGTGGAGAGTTGTCCTGTGCATTATAGGCTATTGAGAAACACGCCTGGCCTTACCTCACTAGTTGGAGCACCCAGCCCTCATTTATTGCAACCAGAAGCGTCTCTAGATATTGCTAAAGGTCTCCTGGGGGCAAAATCACCCCTTCTCCTTCCCTAATTGAGAACCACAGGAATAAATGGTTGGCTCTGTCTTAAGTAAATTTTCTATTATTCACCATGTTCAAGAAATAAAATAATTTGATTTTTAAAATACTGAATAATAAAGTTACTTTATACTATTTTCTAAAGAATTGACTGAAAACCACTGATGCAATTCAAAATTAGGCTGAAAATAATTAATCTGTTTTGATTCAGAAGTGACTGATTTGAACCTCTATTATCACTGAGTCGTGGACGTGTGCAAGTCCTGGTCAGCATGGTCTTCTTGATGTGACTTTGGTTAATAGGGCTTGCTGCAGGAGCATTATAACAAGGATTTTCACACAGCTTTCTTTCAAAAAAACTAAATCATTACATTTCAGCCTTTTCTCCCATCTTCCCTTTCTTCTATTTTATGTCCTAGCTAAATGGAATGTTCTTTGTCTAATAAACATTAATTGGATGAATGAGTAGATATTTTTTTAACTTTCTTAAAAGGAAAGAAATGGGAAAATTATTACCACATTTTACAAAAGGTTTCATTTGTCAAGAATAGTTTAGGAAGTCAGCAGCAGTCTGAGCCAAAATTAAGTCAGGTTTCTTTAGAATTACTCAAGTTCTTCTATGGGGGGGCTCTTAATTTTGCACAAGGACCTTCAAACAGTGTCCAAATTGCTTCAGTCTAAGTCTACAGTCTCACTTTCTAATGGAGAAAAAACTTGATGTTAAAGAATTAAAGGCCGGGTGCGGTAGCTCATGCCTGTAATCCCAGCACTTTGGGAGGCCGAGGTGGGTGGATCATCTGAGGTTAGGAGTTCGAGACCAGCCTGTCTGACATGGTGAAACCCCCATCTCTGCTAAAAATACAAAAATTAGCCGGGCCTGGTGGCCGGAGCCTGTAATCCCAGCTACTCGGGAGGCCAAGGCAGGAGAATCACTTGAACCTGGGAGGCGGAGGTTGCAGTGAGCCGAGATCGCACCACTGCATTCCAGCCTGAGCATAAGAGCGAAATTCCATCTTGGAAAAAAAAAGTTAAAGAGGAATACAACAAACAAATAAATAAAATTGGAAACAACATAGCAGTTGCAATAAATTCCAAATGATGAACACAAGTAAAACCTTAACCCTTAGGACAACATTGAAGTTTTCCTGAATGCCAAGTACCCTTCATTTGGCACCAACACCAGGAGTGGGGATTTCCGTGATTTAGGCAGTATGATGGGAGTTTTGCATCAGTGACCAGGATTACATGGCAACAAACTTTGGTTGAAGGCTAAATGAGAATCATCAGCAAACTCTTACATGGGGCTGATTTTAGTGTATGAATACCAACTTTTCATTATTTTTTAGGATTTTAAAAATTACTTATTGACAAAATATAGCTGTATATATTTATGGGGCAAAAAGTGATGCTATGATTTTTGAATACAAGGTGGAATGATTAAATCAAGCTAATTAACCTGTCCATAACCTCAAATATTTGACATTTTTGTGATCAGAATACTTGAGATTTACTCTCTTAGTAATATTGAAATGTATAGTACTCAATTATTAGCTATATTTAGCACACTGTGCAATAGATCAAAAAAAATCAAACTTATTTCTTCTATCTGAGGCTTTGTACACTTGGACTATCATCTCCCCAGTCTCCCCAGTCTTCAGCCTCTGGTAACTTCCATTCTACACTCTGCTTCTATGAGTTCAATTGTTTTAGATTCCATAGTTAGTTGAGAATATGCAGTATTTGTCTTTCTGTATTTGGTCTATGTCACTTAGCATATTGTTCTTCAATTCCATTTGTGTTGTCACAAATGAGAGAATCTCTTCCCTTTTTAAGGCTCAATCATATTCCATTGTTTTTTCTATATCTATGAAAAATGACATTGGGATTCTGATAGAAATTTTACTGAATTCATATGTTGCTTTGAGTAGTATGGACATTTTCACAACATTTATTCTTTTAATTCATGAACATGGGCTATCTCTTATTTATCTGAGTTCACTTCATTGATTAAATTTACTCCTAATTTTTTTATAGCCATTGTAAATGAGATTGTTCTCTTGATTCCTTTTTTAGAAATTCTGTTGTTAGTGTAGAGATACATTACTGATTTTTGCATGTTGATTTGTGTCCTGAAACTTCACTGAATTTGTTCATCAATTCTAACATCTTGTTGTAGATTATTTTGGGTTTTCTATATAGATAATCATATCATTAGCAAACAGTGACAATTTCACTTTTTCTTTTTTTAAAATGTTTATGCCTTTTACATATTTCTCTTCCCTTATTGGTGTAATAAGGAATTCCAAAACCATGATGAATAGACCTGGCAAGAGTGGGCATCCTTGACTTGTTCCAGAATTTAGAGGGAAGAGTTTCAATTTTGCTTTACATATTTAGTGGCTCCACTGTGGGGTCATATGAATTTACAATTGTTATATCCTCTTAATGAATTGATTATATAATGTCCTTTTTTGTCTCCTTTTACAGTTTTTTACTTAAAGTTTATTTTGTCTAAGTATCACTGCCCCTTCTGTCCAATTGCAAAGAATATCTTTTTTTTATTCTTTCATTTTTAGTATGTGTGTGTCCTTAAGGAGAAGTGAATCTCTTATGTACAGCATATACTTGGACCTTGGATTTTTATCTATAAATTCACTCTATGTCTTTTGATTGGAGAATTTAATTCATTTATTTTCAAGGTAATTATTAATAGGTAAAAACTTACTATTGCCATTTTGTTAATTGTTTTCTGGTTGTTTTGTGGATATTTTCTTTCTTCCTCCATTTCTGTCTTTGTAGTTTGATGGTTTTCCGTAGGGTATGTATTTTGTTTTCTTTTGTTTTGTGCATCTCCTATAGATTTTTGATTTTTGGTTGCCATGAGGCTTACATAGAACATGTTACACTTATAATAGTTTATTTGAGGCTAACAGTTTAGCTTTGATTGCATACAATAACTCTCCAGTTCTCCCCCATTCCAGTATTTTATGTTTTTGATGTCTGAATTGTATCTTTTTTAAATATGTTTTACTTGACAATTTATTTCAGTAACTGTTGTTATTAACAATTTCATCCTTTAATGCTTGTACTAGGGATAAAATTACTTTGCATACTACTATCACAGTCCTAGGCTATTCCACATTTTGCTACATAAAACTTATACTATTAGGTTTTGTACTTTCATAAATTTTATGTTAATAATTAGCATCTTTTAGTTTCAGTTAAAAGAACTCTCTTTTGCAATTCCTGCAAGCAGGCCTAGTGATGATAAACTTATTTAACTTTTGTTTGTCTGGGAAAGTTTTTATTTCTCCCTCATTTCTGAAAGACAGATTTTCTGAGTGAAGTATTCTTGGTTGGTAGTTTTTTTTTTTTTTTTTCACTTCACCACTTTGAATATATCATCCAATTCTCTCCTGGCCCGCGGTGTTTCTGCTGAGAAGTTTGCTGATAGTTTTATTGGGACTCCTTTGTATGTGATGTATTTCTTATCTCTTGCTGCTCTCAGAATTTGTTCTTTGTATTTAATTTTTGATAATTTGATTATTAAATGTCTTGGTGAATTCTTTTTTGGTTAGAGTTTTATTGCTGACCTCCACATTTTGTATACCTAGGTGTTGGCTTCTTTTCTTGATTAGAGACGTTTTCATCCATTATTTCTTTAAATATGTTTTATGGCCTTTTTCTTTCTTTCTTTCTTTCCTCCTGGAATGCCTATGATGCATAGGTTAGGTTTCTTGTTTGATGATGTCCCATTATTCCCATAGATGTTCTTCATTCTTTATTATTATTATTTACTCCTCTGATTGGGTAATTTCAAATTTTCTGTCTTCATGTTTACTGATTTCTCAGCTTGATAAAGTCAGCTGTTGAAGCTTTCTATTGCATTTTTCAGTTCAGTCACTGTAATCTTCATTTTAAAAATCTCCATTTAAAAAAAAAGTTTCTATTTCTTTGTCAAACTTCTCCTGTTTGTGTATTATCTTCGAGATTTTATTTAATGTTTAATCTGTATCTTCTTGAAGTTTACTAAACATTTTTAAGAGGATTATTCTGAATTTTTTTTTCTGTCCTTTTATCGATATCTTTGTCCTAAGAGTCTATTGTTAGAGCTTTGTCACTTTCTTTTGGAGGTGTTATGAGTCTTTATAATCCTTGTATCCTTGTATCGGTGTTTATGCATTTGTGGAGACAGACAACTTTTCTGGCTTTTACAAGTTTGTTTTTTTGGCAGGGATAGAAATTCACTAGTTAATCTACCCCTATGATTCTGGATGGGTCATTCTGGATGAGTAATGATCCTGGAAAGGCAGGCTTGCTTTTAAGTTCTCTAGATGGCTGGGCTACTGCTTTTACCTGGAATTTGTGTGGGGCAGCTGACTAGGCTTTGCTGTTTGGCAAGATCACTGGCTGAGCTCTACTACTAGGCTGAGCTGCCATATGGATGCTGCAATCACATCTTGTCTGGCAGGGCCACAGGGTGTAATTCCCTGGCCAGGTACTGCTATTTGAGTTCAGGAGTTGACCAAGGTTGCAGAAGAGGCCCCAAAGTTAAGTAGGTTGGGATGAATGGACTAACTGCTATGGTCAGTAGAAATGCATGACTGAGATTTGCCTTCCTCCATGGGTGAGGTGTGGGGATGGGCTTTGAGGCCAAGAGAAGAACTGATTAAACTCCCAGGTGTGGCAGAACTAGTGCCTGCTTTTTGTCAGTATTTGCTACAGTGATCAGCAGTCTCCTTGGGCAGAGTCTAGGGGTAAGCTTTAAGGCTACAGGGAGTGTAGATTAAGCTCCTGACTGTAGCAGATCTAGTGCCTGCTTGTTGTGGAAATTTGCTGCAGGGGGTCTTCTCTTACCTAGGCAGGACCCTAGGGTAGGGTCTGAGGCTGGCCATCTAGAGACTCAAGCCATGTAACCCTTCCCACCTCTTCTGGGAGTGACCAGCTCAGCTCTGTGGGTGAGCTACACACCCACAGATACCTCTGATTGAGCACGACTAGTGGCAGGTGCACTGAGCTTTTACCAAAATCTGTGATGTCTAAATTTGCATAATTTTTTAATATGTTTCACTTGACAATTTATTTTACTGTTCTCTGTGGGCTCCACCTCCTGACTTTGTTTTTACCTGACCCCAGATAGTCTAGTCATGTGGTTTTCTCCTCCATTCCCCATTTCCAATGAGGTGAGAATGGGGTGAGTTGCCTGGGAAGCACCTCAAAATGCTGGGAAAGTTGGATATTTGCTTTCCCGCTGTAGAAACCATGGGCCCTAGGGAATTTCCTCTGTGTGGCACTGTGCTGACTTAGGGGAGAGAGGAAGGGCAACGTGGTCAAAGCAAAACCATTTCTCTTACCCCTTCCATGTGGAGTTTGATTCAGTTCCATGGAATACACAGGTGACTCAGGCTTATTCCCACATTTTCACCAAGGTGTTTTTGACTGGATAGTTGATGTTTCTCTGGGAGGAGTGAAGCCTGGGACCCCTTCTTCCACCATCTTGCTGATGTCACTTCAACTTGCCATTATCTATTCTATTCTTGCCACTATCTAATCTATTATTAAATAGATTGCTAATATATAAGCTTTGGTTGTCTGTAAAAATCAATCTAAAGGAAGGAGAGTTATTTGGCTTAATAACTGAAGAGAGAGCTTGCAGTGATAGAACAGCTTGCTCCCCATCAGTAGTCCCTTGCAAACTGCCAGTGAGCCTTGGACCATACTTTTAGAAATGATGCTTTGTGGTCAGCAATTCCAAAAGGTTAATTATGATATTCCAGTCTACTTGTGGAACTTCCAAGCTAGCTCCTGCCACCACACATCATTTCCTCAATGCAGCAGCTTTATTGATTGCACCCCGTTGTCTCCTTACTTCTGCTATCCCCCTAGCTTTCCACTAATACCAGTCAAAAGCCTATGGGGGCCTAAAGAGAGAGCCCTTTATCAAACAAACAAAGCACTTAGTGGTGGGTGTCTTGGACTATGCTACAAAAAGGTACAATGATTCTTTCTCTGTGTACTTATTGACATTCATTGAGCGGCATATAGTTTATTTTAGCTAGAGTTTGTGATGTAGCATCTATATTTAATTCCACAAGCTGTCAGGCAACTCATATATTTACAAACACAATCCTGGAAACAATGTGATTGCTGGTCACAGCTGCATCTGTAACATCTCAGGAGCTCTGTGCTGTTTAGCACAGCTCAGGGCATTATCATTTTACATTCTGGTTTGTGCCAAGGTCCAAATAGGGCAGAGCTTGGGCTAAAAGTTCAGATTCAATGACAGGCCTGGCAGAAAGCCAAGAGCAAGAGTAACATTGAGGGCTGCAGGTCATAATGGAGAGTTGCTTATCAGCCCCACCTCAATTTTTCAGCCTACATAGTTATGAGCAATTTCTCTGTGATTGGCTTGGGTTTATTTTGGCTTCCCGGGCCTTAAACCACCCTATGTATATACAGAGACTCAGCTGGGAAGTGAGCTGGGGCTTAAGCAACAGAAGCCAGTCTGCTGGGAGGAGGCAGGGACAGAGAAGGGTCTCTCTCTGGAGTACGAAAGCAGCTGTCAACAAGGGATTGAAGTAGATGACTAAGCCAGCTTCAGTAGCTAGATCCAGGGAGATGGGCAGGCCATGCCCAGGGGCAGGGCCAAATGGTTTGATTCAGGCAATCTTGGTAACAGGAGGTCCAATGGCTAGAATATATAAAGAGGAACTCTAAGAGAGGGTGCAGTCCAGAAGCAGGTAAAAGGGCAGGAAATTCCTGGGGGCCTATCTATCTACAGCAGGAAATGGGGGAGTGGAGAGCAGGAGGCACAGAAGCCAAAAAGGGTGTGGTGTAATTTGGATATTTGTTCCCACCCAAATCTCATGTTGAAATCCCCATTGTAGGTAGGGTGTGGTGGGAGGTATTTGGATCATAGGGGCAGATCCCTCATGAATGGCTTGGGTCATTCCTTTGGTGATAAGTGAGCTCTCACTCTGAGTTCACGCCTATCTGTGGTTTCAAAGTGTGCAGTACCTCCCCCACCTCTCTCTCTCTCTCTTGCTCCTGCTTTTGCCATGTGATGTGCCTGTACCCCCTTCACCTTCTGCCATGATTATAAGTTTTCTGAGGCCTCTCTAGAAGTAGAGCAGATGGGAGCACCACACTTCCTCTAAAGCCTCTGGAACCATGAGCCAATCAAACCCTTTTCTTTAATCAATTACCCAGTCTTGGGTGTTTCTTTGTAGCAATGCAATAACGGCCTAATGCAGGGTACAAGCCTCTTACACCTTAGATGGACATGCGGAGACTGGGCAGAAAGGAAGGGGATGAGGAATCTGGGCACAGGCTCAGTTGGGTTTGGGGATATGAGGGAAGAGCACTGTAACTCAAGGGCATGCAAGAAACCAGGAGTTGTGGATTGGCCCATGGTGGAGGAGTACGCCTAACCTGTGGTTTTTGAGACAGCACAGGTGAAATACCACTGGGTTCTTATGAGGCCATGCTGACAGGCCATCTAAACAGGAGCCACACAGCTTCCAAAAAAGCAGCATGCTTATCTAAGCTGGAAAAGTGATTGTAGGTGAATCCTGCTTGTGTACTTTAAGATTTTAGACTTTTCTTCAATCTTGCAATTTTTAAAATGAAAATGACCCAGAGGAATCTAGGATAACCTCATGTGAATACAGCTATCTTATTCAAGTCTGTAGCTGTTAGATTTATAGGTCATGTAAATAGTATTAAGGACTCCCCTTGGGAGAACATTATTGGCTTCTCTGTTCCTGAGTTTTCTTCTCTGTACAATGGGCATAATAACAGCATCAACCTTACAGGGGTTTGTGCATAGTAAATAACGCATGGAAAGTGTTTAGATTGATGTTTGGTACACAGTAACTAATATGTAAACATAATTAGAGGTGATTATAATGGCAACTCTGGGACTCATGGGTTTTGAATTTTGAAAATTTTACCATTGACACACATAAAACGGAGACAGACAAGCTCTAGGCTTAGTGTTAAGAGACCCAAGTTCAAGTCCTCACTTTTCCCCAAACCAGTGGTGGGTCTTTAAATAACGTATTGCACTTCTGTGACTGAAAGTTTTCTCACTTATGATACAATGTGACATGAATTTTATCACTGGATCCCATCAGAATGTTGCATCAAAATCTCCTGGGAGGTTTTTAAAAAATATTCAAAATTATAAAAATATACCCCAGCCCCATATCTCAGTTATTTCCCTCTTTCCTCCCTTCCCTATTTCCATTCCACTCCCTACCTTCCCCACATACACACACTACCACATGTGCTCCAGGCTGCTGAGAACCACTGGGTCAGGTAATCTCCAGGATCCCATCCCTTCTCCCCAGTTCCAGGACACGATCAGGTGGAAATTAACCAGGGAACAGAGGCTGTAGGAAGCCAAAGCAACCGCATAATCAATGCACAGAGCTTTGAAAGGCTTCTTGGAGAAAATGAGGCTAAAAGATGTGAGAGACCACAGTAGACTCACAGAGAGGAAAGGCAGGAGTGAGTACAATGGCAGGGCTCATAGCCAGACAACTGGGGAATCAAGTGACCACAGGATGAAGGTGAAAGGGCCCTGGGTTGAACCCATCACTACAGTCATCAGCTGCAGAGGACTAGGGATGGGGGACTGGTGAGGTTATTCAGAGTGACCTGGAGAAACCTCTAAAAGGCTAAAATGAGGAAACGCCTTTTAACAGAAATCTTACCTTTTTAAGCTTCAGTTTTCTCACCTGTAAACAACAACAAAACAAACAAACAAAAACTAAGATTGGATGAGTCTATGAACTGTTTTTGGACTCTTTTTAGTGCTAATAACCCCTGTTGGAGCAATGGAAAAAATAATGGTGAACACACAGCACTCACCATGGGCCAGACACCTTTTTTTCTTTTTCTTTTCTTTTCGAGATGGCGTCTCACTCTATTGCCCAGGCTGGAGTGCAATGGCACGATCTGGGCTCACTGCAACCTCCACCTCTCAGGTTCAAGTGATCCTCCTGCCTCAGCCTCCCGAGTGGCTAGGATTACAGGCACCTGCCATCATGCCCAGCTAATTTTTATATTTTTAGAAGAGACAGGGTTTCACCAGGTTGGCCAGGCTGGTCTCAAACTCCTGGCCTCAGGTGATCCACCCACCTCAACCTCCCAAGGTGCTGGGATTACAGGCGTGAGCCACTGTGGCCGGTCAGGCCAGACACCTTTTAAAGGCTTTACAAATATTAACTCTTTTAATCCTCACAATCCTATGGAGTAGCACTATTATTGTTATCTTAAAAAAAAAAAAAGAAAAAGAAAAAAACAAACAAAAAAACAGATGAGGAACCTGAGGCAAAAGTGTTGGAACCAACCAAGGAAGGCAGGCAGCCAGGTTCTGCAGTCTGTTCTCAAAACCACTCCACTTTGGAACAGCCGATCAGGGGAGCTCAGTGACTGGAAGTGGAAGGCAGATTGGTTCTCAGGGCCGCAAGGAGTGGCTGGGGTTTCTTAATGATGGAGGAGGATGGAAATGGTTTTGAGGAAGGTTGATCTGCAAGGAGATGAAGTTGTAAAGGCTTTGGGATGAGCGACTTTTTATTTAGAAGTACTATTTGATCAGCAGTGCCATCTTTCTATTTGCTAGTGATCCCCCTGACTGGAAGGGAGGCTCCGGAGTAGAAGGGTCTCCCTGGTCTGCACATTCGGCCCCTGGCTTTATCGCTCAGGGCTCTGGGCAAGCCTGTCAGTTAGTTTGTCTCACCAAGGAAAGCACCAAGGACACCCGGCAGGCAAGTATGAAGCCTCAGCAACTGACAGATGAATCTGCCCTTGTTAAGTGAAGGGCTGGTTATCACACAGAGAGACCTATAAATTTGGGGCCTCAGAGGAGGGATCCTACTAGGTCTAATGTCACTAAAGCTGTACATGTGTGTGAGTGCTGTGTGTTTTTGTGTCTGTGTACCTTTTAAGCTCATTACAGGATCCTAAGTCCTATGTTTTGTTCCTGCCCTATGAAAGCAAAGGCTGGGTCCGTCTTGTTCATGAGATTTACTCCCATCCCTTGGGACAGTCCTTGTGCATAGACATTACTTAATAACTGATTGACTGTTTGATGAACAGAGGCAAGTGAGGTTAAGGAGAGCTGAGTTATAGGTCTCAGAGTCAGAATATGCGAGTTTCACTTCTGTTTTATTGTGGAGTGATCTCCAGAGGGTCTCTTTGGCTCTCTTGGCCTCCTCTGTTAAAGTTCTTAAATTAATGTAAGAATATTTAGTAAACAGTAATTATGATTAGCTCTTACCATTGCATAATTATTAATATTATTAACCTGATTCTATACAGTGAGGATATCTATACCCTCACTGATTTTAAGTCATTCCTGACCAGCAGTGGGGAAATGCATCACCTATTGCTTGCCAGTTCCATGCCAGTCCTGAGGGTGACACTGAAGGTCGAATCCTGGAGCCTGGGGAGGGCAGTGACAAAATGTGTCACCCCTGCTCAGGTTCAAATGGAAGAATTATGGGACCTGATGAGGCTCTACAAAATGAAACCAGGAGCACATCGTCAAGGCAAAAGCACCATGGTTAGTCTCTGTTGAAGTTGACAGCTTATTGCAACAAGAGGGAAGAATAAAAGCCACAGATCTGAGCTGATAGCACCCCCACATCCACCCTTGCTCTTAAGAATGTCCTGTCATCTCTCCTATCTACCCTCCCTTTCTTGTAAAAACAGGAGGTTTTGCATCAAGATATTGCGGATGACAAGAACAAATAACAATTTCTGTGATTTTTTTTTTAACAACTGACACCCTCAGATTTATTCAAGAAAACATCTCCTCAACAGAGTTGGCCAATTAACCACTTATATGGCTTGAAAACTTATTTAATGTCACTGCCCAATCACTTTATGAAATGTCACTGCTCCAGCAGGCAAAAATTCCTGCTTTATACCCTGCTTCTTTTATGTTTCAGTCCCTTTCTGAAAAACAGAGCTTCCTTCCAAAGAAGACTAAAATCATAATGCCTCTCCCCTTACATATGTGCCCCTTATATTTGCATAGAATTATGGAATATCAGCAGCAGGTGGGATCACCTGACCTCATAAATCATTTAACCGATGATACAGTGAAGGTCCCAGAGGGAAGTGACTTGCCTGAGGGAGCCAACTTGTAAGTGGCAAAGGCTCCTTTTTTTTTTTTTAATAGCTGTAATTCATATAACTGATGCTGTGAGGTATAAATACTATGGGATCTAGGATAGGTAGACCTCAATCTACCACTGAAATCTGTGACCTCATGCAATTTAATTATCCATTTCTGCCTTCTGCATTCTCATCTGTTAAAAAGAGTGATTTTATTGTTTGTGCTTCATAAGCAGTAACTACCTCACAAATATGAAATGACTTATATTGGTATTTATTAATGATAATTAACATTAACAACCTTGTTACCTACAATATTACTCTCATACCTATTTTACCTTTTCTCCAGGCCTATAACCATAGCTTAGCCATATCCTTAACTCCCCAAGATATAACCCCTCCTTGGCAATAATTTTCAATGAAGAAATATCTATCTCAATTGCCAAGATCTGGTACACCAGCAGCTAATGCCTCAAATCCTGAGTGTGTCGTCTTTTGACATGCCTAGCATAAATGGATATTAAAAACAACAGGAGGATGCAAAAAAATTCCCAAGAAGTCCTCAGCTGGGTAATAATCTGAGAGTGGTAGAGACACGATTCCTATAAGCTCTACCATTTGAAGACTGCACTGCTTACTTCTCATGTGACTTCATCTATATATGATTTTTTCCATTGACAAAGCTGTGACCCATTTACTCCATGGCTTAAAGAACAGATTTGAGCTGATGCAGTTAACAAAGGAAAACCCATGACTTGGTTTACCTTTACGTTTTGTGCAAAGCTAATTTATTATTTCTTTAGATGTAAAACCGTCTTAAGTGTGGTCTAAGTAAGTGAAATGATTTGGCTTTCACTAGTAAATTTATAATTCTTTTCATAAAGGAACTCACTTAGCCATTACTTTAATATCCTAGCATATAACATGGAGGCTTACTTATGCAGTCAGCTTCAGGACAAGAAGGAAAAACTGAAGCACGATGGGGAAGGTACTAACTATTTTATTTTGCTGCTTATTAGCAGTTCCACCAGAAGTTGTGAGGATTTAGACAGTTAAAATTTGCTTGACAGGTTGCTGCAGCAAAATTTCTAGTGATATTATTTGTGGAGCATAAACAGGAAATGGCCAAAAGCTGTTCCCCTTAAAAAGCCTGATTGTAACACAACTGTCAATGCAGCAACTATTTTGTCCATTTTTAAAAGGTAAAGGAACATGTTCTAGGGATGTTTTTAAAAGAAAGTTTTGAAACCTGTTTAAAACTTCTCTTTCTTAAAAAGAGATTTCTTAGTCAAAATGTCTTCAGATACTGAGAAAAATCAGTGAAGCGGAAACCATATGATTCCAAGGCCAGGTTTTTGAGAGGAGCAGTCGGCACTGAATTCAGGCATTCTTGCTGTGCTCAGCAGACTTGGCCCAGCAATCAGAACTGTTTGATTCTAAAGCTGATACTCCTATAACCAGGCAGGTTCTAGCACATTGTGAGTTCTGAAAAAGCATAATTACAAACAAAGAATAACAAGAAGCACCCGTTGACTTAATATATCTTTCTTCTCTCAAAGAGCACACAGGTTTTTCACATGTGTGCTCTCACCTGTCCTTAGAAACCTTCTCCTGCTAGGTGAGGGGGTGACTACACCACCATATTGCAACACAGGAGATCAGTGCACCAAGGGGTGAAGTAGCTGGGCCAAGGACACATGTTTTCAGTAGCTCACAATGACCCCACAATGAAATGCATGGAATTGATTCATCAAATATTTTTGAAAACCACTTATGGTCTCTGACCTTAAGGGGTCCATAAACTAGGCAGGCAGGGTGTGATGTGACTCAGCTGAGTTAGGGAAGATTATCAGTCCCATTCTGCTCAAGAAATTGCCACACTGGCTTCTTCTCATGCAGACAATAACAGCTGGTCTTCAGGGAGCATGAAGAACCCCAACTAGGCCAGGCCTTTTGCAGAATGGGAGAGCCTACAGTTATCTTTTATGTGTCTGCATTATTTTTCTATTGCTGTGCAACAAATTACCACAAACTTAATGGCATAAAACAATACAAAAGCATTATCTCAGTCTCTGTGGGTCAGGAGCATGGGTACAGGTTAACTGGGTCCTCTGCTCAGGGTGTCACCAGACTGAAATCCAGGTGCTAGACAGGGAAGCAGTCCTTATCCAAGGCTCTGGATCCTCTTTCAGTGTCACATGGTTACTGGCAGAATTTGTTTTCTTAAGGTCATATGACTGAGGTTCCCATTTTCTTGCTAGCTGTTGGCTAGCAATTGCTCTCAGATTCCAGAGCCCATCTATAATTCATAGCCATGTGGCCCCCATAAGCAGTTCACCATATGGCTGTTTGCTACTCCCCAGGCCAGCAGAAGCTTGACGCTTCACTGTCTTCTAAAGGCTCACCTGAGTAGGTCAGTTCCACCCCGGGTATTGCTCAAGGTTATTCAGAAACCTTTGTCCTCACTGCCACCACCATGATCTAAAATATCTGCCATCTGGACTTTCAATGCACTCTGCAGTCATTGAATCGTAACTCAAATTCAACTGATTAGCAACCAGATCATGGGAGTGACATCCCATCATACTCACAGGTCCTGCCCATACTCAAGGGGAGGGGACCATATAGGGCATGCACAGAAGGGTGTGGGGATCTTGGTCATTTGGGAATTCTGTGTTCCAGTGTCTTCCCACCCGCATCCACGCATTTCCACCTTGCTGTGTTGGCTGCCTTGGCCTCCAGTATCAGGTAGCTGCAGTCTTCGAAATGAACATTTCCCCATCCCTTTTGTCATTATGCCTTTAAACAAAATAGAACAATATTTTATAAAAGGAATTAATTGCTAATGTTAGAATTTCAGGTAATGTAATGAGCACTTGCTTTTGTATTGTCAATGCTTAGCAGAGTGTCTGGCACTTAGGAGCCCTCAATTTATGTTTCTTCAATAAATGAATATGTGAATGATTACATGAGAAATATTTTGGGCATCCTCATCAGATTGCATCCATTTAAAAATGCCTACACCCTCTATGTACAAAGCCGATTCCTCTTTTTAGTTTCAAAAGAGTTTTTTTTTTTTCATGGTAATGCATGCTTATTATAAAACATTTGAGGATTTTCCTTCTTTCTATGATTTTATTTTTTATATTTAACTTTTTATTCCAACTGGAACTAATTTTCCAATATTAGGTATAAAATATTCCATCCTCCATGCAATTAGTGTCTGATGCTTTTTTTCATATACTAAGTTCTAATATATAAAAAGGTTTATTTCTGAGCTATCTATTCTATTGCATTGATCTGCTGTCCAATTTGTGTGCCAGTATCATCTGTTTTAATTATTGGAATTTTATCATGTTTGAAGATCTGGTAGGGCAGGAGCTGCCTCATTATTCTTTCTTCTTTCAGCCCCCACCTCTAGTTCATTAAGCGAGGTTCTGTCTTACCGCCTGCTCTAGTTCCTTAGGCTGTACTACATTCTTTATCAAGGTCTGGTCATGGAGCCAGACCTAGGCTCGTATTCCACTTCTGCAGTCTCTTAGCTCCACTATTCTGGGTCTCAATAAAATATACTAATAATGGCTATTTAACAAACTTTCTGTGAGAACTATGGTAACTTCTAAGAGCTGTCCAGCACATGGGAGGTGGTCAATATCCACCAGCTGGAGTGAAGGAATGACGCTGAACGTCCAGCCACTCAAGCTGTGTCCTCCATCCTTCTAAGCAGGGGTTGCAACTCTTCTGAAAGCATCCTGTATGAATGGTGAGGCACGGATCTCTCAGACTCAGGCCAACCTTTAGGCTGGGAGAGTTCCAGAATTAATGTTTGTTTCCAGCCTCTGTGCAGCCCCTTTGGGATTCACACTGATCCGATGGAAGTCAGGTGGTTTTCTGAACTGGAGCCAGCCCAGAGTGCCCTGGGGGACTCTGGCAGGGGGCATAAATCAAGTACTGAAGTCCACATTGTCTGCCCTTACCAGAGTCTGGAACTGCCAGGGAATTAACACTCCTTGCCTCATCCCCAGGGAGCCTGTCTCTGGGCTTTGGCAGTCAGAGAATGTTCTCAAGCCATGAAATACAGGTGCTGGAGGTTGGAGGTCATTCTGGCACACACCGAATTGGTGCTGACGAGGGGAGATGGGCAGATTCTGACAGCATGTGCTAGGAATTAAAGATTGAGGAAATGATCACAATTCCAAGAAGCCCCACAGTACTGAACGGTCCTGTGCATTTGCCCAGAGATTTAAAAAGGTGACTCGCTGTTCTCAGACCAAAGAGTAGGCACTGGAAATCAGAGACCTGTGGTGAGTCACAAAGCAGCCAGGAATTTTGAAGGCCAGAATCTTACTACTTTCTTGGCATCTTCCGTCTAACTCAGAGAGGGCAGGGCAGGCACTCATTCATTCCTTCAAGAATGGTGTGTGAAGATCTGCTCTCAGGAGCTGGTATAGAAAGATACAGCAGTTATTGCTCAGCCCTGCCCCTCGTGGTGCTCTCAAGCTGCATGGTGAGGTGAGAGGATTATGGATATCCTTGAGAGCATGATCCACTCCGATGACGCTATATGCAATATCTGAGTACCCCATTCCAACTCCATCCCACATGACCTTCAGTAAAAGAGTAGATCAGATGTTCAAGGCTGGAAGAGGTCTTAGAAATTAACTCTTCAAGGCTGTCTATATACATTAAACCCAGAGAAGGAAGTGATTGCCCACAGTCACTCAGCTTCACAGCAGCAACGGAAGGAACTTCAGTACTTTTCTACCTCACAATTCTCCACCAGAAAAATGGGTTGCTTCTCACCTTACATCAAACTTCGAGAGGCAGCCCACAGTCTGAGGCAACTGCAGAAACAGATTGAGCATTTTTGGAAGAGGAAGACAGAAATGGATGGTGTCGAGTGGGTCAAGGTAGGATGCATGGACACAACATAACATAAGGGTTAAGAGTCAGATCCCCTGAGTTCAAACTCTGGTTTTACCACTTAATAGCTGTGTGAACTTAAGCAACTTTCTTAAGTTTCTCTCTAAGCCTCATCTTCTTATCTGTGAAATGATGGCAATAGTGTTTCCTCACAGGTTGGTTTTAAGGATTAAATGAAATGATGTACCTCAAGCACTTAGCTAAATGCCGAGAACGAAGTTATGTTACTAGCATAAAGGATTTCCGGAATGGGCCCAACCCAATTATGTGTGATGCTCACAGGCCCATGGGGTAACAGGGTGCTCAAATGACAATGCCTTTTGTACTTTTCCAGCTCCGAGCCCTGGAGGAGCAGCACGGAGCGGGAGAGCGTGGCGAGAGAATGAAGAAACCAATCGCCCGGGAGAAGCATGAGGTGGCAGTGTGGCACTCGGTTTAGAGGGCTTCGGCCGGCGGTGGCCCCATGGACAGCCCTGCTGGCACTGGGCCTGCCTGGCTGGGTGTTGGCTGTCTCAGCCACGGCGGCTGCTGTGGTCCCCGAGCAGCATGCCTCCGTAGCTGGCCAGCATCCCCTGGACTGGCTGCTCACAGACCGGGGCCCCTTCCACCGCGCTCAGGAGTATGCTGACTTCATGGAGCGGTACCGCCAGGGTTTCACCACCAGGTACAGGATTTATAGGTAAGTGGGGGCCTCCACTGAGACAGGGGCTTCCCTAAGAACCCAACCTGCACAGGCCCTGCTGGTGTGCTGGCCCAAACCCCTAAACAGGCTGGAATGCCCTCAAACTGAGCTAGAGGTGAAAGCTGGAGGAACACCAGGCAGGGAAAATAAGCCTACCATGTTAGTTTTTAAAAAAAGAAAGAAGAAAACACACACAAGCTGGAAAACCTGCTGATACCTCCTGGGGAACTTAGCAAAAGGGTTTCTATTTATAGGTTGTGCTGCTTATAAGTTGAAGACAAATCAGGCAGCATGGAGTCAGCGTGTGGCCCAGGCTGCCGTAGGAGGTCAGAGTCAAATGCTGGGGCCAGGTTTTAACTAATGGGTTAGTTAATTTCATGAGTTGTAATTACTTAAACATACAAACAAAGGAAGGGCAGCTCCAGCTCCTGCCTTAGAGGTCTGGGGAGCCCTGAAGGGTCAGGAACAAACCTGTCCTTACCCTTGTCAACACCCCAGGCTCCGCAGGCCTTGTGGGAAAAAGGGGTTAGGCCCTTTAGGCCCATCCCCAGAAGCATCAGAGCTGAAAGTCAGACTCCTGAGACCTGCCTAATCCATCATCAGGTGGAATAAGCCAGGCACATATTCCTGGCTGCTGGACCTGCACTTCAAAAATAGAGTGCTCCTCCACGTGCTCACCTCCAGGGCTCCCACAGTGCACCAGTGAACTCAAAATTCTCTTTGATCCCTCTGTCCACTTGCCCCCTTGCCATTTTTCCCCTTACTTGTATCTTTAGATAACCCTGGGAGCCTTGCTGATTTTGTTTCTTTGTTCAAAGATACTTATTTTCTAATTAAAATTAGTTTTTCATGCAAAAAGAAAAAACATGAAAAAGCACAAAAGGAAACAGAAACACAAAACCATCCATTCTTTTGGCAACTAAAGGTTCCTGTTGTTAACATATTGGCTATGCATTTCTAGTCATATGAACACACTAATGTTTTTGGACCTGTTGTTAGATTTATCAACTTGCATGCCTTATATAAAGTAACTCCAACCCTATGTTGGAAAAACAGTTGTTTTCCCCATTTTACAGATGGGGAAATTGAGGCCCAAAGAAGTTAAGCAACTTGCTGAAGGGCACAAAGCTAGTGAATAGTGGAGCCAGGATTAGCTCGCAAGTAGGCAGATTGCAGAGTCTGGGTTCTGAAAATATATTTAGAGACATTTTCTTTTTTCTGGGAGTTCTTTTTTAACATCTGCAGTAACGAGGCAACCAGTTTAGATTAGTAAGGGGTCGCAGAAGTATGGTTTTAAGAGTATTCAGTACAGTGTCAGAAGATTCCCAAATGGTAAAACAGTGGCCATTTATAGAGGCCATTCACCTGCTTCAAAATTCCCACACTTGGGTGCAGACAAAGGAGCAAGGTCAGAGATATTTGAGGGGCTGGTACTTTGTGGACCCAGAGATTCATAGAAACAAAATCCTACTCTTAGGAATCACCTACCCAGCTCTCCTTTCAGGCCATTTTTCTCCCACTGTGCTTAGATGCAGTCTGGTCCTGGAAGAGACTGCAGTTCACACTCCCTGCTTTGGTGACTCTGGCCCTTGCCATCTTCCAAGGGCCACAGCAGAAATTCACATAGCATCACCGAAGCAGAGAGCACCAACTCAGGCTGGGAGGGGCTGAGTTTACACCTGCTCAGGTAAAAGCAGATGAGTAGAAGAGGAACAGAGTAGAGGGTTAACTCAGCTGTCAGTAAACACCTAAGAATCTCAAAGATGCCTCCCTACACTTTCTAGATGGCAAATTCAGGGTGACCTTCCCTTTATTAAAGAATTTTTTTCAATCTTTCAAAAAAATCAGAAAATCCACTCTAGAATGTGCTTAAGCAGAGAATCCCTCCAGTCCAGTAAAATAAGATTTAATTTACCTTAGACTTTTTAGTTTATCCCAAATCTCACAGAAGCACTGTTATCACCAAAAATAATTTTTAAAAAGTGTATTGGAATTGAAGTCAGGCT
The DNA here is from genome assembly GCF_000001405.40 of Homo sapiens. Classification (NCBI taxonomy): domain Eukaryota; kingdom Metazoa; phylum Chordata; class Mammalia; order Primates; family Hominidae; genus Homo; species Homo sapiens. The sequence goes on from NC_000001.11 coordinate 177,232,155, forward strand.
GGGAGTCCTAACACCACTCTCCACTTCAAGGAGCTGTAGAAACTAGAGGGAACAAACTCTCAGCTTCCTTATCCCCTCAGGAGAGTTTTCTTCCGGACAGCCTGGTAGCCACTTAGCACCTGGGCGGCAGCTCCAAGTTGGCCCACGGGGAGTGTCTGTAATCATTTCTGCACCATCAACTGTTCTATCAGTTGGTAATGGTTTTCTGATCATTTAATGTGACAAGCTCTTACACTGTGCCATTCTGTTTCTCTGGGGTCAGTTATTGCACATGAACCTGTACTTGAGGAAACAGTAACCAGTCATTCTGACAGGAGTGTAGTATTCTGATTTGTGACCTTTTGGTGGGGCAGAGAGAGGATAGTCACACACCGCTGCTTCAGGAGCATTCCTCGAGTTTTGCCTTTAGTGATGAAGCAAAATGGTGGCTCATGCGCACTTGTAGGGCTCTACATTATCCCAGTGGGAATTCATTTTTGTCCCTTCCCACTTTGTTTCTAGTGGCAATTTCCTCTGGCAAATTTAGGACCTTGCTGGATTGACTAAAGCAGGTCAAAGAAAACTGGTAAAACATACATCGACAGTCATCCTCAAATTTCTCTCCTATAATCCAGAAGAGTAGAAAGAGGAAAAAAAAAAACAACAGAGAATATCAGAAATGCTTTGAAGGGGAAATACTGGGTCTCAAACAGAATTAAGGTTTTGTTTCACCCTTTAAGGAAGCTTTTGGGGCATGGAAATCAGATAGTAGCCACATGTGTCTTCCATTTATAAGCGGATGCACTGTGGTAGAGAATAATAAACCTATGATTCAAGGGGGTCAGTATATTTGGTGCAGAATCACTTGAAGATTTCATAGGAAAGAGACCCTCCTTCTCTTCTACCTGTTGAACAGATCAAAACAATTGTACAGCAAGTTTCTAACATTAAACTACAAATTATACCTATTCTTATTAGGATGTTGGAGTATGCTCTAACTTTGAGATGACTAGTCATTCTAGAATAGCTGCAGCCTCTCTAATCACGGACCTCCAGAGATTGTTTTTCTCTTCATTACAAGTTTGTATTCATACAGACATAGGTGCTTAAGAGTGAAGGTCCTGGAGCCAGGTGACCTGGGTTCTAATCCTGGAGCTGCAACTTTCTACCTGTATAATATCGGGCAAATTACATAGTTTTCTTGTTCCTCAATTTTCCTATTTGTAAAGTGGGGACAGTAATAGTGCCTATCTAATGGATTAAGGTGAAAATTAAAGGAAGTATTTGATGTAGGCACTTAGGATAGTGCTTAATAAATACTGCCGATTTTTATTAGGTTGTTCTCTAAAAATTAGCCTATGCAGGAAGGATAATGAGATAAGAATCATAGGTGTTTTTTGCTTTAATGTCTGCTGAGGGTCTAGCATTCGACAGCCTATATTAGAAGGGGGAACACTGTTCTCTTGCTTTCCTTTTTAAAGCACGTTAACCTTTACCCTTCAATTCAGCTCTTTGCTGGGAGGGGAACTCAACTGAAGAATAATTGGATCTTCTCTGGGGCACACTCTTACTGGCCTTGTGGGCTACCAGAGGGAGCAAGATGGTTTCCAGCATATGTTAAAGTTGCCATAGGTCAAGCCCTTGTGTCTAAAGTTAAGGATGGCTCACTGAGCAGGCCTTTCTTAGGCATGTCCTCCAGTGGCCGGTGACTGCAGGCTCCTTTGTTCCAGGGATGAAAAGCATAGTCTTAGGATACACCATGAAGAGAACAGAGACAATATGCACTCTGGTTAAGCCCTCCTAGATAACAGGATGGGCTTGGGCATTTCACCCAATTTTTGACAATCTTGTAAATTGAACATTGACCAACCTCTCAGCATGTCTTTGAGCCTTGTCAAAACAAGATCTGATCTATTAGCCTCCTTCTCAGATCCATCTCTTAATAGGCTCATGGTAAGAGCTAGAAGAACAGAGGTCCTGTTTCCAGTTCCATGTGTGACTTCCGGGCTCCCCATACCTTGCTCCATTCCATAGCCCCCACTGCAATAAACGCTTAGAGACCAACTTTTCACAGCAGCCTTATGATGGGCTACTAGGGTCTAAGGCATGTGAAATGCACTTGTTCAAGGTCAGAGAGGTAGCCAGTCACAGCCAGAAATAGCACTCAGGGCTCCTGACTTGAAGTCTCCTGCTCATTACTCTAGACCATGCCACCTCCCTTTGACTGGTAAGTGCATCTTCATCATAACACGCACCTACTCAGGCACCTAAATTGAGCTGATGCAAATGTAAATATGGTTTCTTGAAACAATCTAGTGGTAATGTTCCATTCTCTCTTTGCTACAAATCAAAGTAATGAGCAGTCTGTTTTTTTTTATTTCTTTTTTGTATTAAGATTTTAATAGAGAGATAATCATGGGATTGGACAAAATCCAAGCCACTATGATGAAACACTTAAAACTCGGAAAGAATACATTAACATTGAGAGAGAAAGTTGGAAATCAAATAGAACGATGAGTGGTTGGGAGGAAAGCAATGCTGAATGGAATTCCAAAATATTGACCTTAGTCATTATCACATCTACTTCTAGCTACCTCTTTTTGGAAAGGGATGGTCTGGGGATACATTAGAAGCCACATGTTAGAAGTCAAAACAAAATAGAATTAAATACATATCTTTATTGACTAAAAGGGACATCATAGTCTTATCATATTGTGGGATATGTATGCAGATTTGTAGAATGAAACTGAACACTAAGAAGCTGTAGGGCTACCAGGGATAGAATCAGGTGATTGGTGAATGAGGCAGTAAACAAGGCACCAGAGCAACAACCCTAAGAAAGAATATCTGGAATTCATCAGGATAAACAATAAGACTTGGCAATAGCTTAGACGTGAAGGAAGTGCTCACCCAATTTTTGGCAACCTTGTAAATTTTGCTGACCAACCTCACAGCATGCTCAAAGTGCAGTCTTTGGACCCCCAGCATTAGCATCACCTGAGAGCTTATTAAAAATCCAGAACGTCAGGCCTCTCCCCAGACCTAAGGAATGAAAATCTGCATTTTAACAGGATCCCCAGGTGAACAAGATGGCATCAGAGCTTGAGGAGTACTGCACTTGTCTATACTAAGTATTTGGAGATGGAGACGGGAGCAAAAATGAAGAGGGTGGAGAAGCACAGAACGTGTACTGGAAAGACAGCATCCCCCATGAGGCATTTGCAGCAGCGAGACTATTTACAGGAGGCATTGCAAATAAAATAAAATAGGAATCCAGAGCGGGTAAATCTAGGAGTTATTAGTGCCAAGACATATGAACTCATAAGAGTAGGTACCGCAGCTGGGAGAAAAGTTGAACAGCAGAAAAGGCTGGAGGGCCTAGAAGCAGCCTGTGGGTGCCTCCCGGGAGATGGGGAAGTGAGGAGGCAGATAGCAGCTGTGGAAGCAATCACAGGAGGAGCTCCAGAGCTGATTTATCATCCGGACCACGTCTCTCTGACTAACAAATACTGATTTGGATAAACAGCGAACCCTGGGAGAGGCACCATCTCCAATTAAGAGATCACAGTCCATATAAATAAACAGCAACCAAAGACAACTTCAGTCTGCCTGGGTAAATCCCAGTGATTTCCAAGGTGTGCATTACAGCCACTGAGGTAGAGAAAGGCTACATTATCACGCGGCTTCAGGGCTCCAGAAGGGAAGTTGTAGTTCTCAGGTGGATGGGAAAAAGGAAGGAGGTTAGCTCTTCCGCATAAACCACCAGGCCCAAAGTAAAATGGTTGATCTCTGAACTTTTCACTGGGTTTGCGTTTTGACCATGAGGGAGTTTCTTGACGTGGAAGGAGATGAAGGAACGGTATACAAACTGGTATTGTGATTTAAATTAGAGCAAAATTAGAGGCAATATGGCAACAGTGAGCCTGCAGTTCTGGTTACAGGCACTATTTCTCAGTCCACAGGGGTGAGAAGGTAGGAGAGGGACAGAACAAAATGTTTAGAGGTTGCTTTAGCGAAGAGACCAGTACTGCCTAAACACACAGGTCCTGTAACATAAATACCTAACCTAAATAGCAGACGCAGCACAAGGCATCTTAGGCCTTCCGCCCAAGGAATTTTAACCCAGAAGTATCTGGACGACGAGCCCAGCATGTCCTTATCTTTGGGCAGAATTCTATTTCCACTTCTGGCATAGAAACATCATACCACATCAGTGCAGCAGACCTATATGGAACCCTCTTATGTGCATACAAATAACTGAATAAAAAAGCATTCTGCTGTCTTGGAGCAAGGAGAAATTTTACATAAACAAACAACTATAATTCTAGAACATATATAGAGACATAGTCATTCATTCAACACCCATTTTTGAGGGCCAGCTTGGTGCTTATTATTGCACTAGATTCTGATAATAGACTATAAACAAGGTTGACAGGGTTCTTGATCTGATGGCACTTACAGATAAGTAAGCAAGTGCTACATTGCTCTGCACAGAAAGGTCAAGGAAAGCTGGAATAAAAGGTAACACATAGGCAAAAACCGATGGATGACTGGAGACTCCAGGTGGAGGCTTGTGGAATGGTGGTGTAGATACAGGAGCAGTGTAACCAAAGTCATGGGAGCACTAGATGTGGTTTAGGAACTGAGCAGCCAGTCCCATGTCAAGAAGTGCATGGTGATGCCTCTCCTTTCCCTGTTCTTCCCCACTGGTTATTTATGCCATACTTTGTCTCTCTGAAATGCCAAAAGTGTCTCTTAGACACTGATTTCTTCCAGGGTGCAACTAAAAAAAAAAAAAAAACTCCCACCTGAAGAGGCATGTCATTTTCTAGCATTAGGGGTAAGTAAAATGAAGTAAAAATCACTGCATGTGTAGAGAAATTAGGACCAAAAGCAACTTCTTACATTTCTGCTTTGGAAAAATGAAGCGTGAATTCTCAACTGGTGAGGAGATGGTACATAGTACTTTAAGGTCCTGTTAGACTACTGGTTCAAATAAAAATTGACATGATTTATGCTCGAGCAATTGGATTCAGGGTAAGGTTACCACACCATACTTTTGCACACTTGATCCTCTCTCAAGTATTTATGGAGCATCTCCTTCGTGCAATGCATTATTCTAGGCACTATAGCAGAATACGAAAGACAGACAAAACAGGATACTACTGATTTCTGGGAGATTAGCAGTCCAGTTTGAGTGACAGCATACACATCAGAAAACACATTGGGATGCATCACCTCAAATGCTAGAAAGAAGACATTTAATACATTCTCAGTGATTGATGGACAGATTTGGTCTATGGATGCTGTGTCAGAATGAATTCTTAGGATGCCAGTCCCAAGCATCCCCAGGACACAATGGCTCTTGCCACACATTTTCCCATGTCTTTGGGGGCTATACCCAGGTTAGCCACCCTGGCTTGAGATAAGATTGCAAAGTTGATTTGTGAAGAGAAAATGTGAAAATAAAAATTTGGAAGAAATGAAGGGAGCATTCAGGATGGCCAAGGGGGGAAGGGAAGATCAGTTTTGTTTTCAGATGAGATTTGGTAAGAGATCTTGAGTCAGTCAGGCAAAGGAAAAGAGGATTAAATTTTGCTTCTAGAAATAATTAATTTTATTCATGAATGAATTGCTTCTTAGAGACGTGTGTGTGTGTAGAAAGGAGTGAGGTAGACTTCATCCGGAAACTGTCACGACACAGGTGCAGGCCGACAGGGACGCTGTCGAGTCATATGGTCTTTTTTTCTCTCTCTCTTTAAGAGAATAGCTTTTTCTAGGTCAAGGATTCTCAATATTTTTTTCTTTATTCAGCTTCTGCCACATTTCTCTCACCCCAGAGCTTCCCACATATCCCACAAGAAAAGCATTTCAGTATATGGAGCTTAGAACAGTGAGTGGCACAGGGTGGGGTGTTTCTTCATTCAGCCCATGTTTATCCAGGATTTGTATGTGTTGGCCACTCTACAAGGGCTGGGGACAGACCCTGAAGGAGACAGAGCCCAGGCCTCAGAGAGTTCTGCTTTCCAGGAAGACCCACGTATGCAAAGGATTAGAAGTGGGCGAGGCCTGTGGTATAGTAAAAAGTCTGGGTGAGAGGAGCTTGGCTCCCATGCCAGTTACCATCTTCCCCTCTGGGAGTAGAAACAGTGAGTCTGCTCACAAGGAACTGAAGATAAGTTGGGCTGCAGATGACAGCTTGGACCTGAGTCAGAGCTGGCAATGCCAGTCCTACAATCCTGCCTTTGCCCCAAACTAAAGTCAGCTGGGTTTGTCCATCAGATTGGTTTGCCTAATCCTAAGTGAAGCAACTAGAGAAGCCATCACTGGATTGTGGGGATGGGACAAGCCAGAAACCTCAGAGGGACAGCTCTGCCAAGTGAGCTGACTGTGAGGAGGGGGAGATGATCAGAAGCGTTTCCCATTGCAGGGCTTGAATGTCCAAGAGACAAGAGCCTTTTGTGAGCTGGGGTCTCAATCCATGAACTCTACACAGTATTGAGAAATATGGATGATAACAGCAGGCTCTCGCCAATCTCCCCAATTCTCCCATGGGAAGAAAAGAGTAAAGTGACAAAGAAAATAGATGGTCTGAAAAAATAAAAAATAGTTGGTCAAAATTTCTATTTAACTTAGGGAAAGAAAGCATTCTCTCTGTACTATGAGATATTAATGACATTAATGAATACTAGTAGCTAATATATATTAAATGCTCATCATATGCACATTTTACTAAGTACTTTATTAACATTAATTAAAATTATCCTAGTAAGAACCCCACAAGGGTCTGCTATTTGTACACTTATATAACAGATGAGGACACTGAGTTTTAGAGGGTGTCACATAACTGATAAGAGGAAGAGCCAGCACTCAACCAATAAGACAGGGAACCTGTCCATTAATGATAATTATTTAATGAAATAAATCACTGAGCCTGGGCTACTTAATGCTCTGAGAGAAACAGTGTCTCGGGTTGTCACTGGGGCTCTTTGTCCTTCTTTCTTTAGGCAGCCCGGTAGGTCTTTGAGATGCAGAAGACAGGCCTCAGAAGGCTGGAGGCTGACCCATTTCCCTCAAAGACCCTGTCATTCGTTCTCTCTTTCCACAAGAGTTTTCCATCTGTGCTTAGGCTCCGGGGAACCCTGAGTGGGAGGAAGCCACAGATGGATCTTCCTGAAACAATGCACCCACAGCAAATTCTGTATGTGTTGGTTGTGCACTGCTGGTGTGTTTCTACAAGGGTGCGATGTAAATCGAATTTCTGTAAATCGAATCCTCTCCTGGAGGAACACTTACTGCCATTGCCAAGATGCAGTATCTTACTTCTTGCCTGGCCATGGCTTATAAAAATTCAGTGTTAAGTAAATCCCTACCACCTGACTTTAGAATTAGGTAGGTACTGATTTGTAAACACACATGTCCACTTGGAAATGTCTTATATTTCAGGGAGTATTTTCATAAAGGCAGAAGAAACCTTTGGTGTTGCATGCAATCTCTGCTTATTGGTCTACTTTGTAAATTTGAATTTTCTTACAGTGATGAGATTGGTGTATGCTCTGTTACAGTCCCACTTGCCTTCACATTCACAGCACACTAGGCACTCAGGTGAAGCAGTGAGAGAGACATAGAGGCTGAGGCCCCTGAGTATATTTTAAGATTTCTAGGTATAGCTGTGCACAGATTAGGGCTGTTATATGTTTTGGGGAAGATGCAGGAATCTGGCAGGAGTTCCCAGCCATGTCTTCTCCATTGTACCTGTTTAATGCTCTATGATCCTGCCACCCTGCCAAGCTCTCCTCTGAGCCCAGAAGTGTGCCTCTTTCCTCCTCCTCTGCAAAGAGCAAACAAGCTCTGGATGTGACAGTGAATCAGAGTGAGTAAGAAGTCTTACTGGCTGGGCAGGAGGCCTGATGGGATAAAAACGAGGTAGCCAGAACCACTGCTCACCAAGTTCTTTGTTATGAGCCCCAGTGCCCTAGAGAATTCTCATTTTCTCTGTCTCCCAGGAAAGCCTCTGCCTCACTTGGGGACACACTGGTGACGAAGGAGGGATAGGAAGAAAGTCTCTTTGGGGAGTGAGTTCTCCTGGATCCACAGAGGCATGTAAACACCTAATGATCCCTTGACATGAGTTACGTAGTTGGTTTATTAGTAACAGCGGTAAACTTTAGCATCATAAGCCAGCCTCTTGCTTGGCTGGTTCTGTGTATGTTCTAAATTGTGAGTCTGATAAAGAGGGCATTACCCTTATTTGATCATTACATGCTGCATACATGGATTGGAATATTACACTGTACCCTATAAATGTACAATTATTATATGTTGATTAAAGAATAATTTTAAAACTTAAAATTCAATGAACCATCCCTAAATTAAAAAGAACAACACTAAAAAAGAGGAGTCGAGAGGAAAAGAGGCTGTGAGAGTCCCTGAATGTTGGCCTGGTTCATTGAGAAACTCAGGAACAAGTGAGACTCCGTAAAAGAAATGTGACTGGAGGCTGAGAATACATTATTTTGTCTTCTGCAACCACTAGGATAGATGTGTGCATGTTGGTGCCTACATATCACAGTCAGGCTAGAAGATGAAATCTGAAAACCACAGGGCTTATTAGCCTGGGACAAGAGGCCAAAGCTACACAGTGTTTGGGTGTGGAAGGAAGCTTGACAATGTGGGACGGCCAATCAGGGCTAAGTGATGCCAGAATCTGTGAGTTAGAAGGAAACTTAACATCACTTATTTCCTAGCCAGTGAAGACAACCAGTCTGCAGACAGTCAAGAAGGTGGTCAGTGGGTCCTAGCTTGAACAGTTCCAGCCATGAGGTGCTCACTGGAGCCAATATTTTTTTTTTTTTTGAGATGGAGTCTCGCTCTGTCACCCAGGCTGGAGTACAGTGGTGCGATCTCAGCTCACTGTAAACTCCGCCTCCCGGGTTCATGCCATTCTCCTGCCTCAGCCTCCCAAGTAGCTGGGACTACAGGCATCCACCACCATGCCCGGCTAATTTTTTGTATTTTTAGTAGAGACCGGGTTTCACCGTGTTAGCCAGGATGGTCTCAATCTCGTGACCTCGTGATCCCCCTGCCTCGGCCTCCCAAAATGCTGGGATTACAGGCGTGAGCCATTGCGCCCGGACCACTGAAGCCAATTTTTATTCAGCAGCCTAAAACATTATGAAGATCTTTTGGAAATCGAATCATAGTCTTTCTTCCCATAACCTTCCCTTATTGGTCCTGATTTTGCTTTCTTTTATTTCTCTAGAATAAGTCTAACTTCACAACAGGGCTCTAGATTTTGAAAACAGTTATTACTCTCCCCAATTCCTAGACTCGTTAGCGCTTTGTAACTTCCTTCCAGAGGTTCTTTCCTCCTCCTTCCCCTCCTCTCGCATTCTCTTCCACAAGCTGTCCTTGTTTGTTTTTCCCCAACTCTCCCTTTTCCATCTTTCTTCATGAAGAAAATACATGAAATTTATTTTGACATAAGGTTTTCTTCCTAAACCAATTCTGACTCCTAGGGAGCTTGCTTGCTTGCTCACATTTCAAAGTACTCAAGAATTTTGTCATGGATCAATATCAGTTTTTCATTTTAGAGTTTCTCAGGTCAGGCATTTCCCTCTCCCCAGACTTCTTTGACTTCTTGCTTTCTGTGCCATTGTCGAAGACTAGCGACAGTGGTGCCAGGTCACAGGCACACCTCAGGACACAGGGTGACTCTTCTGGAGCTGAAATCTCAGTGCTTCGAGGAACGTTGGAAATGTGCTGGAGTTGTGTCTAGAGAATACAGGTTTCTCATCCAAGTTCAAAGGATTACATCCAGCTGTTACTGAGTTTGATTTTGTATACCTAGATTTAGTTTTTGTGGTAAAATCATAGCCAGAGTTGAACTCATGAGGTCCTAATACACTTGTATCTGCTACACTCTTTGCCACCTGTATGAACAGCCGGTATGAACAGCCACCTGGCTACTGTCACTCCTGCCTCTTCTCTATTCTCTCCCCATCTGAGTTTTGTAGATTCTATCGCAGAACTGTCTTTCAAATCCAGCCTCTTTTCTTTTCCCCTGGCTTCATTGTCTACCATTCGTACTTTCCTCACTTCTCTAATGCAACCTGCCTAAGTCCTTGTTGGTCCATCTGTCCCCCAAAAATAAAACCCAAACCCATTTTCTTAGCATAAAACTCACTTCCAAATCCATTCATTCACTATTTCAACAAATAGTCAATGAATACTGACCCTCTGCCATTGATTGTGCCCCACCATTTCTTCCTGTTTTTCTTCTGTTCCAGTCCCGATGAACACCTCCAGATTTGCCCACAGAAGGCCCCCTTGATGTCCTGTGTCTTTCCATAACCCATTCCCTCTACCCCAAAAGCTCTTTATCTCCTCTGAGCTCCTTCTCACCTTTCAAACTCATCTAAATTATCATCGCCATATGAAGTCTTCTTTGACTCCTACAAGAGTTGGTTACTCCTACCTATGATTCCCCATCAGTTTATTCATATTTTTACCATACGAACTTATTTTTGTGCACTTGTTTATTTCTCTTTGCTCTTCACTAGGCTCTGAGCTCCTTCAGGCAAAGAACATGTCGTATTTCACCTTTATATCTCCTGACCCCAGCACCATGTCTGCCACACATAAGGGCATAATAAGAGGATGAAACCATTCAGTAGGAGTAGGATGTTCTGGGATGAAATTAGATGAAGGCGTAAACAAGTGGTTGAGACTCAAGGCTCTAGAATCAGACTGACTGGGTTAAATTGCAGTTTAAATTGCAGAATCAGACTGACTGGGTTAAACTGCAGTTCTGCTGCTTTTAGTTGTGTAAATTATTTTGCATCTCTGAGCCTCATTTTTTCTCATTAGTAATATTGGTGGAATAATAGTACTTTCGTTATAGGATTATTTGGTGATAACTGAAAAAAAAGATTTGGTTTATTTCTAGCTAAATGCTTATTCATTTTGTGAGGGGTCGCCCATTAGTAAATAAGAAAAAAAAAAGAATGAGAAATCTAGAGAAGAGTACAGGGAGAAAATAAAGAGAGATTAATTGAGAAAGAAGAAAGAATAGGTAGTCTTACTCTACCAGACTCGTTTTATGCATAGAACGCTGTACATTAATCAGATTTATCACTTATAGTCTACATACTGCTCTCCTTAACTGTAGCTTGAGTTAATCTAGCCACTGATTTTATAGTTGTAGATAGTTCAAAATAAATCATTAACAGTGACAGGTATTCTCCCTGTAGAGCACGACTCACACACCAAGATCCCACAGCATAAAAGACAAGGCCTCAAGACCAAAACCATCTCCCCCTAGACCCAACAAGCAAGAAGAAGGGAGACCACATACAGGTTTGTTGCTGAGCTGAGAAGAAATGGGAGCATGGCTACTTGACCACAGGGACAATAAAAACAGTAATTGAACCCTTATCCAGCTAGGCAATACAGTTAAGAGATCAAGAGCCAAGATTGTTTCATCAGGCTAGAATATTGGATAGATACAATCAAGACAGTATTAGTCAAAATAGGGTAACTGCTGAAACAAACAGTCCTCAAATCTGAGTGACTTAATGAAAGTTTATGTTTTTGCTCATGTCACACTCCAATACAATTTATGAGAGACATAAAAGGAGATTGCTTCATGAAATCATTCAGGACCAAGACTCCTACCTCATCACTGCCATTCCTTAGGGCCTCAGAGTCCTGGATCCTGGTAGACAAGGGAAGAGAAAGAGCATGAAGGATTTCATGAGAGGTTTGAAGGACTAGACCTGGACTCATATTCCACTGTAGAATTCAGTCACATGGCTATGTTTAAATGCAGAGGAAGCTGTGGGGGTGGGGGTGGGAAATTGTCCATCTGTGAGCCCAGGAGGAAAATGGAAACATCTTTGGAAACAACTTTCCAGCCTCTGCCACAAGGAGTGGAATGCAAAAAGAGGGCGAAATGTAAAGCCCTAAACTGAAGTTAAAAATGTCAATGTCACAAATATCAGAGACCTGACTTGGCTGTGATACTTGTGAAAAAAATTTCTGGGGCTGGAAAGAAATATGGGATACTGGCTGATGATATGATTATGGTTAGCAAAGAATATTTTTGTCTTTAAAAAATGAGTGTAATATTCAAGTACATTAATAAAGAAAATATATATAGCAGCAACAGCATACACTGCCTTCACGTCTTACTTATCTTTGTGTCCTTGTGTGTGTCCTAAATTATCTGAGCCTCAACAAGCTTAGCTATAAAATAGGACTAAAGCTTGTGGTGTGTGTCATTTAACTATTGCTACAATGATGCATACAAAACAGCAAAATTCAGTAGTTTAAAAATAATTTCTTCCTTAGCTGGGCGTGTTGGCATGTGCCTGTCGTCCCAGCTACTCGGGAGGCTAAGGCAGGAGAATTGCTTAAACCTGGGAGACAGAGACTGCAGTGAGCCGAGATCATGCCACTACACTACACTACAGCCTGGGTGAAAAAGTGAGACTCCATCTCAAAAAAATAAAATAAAAACGAAATTTATTCTTACTCATTCATGTGCAGGTTCGCCGGGTTAGCTTTGCATCACGCTGCTGGTCTGCAAGGAGGCCATTAGGTGTTTCTTCTAGTGGTGTTTATTCTGGGGCCCAGGCTAAAAGAGCAGCACCTGCAGTACCTGGAGGAAGCAGTTCTCATAGTAAGGGCAGAAATGCAAGATGGAGAGTAGAAATATGCAGTATCTATTGAGGTCTTGGCCCCAAATCAGCACACAGTCCCTTCTGCCCTCATTCCTTTGTCCAAAGCAAAGTCACAAAGCCAAACCCAATATCACTGAGGGAAGGAAATAAGCTCCCCTCTCACAAGTGAGTGATATTGCAAAGTAACATGTCAAAGGGCACTCTAATACTGGCGAGAATGATGATTCAATCAACCACACTGACATCTGTAGGATTATAGTGACAATTTAAAAATATATAAAGTATCTACTTCCATTCCTAGAAACAGAGGGTCTCACTAATAACTGAAACTATGATAATGGTCATAGTGATGGTGATAATGATGTATTCAGATCTTGTATCCTAATGTACTCTCAGTGGCTCAGAATATATCTACCAGATTGTGTTCAATTTTGGTTTCCATCTTTAAAAAGAAAGAACGTTGACAAGCTAGATTGCAAGCAGAAAAGGTGGAGCATGTAGGCCTAGGAATCTGGAAACTGTGTTGAAGGAACTAAAACTATTTAGTCCAAAGAAGAATGGCCTATATAAAAATTAAATGCACCAAAATACCAGAGGGGCTATTTCTTTGCAAAAGGAATAAACTTGTAGAATAATGGAAGGAATTACCAGTCTGTGGGAATTCTCTGGGAGTCAAGTAAATAAAGGAAGCTCATGAAGACATCTGATGGGAGAAGCATTGCATGGGCCACTTGCTGAGCAAAGACAAGCACAATGGGAGGCAGATAGTGGTGAACAGAGCTATGCTGTCCACAGTTGAGCAGATGAGATGCTGGGGAGCAGTTTGGGATGTCAGGAAAGATCTGACAGTTTGTGCCTGGGAAGACACAGGTCTCAGCTCCCTCTTCAAATCCTTCTGGTCACACAGATTCACTGGGCCCTCATTCCAGTGGGTCTGTTGTCTTTCATGTTGATTCTATAAACACACCACTCTCAGTGCCCTCCCTATGTCCCCAAGCCCCACCAGGGCAGTGTGAGAATAGCCAAACAGTGATCTCCTCCTCCTCCTTTAAGCTTGACTCTCCCCTCCCCCATTTCTCCCAATCAGCCTTAATTAAACTGTTTGAAAGCTGCAGCTTGATTTTAATTAGAGCAAAATTGGGAAGATTAGAATGAAATTGGCCAATCATTGTTTACGGGCCGTTGTTTGAGAACACAGCAGGCTGCTAAATTACCTCCATGCCAGGCTTCTTGAATTCTCCCAGACAGTGAAAAGATGGAGAGCACCAGGACATCAGGGAAGAGATGGCCTCATTTCTGTTCTTGTGTCTCTAAGAATTGCAAGGGCTGAGATATTACTTAACCAAACAACTCCTGGACTGAAGCCTTCCTGCCTGGGGATCTCTCCCAGCCACAGTGGTAAACAAGGCAAAAGAATTACCTGGGAAATATGACAAAGGTGGACAGTACTCCCTGAGCTTGAACACAGGTCACAGACAAAGGCAGAAAATCATTGGTAGTGTGGTCTAGGTTCTAGTCAAACTCTACCACTAGTCAACTGAGACTTGGGGCAAACCATTTCTCTCAGTTTCTCTGTCTCCTCATGTGTTAACATGTAAAAGCTTAATAGTTGATTAATGATATTTTCTCTCCCTTTCCCCCAAGGTCCCTGTATAGATAAAATAAGCGTGTGTAAAAATTGTGTGCAAAAAACAGTTTGGATATCAAGACAACTGTTCGGAGAATAATAGCCTAGTCCCTTTCAGCACTGTAGTCCTTTTGAGCAATAAAAGTTGGAGGGGGTGCCCCCAAAAGAGAGACTACTGGAAATAGATCAGGAGGGCCAAAGAATAGAGAAGGTCAATGTCCCTACCATGATAGCTGACTGCTTCTGTCATTGTTTGCAAAGTGGGTTCCATTGCTGCTTTAAGACTTCCCCCCAATCTCTCAGGAAAGCACTACGCCAATATATGGGATTATGATTTTTATTATCGTTTCGTTTTATAGCTCAGATTAATCATGTCTTATTCATTATAGCAGTAAAGTCTCTAATAGCCAAGTACATTACAGTAATCTGTTGTTGAGATAGAAATCTCCTGGTCATGTGATGTGTCTGGAAATACTGCCTCTGTATTGGAGCCAAAGTATGATATATCCTTAAGCCCCTAAAATGTCCAGCTTGATAGAGAATGTGAAACTATCATAGCTGAGTCACTGGGTAAAAAACTGGCATCACTCAGTGTACATGTTGGCTTTGGCTATTCTTGTTCATGTGAGTTTTTCAAGATGAAAAATGTGAGTCCTATGAAAAAGACAAAATGGTGATGTCATCGCTTGGTGGACTGAGTTCTGTGATGGGAGCAGTAGCCCTGGATGTGAGGTATATTGGTAGAAAGATGAAGAAAGAGAAGACTTCCTGTGTCTGAAATTCTTTAGGAAAATCAGCAGTGTGAAACTCAGTGGTACTTATTGATTTTCCTCTGTCCAGTTGGCAAGTCTCAAGCTAATTGTGGAAAGGCAAATCTCCAAGACAAAGGCTCTGAGAACAAAGACAGTTGAACTTACCCAGAACTGGTTGGTATGTGAGAAAATTTCCCATGGGTCATTGGTTGACAGTTTAAGTAGACAAAGTAAAGTCCCAGGAAAAATGACAAGAAAACTATGTCCTTGGCTTGAGGCCAGTCTCTTTTGCTCCAGAGTTCTTAAATATTTTATTCAATAACATGTCCTCTGTTTATCTTCATTTTTCAGGGAAAACCAGTTTGGTTCAAACTGGAGAATAATAGCCCAGTCTCTTTCAGCACTGCAGTCCTTTTGAGCACTAAAAGTTGGAGGGGGTGCCCCCAAAAGATAGATCATTGGAAATAGATCAGGAGGGCCAAAGAATAGAGGTCAATGTCCTTACCCTGACAGCCCACTCCTTCTGTCATTGCTTGCAAAATGGGTTCCGTGGCTGCCTTAAGACTTCCCCACAGTATCTCAATTCTGAGAAACGCAGAATAGTGAGCAGGCGGTGATTGGTTGGCTCTGCTGGAAGCAGCATTGATTTCCTCCTCAGTAAACCCAGCCTGGAGTCTAATGCAGGAGGAACAAATGTCTCCTAGTATGCAGGGGCACACTGACACCAGGATAGGTTGGTGCCAAGCCTGCAGGGGTGCCACGGTGGAGGGGGGCGGATAGAGCTGCATGCTTAGGATACAGGGATGTGACTTTCCAAATGACAGCCCTATCTGTGGACTTGGAAATGGGCCGGAACATGCTTCCCCCGCAGAGGTAGAAAGATGAAAGATCTATTAAAAAACTGGAAACAGAATAATCCGGCTGTTCGTGTGAAGTTATAGCACAACCACCCACATTGTAGGCTACAGTATTCATTACAGGTTGAGTATCACTTATCCAAAAAATGTTGGGGACCAGAAATATTTTGAATTTTTTTTCAGATTTTAGAATATTTGCATTATACTGGATCAGCATCTCTAATCTCAAAATATGAAATTCTAAATGCTCCAGTGAGTGTTCCCTTTGAGAATCATGTTGATGCTCAAAAAGTTTTGGATTTTGGAACATTTTAGATTTCAGATTTACAGATCAGGGACACTCAACCTGTACTTCTAGATTTCAGCTTCACTGAGGTACAGTTTGTGTGTGTGTGTGTGTGTGCGTGCGTGTGTGTGTGCGTGTGTGTGTGTGTGTGCGTGCGTGTGTGTGTGTGTGTATTTTTTTTTAATACTCTCCCCCTTAAGGCTGCATAGGGAGGGAGGCTTCATAGGTAGTGACTCTTCACAGGGGCCAGGTCAATGTTCTCAGTTTATGAGTCTGGAAACTGGTGCTTCTGTGTGCAGCTGCTGGAAACAGCACCTGGGCTGGAAGACCCCAGCTGTGCTCTTTCTGAGTCTTTCATCTTCAGGCACGAGACCCTGCAGGGGGATTCTTGCTGGGAGATTTCTTGTTGACCTTGTGTAACATAGTGCTGCAGGTGGCTGCTGACATAAGAATCAGTAGCTTGAGTCGGAGGCAGCACTTTTTATTTACATCTTTTGAATTAGGAACATTTGTAGCCATTTAGTATTCTCATCGGAGACCCTTTTGCTTCAAACCCAGAGCTGGCCCAGTCTCAAAACCCTGCTGAAGCTCCTGTGCCTGAGATCTGGCATGGCTATGGTTCAACTCTCTTATTGCAGGGCCCCTTTGGATTTTAGGGAAATCCCTAAACTCATGTACAACCAGAAGCATCATTTTTTGGCAATCTGGACCACTAGTGTTATGCAATTTGGGATAAAGATAACTACAATTACTTCAGCACTGATTATTTAGATATCATTATATCTAAAATATTCTGAGTGTCGGTATGCTTGGCTGATTTAACACATTGGATTATACCTTCCAGGCTGGGTTATCCCTTTCCTGGACATTGTTTTGGTTTTTATTAATGATTTTATGTGTATGTTCACCCTTTCCTGGAAATACATATTGTTCACTCTAGGCTAACCTAAAGCATGCTAGAGGAAGATGGAAAATGGACTGAATTTTTGTTAATTATAGCAGTTTACTGAAGTACCCTTTATATGTGCAATGTGAATGCATTTTACAGGCAAAGTCCACAGGGAAGGGCTCTCTTTACCCTTTGGCTCAACCTGTCAGCCCTGAATGCAGTGGCCACTCCTATTCTAAAGACACTTTACATAGGGACTATAGGGCTGTTAGAAATGTTTGCTTTCTCAGACTGTTTACTGTGTAACAAACACAGTGGGAGAAGATTTTAGGAGAAATGGCTAAATTGAAATGGAGATTTACTTGATATCTTAATTGAAACAAAGATGATGGCTTAATTGAAGCAGTGTGTGTTAATATAATTGATATATAGAAAACATCCTTTTCTTAGTTTAAAAAAAAGAGCCTTGATTATTCTATTACTGGGGGGAAAAGCTGCTAAATGAAAAATCAGAAATGAACATTTCTTCTTTGAATAGCTCAGGCTGCCTTCCAGTATTGCCTCTGAGGTTTGCAGATGCTGGAAAGAACCAGGTTATTAAGTTCTGTAAGCACATTTTTACCACTTTCTGGCTCAAACACCACTCATAGATGTTTCTCTATTATTTTGGTTCCATGAAGGGCCCCAGAGGGCAAGGAAGAAACTTATTGGGGTAGAAGAGAAAACCACTGGGAGCCCCTAGAGTCTGAACCTTTCTGTGGCTTAGTACTTATGCCTAATGTTTCTTTTTTGAGACAGGAGTCTTGCTATGTTGCCCAGGCTGGACTCGAACTCCTGTGGCTGAGGCCTTATGCCTCATAATTTTTGAGACAGGGGTCTTGCTATGTTGCCTGGGCTGGACTCAAACTCCTGGGCTCAAATGATCCTCCCACCTCAGCCTTCTGAGTAACTGGGACTACAGGCACTAGCCACCATGCCCACTTGAGTCTAATTCTGAGTTGATAGCCCACTGTAATTTGTGATGAAAATAGATTTGGGTTTTTTTGTTTGTTTTTTGTTCTTTGGCAAATGTAGCCACTTGTGTGCATTCTTTGTTTGTTTGTTTGTTTGTTTGTTTGAGATGGAGTCTTGCCCTGTTGCCCAGGCTGGAGTGCAGTGGCACAATCTCGGCTCACTCCAACCTCCACCTCCCAGGTTCAAATGATTCTCCTGCCTCAGCCTTCTGAGTAGCTGGGATTACAGGCACCTGCCATTGCGCCCGGCTAATTTTTGTATTTTTAGTAGAGAACAGGTTTCACCATCTTGGCCAGGGTGGTCTCGAACTCCTGACCTCGTGATCCACCCGCCTTGGCCTCCCAAAGTGCTGGGATTACAGGCATGAACCACGGCGCCCGGCTGCCACTTGTATGCATTCTTATGGATTCTTTCTCCAGTGAAATTCTCCAAATATAGTCCCTATCCTTATAATCCCTATATGGCACTATTGAAACTCTCTCCCCACATGCACACACTTCTACTCCATAGCACAGTTGTTCCTCAGAGTTTCACAGGTGGAGGTAGTATAGCCTAGTGGCAAAGGCTGTGTGTACTGGAGTCAGACAGTCTGTGTTTAAATCCTGACCTTGCCACCTACTAGCTTTTAACTACTGAGCAAATTAACTTATTTGTACCTCAATTTCATCATCTATAAAATGAAGATAATTATATTTTCCCCCTTATATGGTGTTTTGAATATAATATTAACTAATCCTTGTAAGATGCTTGGAATGCCTATCACATACTAAAAATTCATTAAATGTTAGCCATTATTTTTTATTATTTGCTCATAAAAAGCTTCCTTAGACAGTATCATTCCTTTTTCTAGGTCATTCACTATTCTGTATTATGATTTATTTAGCAGCCACAGGAGCTGGACTTAGGCCTTTATCTGTGATTCCTCCCATGTACTCTCTGTATGGACTTGGCTTTTTGAGGCATCTCAATTTCTTCTCCTGCAAATGGGCAGGTTAAAACTGGCTTAATCCAGGAACATTTTGCTGCGGTGTAAATGTTATGCTATGTTTTGAATATACAATTAATCCATGTTTTGTGTAGAAAATGTAAAAAGTGGAATGTTCTGGGTAATAAAAATATTTGTGTTAAAGGATACTAAACACCACAAAAAAATTAGAATGCAATGAAATACACTTAACATTTAACCTTATCTACTCGAAGGAAAACAGTGCTATAGAAACAGCAGTATGATATTGGCCTGGGTTTTAAGCACAACTCTGTCATTTACTAACTGTGTGACTTCATCCACACTACTTTCTTAATCTCTCTGGGTCCAAGTTGTGACTATTGTCACCACCATCATAGTTGCTGTTAATAGCATAGAAGGAGGGCCAGGACACTAGCTTTTTGTTCTGGTTCTATTATCAACTGGCTTTATTGCTTTAGGTAAACCACTTACCCTTTCTGTTTTATGAGAAACATAAGGAAACTAGAGGATACTAGTTCCCATCCAGACCCAGTGTCTGACTGGGCCAGACAACAGACTACCAATTTTTATTTATTATATTTAATTAAAGTGGGGCCCACCTCTATGCTAAGTTGGCCTTTCCTTTCCGTGAGGGGCTTCGACCATTATAAGAAACTATGGAAATTGTAATAATGTCTTTTTCCCCTAGCAATGTAGAAAAATAATAGATTAGAAATTATTAGTTAATGAAGTCTAGACATGCCCTATCCCAAAGCAAGGGGGCTGGGTTTGATGACCCTAAGGTTTTTTGTTTGTTTATTTGCTTTTAGTAATCTGATTTTATGATTCATCAATGTAATTATCAACTAACCAGTGAGAGGATTCTAGTTTCCATCCAGCCAATTAGAGATGAGATTAGGCAACTGTTCTTTACCCTGCAGTGGGGTTTGGGATAGAAAATACTTTTGACAAATACTCTGTACTTTAATTAAAGCTTAGCATTTGCTGCACAAAGGAAATAACTGACAATATATTATTATGAACTTACCTGCTTAGATAAATAAAGCTACACAGCGGGAATTTTGAAGACTTTGTTGGAACCATGAATTATTAGTCACCCGCTTTTCTTTGTTTCCCTAGTAACATTTGACACATGCTCCTCTCTCAGTCTCTACAGTTAGATGGTGGGATTTATGCCTCAAATGTGGCATGGATTTTTATTTATTCATGTATTTATAATTTTAATTTTAAAAATTTTGTTTATAATTGACATATCCGGCACAACAGTGTATTGGTGTGATGTTTCAATACATGCATACACCGAATAATGATCAAATCAGGGTAGTTAGCATATACATCACCTCAAACATCTATCATTTCTTTGTGGTGATAACTTTCAAGATGCTTTTTTCTAGTTACTTAAAATCTACAGTACATTATTATTAGCCACAGTTACCCTACTATGTAATAGAGCACATAACTTATTCTTCCTAACTATAACTTTGTATCTGTCAACCAAGCTCTCCCCATCTCCCTTTCCCACTACCCTTCCTAGCCTCTGGTAACCACTGTTCTAGTCTCTAATTCCATGAGATCAACTTTTTTAGACCTACATATGAGTGAGGTTATGTGGTATTTGTCTTTCTATGCCTGGCTTATTTCACTTAACATTACGTCCTCCAGGTTCATCCATGTTGCTGCAGATGATAGGATTTCATTCTTTTCACAGCTGAGTAGTATTTCATTGTGTATATCATCAGTTTATGGACATTTAGGTGGATTCCATATTTTGGTTGTTTTGAATGGTGCTGCAATAAACATGAGGGTGCAGATATCTCTTTGATATACTAATTTCAGTT
Organism: Homo sapiens; assembly: GCF_000001405.40. Lineage (NCBI taxonomy): Eukaryota > Metazoa > Chordata > Mammalia > Primates > Hominidae > Homo > Homo sapiens. The sequence goes on from NC_000001.11 coordinate 177,253,047, forward strand.
CCTTTGAATATGTACCTAGTAGTGAGATTGCTAGATCATATGTTAGTTCTATTTTTAGTTTTCTGAGGAATTTTCATGCTGTTTTCATAATGACTGCACTAATTTACACTCCCACCAACAGTGTATTAGAGTTCCCCTTTCTCTGCATCCTGACCAGCATTTGTTATTTTCTGTCTTTTTGATAACAGCCATTCTAACTAGGGTGAGGTGACATTTCACTGTGCATTTGATTTGTATTTCCCTGATGATTAGCGATGTTGAGCATTTTATCATATACCTGCTGGCCATTTTTATGTATTCTTTTGAAAAATGTCTATTCAAGTCTTCTGACCATTAAAAAAAATGTTCTTTTGCTATTAAGTTATTTGAGTTCTTTACATATTCTGGATATTAACCCCTTATTGGACTCATAATTTGCAAATATTTTCTTCAGTTCTGTAGGTTGTCTCCTCGCTCTGTTGTTTCCTTTGCTATGCAGGAGCTTTTCAGTTTGATGTAATCCCATTTGTTTATTTTTGCTTTTGTTGCCTGTGCTTTTGAGTTCTTATCCAAAAAAACTTGCCCACATCAATGTCATAAAGCTTTTCCCCTAAACTTTATTCTATTAGTTTTATAGTTTTGAGTCTTATGTTTAAGTCTTTCATTCATTTTGAGCTGATTTTTGTACATGGTGAAAGATAGTTTTATTCTTCTGCATGTGGGTATTATGTTTTTTCAGCACCATTTATTAAAGATATTCTCCTTTCCCCAATGTGTGTTCCTGGCACCTTTGTCAAAAATCCGTTTATTTATTTTTAATTATTTTATTTTTATGCAACTCTATCATTTGCATTTCATGGACATTTGGGGAAGGTTAGACCAAGATTTGGCACTGTTATGATGAGCAGATTTGGGATGGGTGAAGAGGGTGTAAACACTTTACATTTTGTTGCTTCCTAAGGCAGTGGAGCTGGTTCTTACCAGTATAATTTGGGGGACAATGGAAAACTCATTTTTTATTAATGGATATGATTCTTTAAATTTCATCCCAAGACAAAGATTTATAAACCTGTCCCCTTTAAAATGCAAACATTCCAGTGAGGAGCAAAGCATGAAAATTAAAATCTTCAACAGGATTAGAAAGGAACAACTTTGCAATCTTCTAGAATAAGGCTTCTCAAAATATGGATCCGCTTAGTCTATTTCAGAGTGTTCATGTTGACATTTGCACTGAAGGTACAAAATAAAACTGCTGGTACTTTAATTTGAATAAAAGCAGTCATACCACATAACACTAAGAGTCATGTATTCTTCATCATTACACACTTGCACCTAAACACATAAGCACACATGCACACACACACACACACACACACACACACACTATCTTCACTTAAGAATGTCCTTAAAGCAGTAACATTTATTACTTTTATTAAATCCTGACCCTTGGGTACATGTGTTTTTAATATTCTGTAAGATGAAATGGGAAGTGCACATAAAGCAAATCTGAGGCTACTTAAGTACTATAATTATCTCAAGGAAAAATACTTTTGTGGTTGAGTTGCAAGCTGAACTAGCCACTTTTTTCATGGAACTCCATTTTTTCTTGAAAGCACAGGCAACAAATTGTGATTATTCAGACTTGAGTGTCTAGCAGGTGTTTCTCAAAAAAAAAAAATGAATTAAGCCAGACTCTGCAAGGAAAACAACTGACAGTATTTGTTGCCAATAATAAAATTTAAGCTTTTAAATGAAAATTCAAAGTTTAGAAAACTTGCATTCATCCTCATGAACTTGACATTTTCCTAATATTTAAAGACGTTGAAGAGATTGGTCATGATATTAAATAGTGAGATGTTTTAATATTATATAATGAAAAGTGTCAAAATGTGGAAGATCTGCATAACTTGGTGACCTGATATTTTCCAGATGACCAACACATGATGTTACAACATTATGCAGGATAAAAAGATCCATTCAAATTACAATATAGAACACTGGATTTAATGTAACAAAGCATGAAAAGTTCACTGATATGATTTCAGATTCCATATTGTAACTAACCTTTAAGAAACTACCATCTGTTTAGTTTAGTGTAGTACCAAAGATGAAAATCCACAATTATGAAAACAGATTGAATGTAGAAGCAAATATGAGAGTGCAGCTCTTTTCTGCTAAGCCTGATATTAAAGAGATTTGCAAACATGCAAAGCCATGCCACTCTCCTTGCTAAATTTGTTTTGTTTCAGAACATACAGTTGTCATGAAAATGTTATGTTATATGTAATGGGTTTATTAATGTTATCTCTAAATGAAATAACAAATGTTGATTTTCTCGGTTTTGATTTCTAAAATGGTAAATCTCAATAGCTCTAAGCCACATGTACAAATATGGGGATTCAATAATTTTTAACAGTATGAAGGGGATCAGAGATCAAAATATGAGGGCAGTGGTTCTAGAGCAAGCTTCCTGACTTCACAGGTGAGTAACTGAGGCCATGAGAGGGGATGTGACTCATTCACGGTAAGACAACTGTGATTAGATCACATCTTTGCAAACCACTGTTCCAATGTTTGTTTTTTCTACTACTCAACACTGTAAACCATGACTTCATGTGAATAAGCTAATCAACTACTGTCTGATGAGAAAGTTGGCTGGGAGAGGCTCTGATGTAGATCAGTGGAGACAGAGCTTTCTTACAGCATGTGAATGACAGGCCAGGTGAGAGGCCAAGGGGCCTCTTCCAGGCTCTGGGCACCTCCAGCTGAGGGGATGTGGGCTGAGAGGAGATGAGTGGCTGCAAGTGGAGGAAGAACATTACCTACTTCAGATTTTATGCCTCTTGCTCTGAAACGAGGTCAGCTTTTCCTTATCCCTTGGCTTTTCCCCCAGGGAGTTTGCCCGTTGGAAGGTGAACAACTTGGCTCTGGAAAGGAAGGACTTCTTCAGTTTGCCATTGCCTCTTGCCCCAGAGTTTATCCGGAACATTCGCCTCCTTGGAAGGAGACCCAATCTGCAACAGGTTACAGAAAATCTGATTAAAAAGTACGGCACTCATTTCTTACTTTCTGCCACCCTTGGAGGTAAGCAACATCACAATCCCAAGCTAATTGGTTGCCAGACCATTGGAAATAACGTTAAGACTCGTGTAGCGTAGCTCCAACAGTCTTATCTTCTTCCGGGCCTTTTATTGCCTGAGAAGTCTTTCTGGTGCATTTGAAAACAGTGCAGTCTCTTGACATCTCAATTTACCCCAGAACATCTCTATTTAATTATTCCCTGAGGAGGGGAAGTTGGGTATGGCGGTTGGAGGTGGACAGGCTCCTAACAAGCACTTGCCAGCAGGGGGCACTCCCAGTTTTCGCTCCGCTGAGTCACCCAACCCCTGAGGCTTCGCCACTTTCTAATGTTTGCTGTGGCTACAATGGTCAGACCCACAGGCAAAAAAGTCGAAGTCCCTGGAGTCCCTGACCCCTCTTCCTCTCTATAACGATTGGAAACTGTCCAAACCAACTCCAGTAGTTCTGGGCTGATGAATCATCCTCTTGTGGGGCGGAGAGTGGGGGTAGGGTGGAGCAATGTGGGCTAGGACCCAGGGCAGGATCAAAATCTCTGAAGATGCAGAGCTCCCTCTGCCCTGGGAAGAAGGAAGCAGGATTTATTATAACATTTAGCTCACTGTCCAATCGACTAAAACAAGCTCTCCCAGGGCTCGGGCCAGCTGTCGGCACGCGGCAGGTGTTGAGTGTTTGATGGGGAGGAGGGAGATGCCCCTTCAAGGCTTTTGCCCTTCCTGAGGGAGCAGAAAAAGCCACGAAGACTCCTCGTAAACAACTTGAGAGAGAGAATTGTGTCTCCCCTATGAAGATGGATTGCTTGAGACAGAGTTCAATAGAAGATGTTAAACAGATAAGCTGAGGGCAGGGGGACTGAGCTTTGGAAGAGGGCCTTTCAGGCAGCGAGGCCGCTGGCCTGTGGCTCCCTCTGATGAGCTTCTTCTAAAGATGGTAAGGGCTGGGGGAAGAGCTTGGCAGCAGGGGCTGCACTCTCTCTCAGCTGTGTCTATCTTGGCCAAGGGTTTTATGTTCCTATTGGTAGGGGATTCGAGAGCAGAGAGCGTCACCAATACACTCGTGTTGTTCACCATAGGAGAAGAGTCCCTGACCATTTTTGTGGACAAGCAGAAACTGGGAAGAAAGACAGAGACAACAGGAGGTGCCTCTATAATCGGGGGCAGTGGGAACAGCACAGCTGTGTCCCTGGAGACCCTGCACCAGCTGGCCGCCTCCTACTTCATCGACAGAGAGAGCACGCTGCGACGGCTGCACCATATCCAGATAGCCACGGGGGCCATCAAGGTAATGACCTGAGAGGTACAGGGAAGGGGATGGGGGAAGCACTGAGGAACCAGGGGGAGGCCAGAGCCTCAACCATCTCTAGGTCAGCTGGGCCGACTGATGGAAGAGGAAAAGAAGCTTTCTGATGAAGACACAGCCAGCCTTCAGACACGATGGGGTCATTCATTCCACTGCAGACACTCACAGAGCACCCACTCTGAGGCAGGCTACAGCAGAGGCACGTCTGTGAATGGCAGTCAAGGTCCCCATGCTCACAGAGGTTGCACTCTGGTGGAGGATGGAAAAACAACAAAGTTATTTCTAATGATAAATAAAGACAAGACAGAGTCATAGGTGTACATTTCCTGGGGCGTGGGGAGGGAGCAGCTCATACGATTATTATTAGATTGATCATGGAGGGCACTTTGGGGTTTAGACTTTGAGCTCTGAATGATAAGAAACCAGCTGTGTGGAGAAGTGAGCGGAAAGTGTTCAGGCAGACAGAACAAAGTACTAAGTACTTGTTCCAAGTAAGTACTAAGGCCTTTTAGCAGGAACCAGCCTGGTGCCTTGTTGGGGCACAGAGAAGACTGCTGAGATGATGGGGAGGTGAATAACAAAGAGAAGATGAGGTTTGGCTGGAGCCAGGTTATGTGCCATGAGAAGGAATTTTAATATAAGTGAAAGTGCAGTGAAAAACCACTGGAAAGATTTAACAGGGGAGTAACATGATCTCATGAGTGTTTTTAAGAGATCAATAGTTATTGTGACTTTAATAACTATAACCTTCATCATATCTTCTCTACTTACACCTAAGAGGTTTCTAGTAAAGTTCATGTTGTTTTAGGGAAAACCAGTGAAAATACTGTACTTGAGAATACAGTTTTTTAAAAATTCTAAGCAAAATGTTAAGGTACTGAAAATACTTCAAAGTTGTCTTATATCCTGCTTTTATCCCATGTGAAACTCACAAGCAAATTTTGTTTATTTATTAATTCATTCAATAAGTATTTACTGAGCACGTATTATTTGTCAGGCACTGTTTGGGGTCCTGAGAATACAAGAATGAACAAAAGCTGTAAAGTTCCTGCCCTGATAAAGCTTGAATTCTAATAGCAGAGAGATCATTCATAAATATACAGGCAATAGCTCATTTTGTTATGGTTTGCTTCATTGCATTTTGCAGATACTGTGGTTTTGTTTTTGTTTTTGTTTTTGTTTTTACAAATTGAAAGTTTATGGCAACGCTGTGTCAAACAAGTTTCCTGGCACTATTTTTGGCACTATTTTTCCAACAGCATGTGCTTACTTCGTATCTCTGATAATTCTCACAGTATTTTAAACTTTTTCATTGTTATTTTATCTGTTATGGTGATCTGTGATATGTGACCTTTAATGTCACTTTTATAATTGTTTTGGAGTGTCACAAATTGCACCCATATGTGATAACAAACTTCGTCAATAAATGATGTGTGCTCTGACTGGTCCACCAACTGGCTGTTCCCCTATCTCTCTCACTTTTCTCAGGCCTCCCTATTCCCTGAGACACAACAATATTGAAATTAGGCCAATTATTAACCTTAGTGGCTTCTAAGTTTTCAAGTGAAAGAGTCAGACATCTCTCACTTGAAATCAAAAGCTAGAAATAAATGATTAGGCATAGTGAGGAAGGCATGTCAGAAGCTGAGAAAGGCCAAAACCTAGGCCGCTTGCAACAAACAGTTAGCCAAGTTGCAAATGCAAAGAAAAAGTCCTTGAAAGACATTAAAAGTGCTAGTCCGGTGAATACAAGAATGATAAAAAAGCCAAACAGCCTTCTTGCTGATATGAAGGAAGTTTGAGTGGTCTGGATAGAAGATCAAACCAGCCACAACATTCCCCGAAGCCAAAGCCTAATCCAGAGTAAGGCCCTGACTCTGGTTAATTCTCTGCAGACTGAGAGGGGTCAAAAAGCTACAGAAAAATGTTTGAAGCTAGCGTAGGTTGGTTCATGAGATTGGAGGAAAGAACCCGTCTCCATGATATACAAGCACAAGATGAAGCAGTAACTGCTGATTTAGAAGCTGCAGCAGGTTATCCAGATCTAGCGAAGATCATTGATGAGGGTGGCTACACTAAACAACAGATTTTCAGTGTAGATGACACTGCCTTCTCCTGGAAGAAGATGACATTGAGGACTTTCATAGCTAAGGAGGGTAAGTCAATGCCTGGCTTCAAAGCTTCAAAGGACAAGCTGACTTTCTTCTTACAGGCTAATATAGCTGGTCACTTTAAATTGAAGCCAAGACTCATTTAGCATTCTGAAAATCCTAGGGCCCTTAAGAATTATGCTGAATCTCCTCTGCCAGTGCTCTATAAATGGAACAATCCAGCCTCGATGACAGCATATTTGTTTACAGCATGGTTTATGAACTATCTTAAGCCCATTGTTGAGACCTACTACTCAGAAAAAAAATTCTTTCAAAATATCACTTCTGATTTACAATATACTTGCTCACCCAAGAGCTCTGATGGAGATGTACAAAGGAGATTAATATTGTTTTTATGCCTGCAAACACAGCATCCATTCTGTAGCCCATGAATCAAGGAGTAATTTTGACTTCCAAGTCTTATTTAAAAACGTTTTTATAAGGTAAAGGCTGCCATAGATAGTGATTCCTCTGACAAATCTGGGCAAAGTAAATTGAAAATCATTTAGAAATAACACTATTCTAGATGCCATTATGAACATTTGTAATTCATAGGGGGATGTCAAAATATCATTAACAGGAGCTTTGGAGAAGTTGATTCCAACCCTCATGGATGTCTTTGAGGATGTCTTTCCTCAGTGGAGGAAGTAATTGTATATGTAGTGGAAATAGGAAGAGAACTGAAATAAAACGTAGAGCCTGAAGATGTGACTGAATTGCTGCAATCTTATGATAAAATGTGAATAAATGACGAGTTGCTTCTTATGAATGAGCAAAGAAAGTGGTTTCTTGAGAGGGAATCTACTCCTGGTGATGATACTATGAATGTTGTTGAAATGACAACAAAGAGTTTAGAATATTTCATAAACTTAGTTGATAAAGCAGTGGCAGGGATTCAGAGGATTGACTCCAATTTTGAAAGAAGTTCTATTGTTGGTAAAATGCTATCAAATAGCGTCACATGCTACAGAGAAATCTCTCATGAAAGGAAGAGTCCATTGATGCAGCAAACTTCATTGTTGTCTTAGTTTAAGGAATTGCCACAGCCACCCCAACCTTCAGCAACCACCACCCTGATCAGTCAGCAGCCATCAACATCAAGGCAGGACACTCCACCAGCAAAAAGATTCCAACAACTGACTGATGGCTCAGATGATCATTAGCATTTTCTAGCAATAACATATTATTTAATTAAGGTATGTACATTGTTTGTTCAGACATAATGCTATTGAACACTTAATAGACTACAGTATAGTGTAAACATAACTTTCATATGGCACTAGGAAACCAAAAAATGTGCATGACTTGCTTTATTGTGATATTTGCTTTATTACAGTGGTCTAAAGCTGAACCCATAATATCTCTGAGGTACACCTGTATAATGCCAGGTGGGATGAATGGTATGAAGAAATGAAGCCAAGTAAGAGGATAAAGGGTGATGGGGATGTGGAGTTTAGGGAAGACCTGTCCAAGGAATGCCACTTAAGCAGAGACCTGAATGAAGTGAGGGAGTAAGCCCCAAACATCAGAGACAAAGGACAGAACAGGTACAAGTGCCCTAAAGTGGCAGGGCAGTGTACTTTGTATGATCCAGGACCACCAAGAAAGGCAGTGAGGCTGGCATGCAGGCAGGAGAGAAATGAAGTGAAAGATGAGTTTATAGAGGTTGCAGGGGCCATATCATGAAGGCCTTACTGATTAGGAAGTAGAAAGAAAGGGGGATCCTGGAGACCAGTGCAGTGGCTATTGCAGTGGTAAAGGTAAGACATAATTGTGGCTTAGACAAAGCTGGTGTCACAGAGGTGGTGAGAAGTTGGCATATTCAGAATATATTTTGATGATAGAGCCTATGCAATCAGACAATAGATTGGAAGAAAGGAATAAAGATTTACTGCAAGATTTATGGCCTGAGCAATCAAATGAACAGTGATTCCATTTACTGAGAAGGACAACACTGGGAGGAGGTACAGATCTGAAAGAAATAAATCAAGAATTTGGTTTTAGACATGTTGAATGTGACATTCCTATCAGACATCTTACTAGAGAAATCTAACAGTCAGTTGGACACAAACACCAGGATTTCAAGAGAAAGGCCATGATTGAAGATGGAAATTTGGTGTGCAAATATATACACATGTGTAGTGGGTATTTACAACTATGGGAGAAAATGAAATGAGATCACTCAAGGAGTGAGTGCAACTAGGAAAGTGGCCCTAGGGCTGAGTTGTGAAGCACTCTAATATTCAGAAATGGGGAAGAAGAGAGGATCCAACCAAGAAGACTGAGACAGAACAGAGAGTATGAAGAGAACCAAAGCGGGCTCACAAAGCCACGTGAAGAATGTTTTTCACAAAAGAAGTAACTGGCAACTGTGGCTGTTGAGCAGTCACTAAGGTGAAGATTGAGACTCGACCTTCAATTTGGTGACATGGAGGTCACTGGTAACCTGGAGAAGAGTGGTTCAGTACATGAAGAGTACAAAAGGCCAAGTGAAGAAAACTCGAGGAAGGAAGCAAAGTGAGGAATCAGATATGAGTAGAAATAATCCTTTTGCTATGAAGGCAAATGGAAAAATGAGTGATAACTGGGGAGCGATGTGGGGTCATGGGAGGGTGTGTTTTTGTTTTTAAGATGGGAGCTGTTCCAGCATATTGATATACTGATTAAAATAACTCCATAGGCCAGGCACTGTGGCTCATGCCTGTAATCCTAGCACTTTTAGAGGCCAAGGCGGGTGGATCACAAGGTCAAGAGATCAAGACCATCCTTGCCAACATGGTGAAACCCCATCTCTACTAAAAATACAAAAATTAGCTGGGCAAGGTGGTGCACCCCTGTAGTCCCAGCTACTTGGGAGGCTGAGGCAGGAGAATCACTTGAACCCGGGAGACGGAGGTTGCAGCGAGCTGAGATTGCGCCACTGCACTCCAGCCTGGTGACAGAGCAAGCCTCTGTCTGGAAAAAAAAAAAAAGCCTCCATAGAGAGGGAGAAAGTGATGATGTAGGAGAGACAGAAGATAATCATAGGAGCAAAGAGGTTGTTCTTACCCAGGAACTTGAGTGCTTCATCCTTCCTAACAGGCGGCAATGCAGAGGGCACAAAGACAAATGCAGCAGGATATTAGTTGCATGGTGAGATAGTGCTGTTGTTTTCTTTTGATTGGCTTCTTCTTCTTGATTTCCTAGGTTAAACAGAAGGAAAGTCTTTGGCTAACAGGAAGAAAAGGGAATAGTTGGGAAAATAATCTATGAAATGGTCTTTTGAGAATAAGAGCTAAGAGTGTTGGTTGGCTAGATAAACACAGTAGATTTCTGGGTAGCACTGAGAGCCCGCTTCGGTGGCCATAATTATAACATGAGACCAGTCAGCATAGTCGTAAGTTTTATCAGCTACATTTAGCAGTTCATGTATAGGTAGGCATGGAATAGACAAAGAGTTGGATTTAACAAAGATGTGTGTATATACGTGGCGAAAGATAAAAGAGGGAAGAGAGTTGAGAATATACACAAAGGAGTGATTACAGTAATGGACCATGGAATATAATTCAGCCAAGGAATGAAAAGAAGCCTTTGAGGATGCTAGAAAGTGAAAAGTTGGTCAGGTATAAAGGTTAAAAGTCTAAGTAGGTTTGACAATTCATTAGGGAAAGAGACTAGAGCAAGTATGAGTGGGTGATGCCTAATATTGAGATTATAGAAGGAATACTATGCCCTGGAACCTAATTTTATTAGTAACTGCATTCCCTATGTAATCACTTAATGGCAATGAATGAGGGGGAGTAACAAGAAAAATAAACTGCAATGAGGACAGGTAGTGGGTGCTAAGAGTCCAGTGGTTCTGGCTTCAAAGGAGCCAGAGATCATTAGAGAGGATGAAGGAACAGTGTTCAGGATATCACAAGGGAGCGCCTTCCTTACTTCCATGCCCAGGAGCATGAGGGGTGGGAAATGAGATGGCCACTGCTAGAGAAGGCTGCAGGGGAAACCATGTCCTCAGGGTCAGCTATATCGTGGTTAGAACCGAAAGGCAAAGTGCACTCTTGAGAAGTAGTTGAGATTATATGGGATTTTGCTAAGAACTGATCATGAGATCCACAGAGCACAGTGGAAGTTAACTGAAGAGAAGAGGTGAGATTAGGGGATTTACAGAGTCTGGAGTGAGAGTAGAAGAGATAAGGATGACTTTCTATTAACAGGGAGGTAGGGTATATTTGAGAGACTAGTATCTTAGACAGTTTAAAATGATTTAAAAACTCACTGATGTGATTTTTTTACTCTTAACTCTCTTCCCTCTTTTATCTTTCATCATGTATACACACACATCCTGGTTAAATCCAACTCTCCATCTATTCCATGCCTTCCTGTACGTGAACTGCTAAATGCAGCTGATAAAACTTAAAACTATGCTGAGTGATCTTATGTTATAATTATGGCCATGAGTCTCAAGCTGGCTCTCAGTGCCACCTAGAAATCACTGTGGCATGGAGTAGGTTTTACCAAGAAGACAGAACTCTGTGAAAGCCTCTCTCCCCATTTAGTCCTGTAGGGGACTGTGTCAAAGTTGGAGAAAAATGGATCATATCAGAAAATGAAAGGTAGGCATTGGGTCTACAACTTAAAGATCCCATTTATGTTCCTTCCTGTTCCTTGACCTGACCAACTTTACACTTTCCTCACTCTTTAATGGCCTCATTTTCTTAAATTCCTTGATTCATCACTATAATCTCAATAAACTAGGTACTGATTTAACGCATCTCACAATAATAACAGCTATTTATGACAAACCCACAGCCAATATCATACTGAATGGGCAAAAGCTGGAAGCCATCCCTTTGAAAATCGGCACAAGACAAGGATGCCCTCTCTCACCACTCCTATTTAACTAGTACTGGAAGTTCTGGCCAGGGCAATAAGGCAAGGGAAAGAAATAAAGCATATTCAAATAGGAAGAGAGGAAGCCAAATTATCTCTGTTTGCAGATGACATGATTGTATATTTAGAAAACCCCATCGTCTCAGCCCAAAATCTCCTTAAGCTGATAAGCAACTTTAGCAAAGTCTCAGGATACAAAATCAATGTGCAAAAATCACAAGCATTCCTATACACCAATAATAGACAAACAGCCAAATCATGAGTGAACTCCCATTCGCAATTTCTACAAAGAGAATAAAATACCTAGGAATACAACTTACAAGGGATGTGAAGGACCTCTTCAAGGAGAATTACAAACCACTGCTCAAGGAAATCAGAGAGGACACAAACAAATGGAAAAACATTCCATGCTCATGGATAGGAAGAATCAATATCATGAAAATGGTCATACTGCCCAAAGTAATTTATAGATTCAATGCTATCCCCAACAAGCTACCATTGACTTTCTTCACAGAGTTAGAAAAAACTACTTTAAATTTCATATGGAAACAAAATAGAGCCCGCGTAGCCAAGACAATCCTAAGTAAAAAGCACAAAGCTGGAGGCATCATGCTACCTGACTTCAAACTATACTACAAGGCTACAGTAACCGAAATAGCACGGTACTGGTACCAAAACAGATATATAGACCAATGGAACAGAACAGAGGCCTTAGAAATAAAGCCACTCATCTACAACCATCTGATCTTTGACAAACCTGACAAAAACAAGAAATAGGGAAATGATTCCCCTATTTAATAAATGGTGCTGGGAAAACTGGCTAGCCTTATGCAGAAAACTGAAACTGGACCCCTTCCTTACACCTTAAACAAAAATTAACTCAAGATGGATTAAAGACTTAAACCATAAAAACCATAGAAGAAAACCTAGGCAATATAATCATTCTCTTGCATATGTCTTCAAAATGCCCTTTGTCCCTTCTTCATGCCCACTGCCATTTCCTTAATCTAGGACTTCATCAACTTTTACCTGATTTTCTTGCATTATCCTGTTAAGTAGTTTTCTTATTTTTATTCTCAGCTCTTCTCCCTGATTCAACCTCTAGGTTGCTACCATGAGTGCAAATCATCATATCATATTGTATCATATTGCTCCCTGCCTAAAATGCTTCAGTGGCTCCAAACTGTACATGGGACAGAGCCCAAACTATTGTTCCCCATCCTGGGTGGCAGTGTGATGCAATGGAAAGAACATAGGCTGCAACCCAAGAGTCTGAATTCTGCCATTGCTCATGGTGGGGCTTTGAACAAGTTGCCAAACTTCTCAGAACCTCAGTTTACTCATCCTAAAATTGTTGCACAATTAAAATAATTTCTATCTTGAAGTTTTCCATGAGGTTTAATAATAAAGTGTAGGCCAGCTGCGGTGGCTCACACCTGTAATCCTAGCACTTTGGGAGGCCAAGGTGAGCGGATCACAAGGTCAGGAGATGGAGACCATCCTGGCTAATATGGTGAAACCCTATCTTTAGTAAAAATACAAAAAATTAGCTGGGCGTGGTGGCAGGCGCCTGTAGTCCCAGCTACTTGGGAGGCTGAGGCAGGAGAATGGCATGAGCCCAGGAGCTGGAGCTTGCAGTGAGTGGAGATTATGCCACTGCATTCCAGCCTGGGTGACAGAGTGAGACTCCATCTCAAAATAATAATAATAATAATAATAATATTAACCATAGCACTGCTGGAGTGTGAAAAAGATTAATTCCTGTTCTTAACTAAACGATGTGACTATTGAAAATCTGTCTCTGCTGTCTTTCTAGTTTCATTTTTAACAAGTCCTTTGGTACTTTTCTCAGCCCCCTTACTCCCTGCTCTACTCTTCACCTTCCATTCATATTGTATAACCCAATCATACCTAAATATCAGGCTTTACTCAAATATGTCATATTCTCATATCTCACTTTCCTGGCACTTGCTGTTTGCTTTACTTGTAATGCTTGTCTGTTCACCTGAATGGCTCCCCCTCACCCTTTGCTCAGCTTAAAAAGGTAACTTTTGGCTGGGCGCGGTGGCTCACGCCTGTAATCCCAGCACTTTGGGAGGCCGAGGAGGGCGGATCACGAGGTCAGGAGATCAAGACCATCCTGGCTAACATGGTGAAACCCGGTCTCTACTAAAAATACCAAAAAATTAGCCGGGCGTGGTGGCGGGCACCTGTAGTCCCAGCTACTCGGGAGGGTGAGGAAGGAGAATGGCATGAACTGGCGAGGTGGAGCTTGCAGTGAGTCGAGATCACGCCACTGCACTCCAGCCTGGGGAACAGTGGGAGACTCACTCTAAAAAAAAAAAAAAAAAAAAAAGAAAGAAAAAAAAAAGTTACTCTTTTGTGAAGCCTTTCCTAACTCCCAAGGTAGTCAAATGCCCCTTTAGGGTTTCAAACATATGCCTCTTTTATAAGGCATATCATTTGAACTGTAAAACTGAATGTATGTCAGCTAACATGATGACTTCCACGTGAGACTATGAGGTCCTTGTGGAAGAGGCTGGGTCTTGTTCAACTATGATTTCCCACTAAAAGTACAGAGCTTCCCATACTGTGGGCAGTGGGTAAAGGTTTGTTGAATTAATGAATGAGTCCCTGGACATGGCATTTTCCACATAGATTAGGCTCTTCTGCTCAGTGTGTATGCAAGTACATATAAGCATGCTTAGTTGAAAGAAACAGAGATCTACTCAAGGTAGCTTGAATATAAGAATAGTTTATTAAGAGAACTCTGGTGAAAAATATCACAGCTCTCCAAAGACTAGGCACTAAATCTAACCTAGGCACACGAACTTGGAAAAGTATGGTCATACTCCCAGGTTATTCTTTTTGTTTTTTGTTGAAATACGTGTCACTACTTTTTCATCTCCATCTGTGTCATCTTCTTGCTTCCCTAGTTGGAGATCTTTTATCTATTTATTCCATACTTTTCTGTACCTCGATGACTTCAACTTACATGTAACTTTGGCTTGCTGTGGAGTTGACTCTGGCTGAATATTATCTTTCTATTTTATCTCTTGGTCAATGCCACCATGGCAGAGATCACTACTTTGTTCATCGCCATGTCCTCGGTTCCTGATATATTTTAGGTGCTTTATAATTCTTTATTATTTGAATTTTATGAGTATCTACAATCACCTTGTAAATTTTTTCTTTCAGTATCATAGTTTTCAATTCTCTTGAGAAAGAATCTGGTTCAAAGTCTACCCTTAGTTTAATACAAAGAGTTGGGCTTGCATAGTCATAACTATGGCTTTCTGGACCTGCCTCTTAAGCAGTCTGTGGGTGGTGGAGTTAAAGGTGGTTAGACAGCCCAAACTACATTTTTTATAGTGCCTATTAATGCACTTTCCAGAATTAGAGCCACTGCCCATCTCCTCAAAAGAGGTCACCATCCTTGGAAACCACTTTTTGAAGATTCTCTAAGAACACATTGAAAGTGAGATGAATATTCAGCTTCCACTGGGCTGACTGATCTGGGATTTTTTTCTGTCTGGGAGTACAATGGCTTCTCCCCCTAGGAAGAAAACCATGAAAAAACAAGGATGATTTTGTTTTCCCCCACCTTCTTCTCTTCAAGTTTTCACATTTACACAACTTAGCAAGGTCTAGAGACCTGATGTGGCCTGTTCAAGGACCCATTGCTAGACTAAGGAGCAAAGTTGTGTGTTGGCATCCCACCCCACAGTTCTGCTCACTTTATGGGATTGACATGCCCATTTTGTCCTGGCAGTAAAGTTGTCTGCCAGGGAACATTACTTTGCTCTCACACATTTAGTACTTACAGATCCATACAGCAAAGGCCAATAGCCTGGATATACACAGCAGCACATCCTTGCTAGCTAACACTCTTTTGTTGGTGCTACGACACCTGCCACCTACCTTCCTCTACTCAGCAGCTGGCTTCCAGCACATTCATTACTCTTGAGAGAGGTGGATGGAGTTGGGATGGGGTATTCTGCTTACCTACTCTGCCTTGGTGGAGGAAAAGTTCCCCAGCATATCTGCCTGTTTCTTGTTCCCCTAAGCAGATGTACATTTACTACCCTTACTTAGCAACTTCTTTGCACTAACATGGACATATGCACCTTTTTGTTTATTTAATGTATTCCTTAAGACCTCACTGAACATCCCCCTCTGTTGGAAGGTTTACCCAAATTGGCACACACCTCTATTGCAGAATTTGTCACTTTACATTGAGGATGTTTACATGCCTATCACCTTCCTGACACATACACTCACCAAGACACTAGGTCTTAGAGCAGCAGAGACTCTGTGGCAGGTACACAGCTCCAGGTCCCTTTAGAGTATTGTCTGGCATGTGGCAAGATTTTTCATAAAATACTTGAGAGGTGAAGGCAGACTTACATGGTTTAGTGGGAAACAAACTTACTCAACTAAGAAGACGGGATTGGTTTTGGCCTTGATGCTGTCTATTTCTATGACCTTGAGAAGTCATTGAACTCTATTTCTGTCATCCACGATGCATATTACCAACTATCTGACTCACCTGCACACAGGGCTTACATTCAGCTGATGTGGTTACATCAGTTTTTAAAATATTGAAACACTTCTATACAGCCAGTGAATAGTCTTCACTCCAACCCCCATGTACTACCCTAACCACATATACTCCTCCCCTGCAGCCCCCGGATTTCCTTTTGATGGTAACCAAAGGGAGAGTATACCTGAGGAGGCCTCTAGAGCCCTGCCCTGGCACTAGGGCTGCCATCCCTTCTGATGAGTTAATGTGCTTCTGTTCTACCTGCTGATAAATACTGTGAATATCACTCTTGGCTCTGCCATAGGGTTGGGGTATCACCAAATGATACAGAGCACAGCAAGCACTTTGCACACTGTGAAGGGTTGTATACATAGACATCCTGTCCATAATTCCCCAGAAGGGATTAGAGCCACAAAGAAGGGAAGGAGCTTGTTTCTAAATTACAGCTCACCCTCTATTTAGTTGAAGGCTGAGGAAGGACTTGGTGGGGAGGGCTTGACATGCTCACAAGCTGACTGAAGGGAGTTCACACAAAAGTTCAGGTGGACCCCAGGATGGAAAAAGAGTTTCTCACAAAACCTCCTTAAAAGTGACTTGTCCGAATTCCTCACTGCAGCAGCCTGGGATTCAATTTGCAGCTTTTTAAAGCACGTACACCATCAGCTCTGTTCTCCCATCCCTCTGATTGCTCACAATTAGAAGCCCATTTCACTCTGCTCTTAGTTTGCAGGTGTCCCCTTAGGTAGGACAAGAGCAGCCTGAAAGTGGACGGTGGAGGGTGGGGAGAGCAGACTGGCTGGAATGAGGGTTTGCATGATCTGGTATTTATGGAAAATTGGAAGTGCTAATGAACCTGAGATCCATCAGGGCTTTCTCAAGGCAGGATGGTCTCTGTCAACAGACCAATTAGCACACAATTATTAGCTCTTTCTGAAAGCTTATCTGAGGCATTCTTTGAACAGTGTGTGCCTGAGTGAACTGCACTCTCCATTACCTGTATAGGCTCTCTTTATAATCTGCCAAAGCTGTCTGCCTCTTCTACAAAGAAAAGTGCAGGATTCTCTTGAACAACCCTCCAGAGATGCTGAGGTTTTCCTCACTTTGGGGCAAGGGGTGGGGGGGGTGGTTCTCAAGCTATTCTGCTTACTCAAGTCAGTACTCAGGCAATAACTGCAATGGGACCCTCTCCAGCTCCCTCTATTCTTTTCACCTCCTTTACTTCTGAAGGGAGAAGACAGTGTGTCAGAGCAGAATAGCAATGAAAAGCACTATGACTCTGGAAACTAGTGAAACTTGAGTGGGCCTTTCTCACTCTGTGGGTTTTTCACTCTAACAGGAAATGAGCATGAGGATCATGGTCTTTGTCTCCTAATTCCCATCCTTGTGCCACAATTAAAGTGAAGTTACTCACACCCTTTTAATGACTTACCTAATTGATTGTCCTCTTGTGGGACTGACCTTTAGAACAGCAGAGTAAAGGTCAGAAAATTGCATCAAAGATAGCCCAGCATGATGAACAAGATGATGGTGGGGGGCGGGAAGCAGATGCATTGGTGGCAGGCAGGGATGGGGGAGGGAGAAGTGGGGGGAAAGGAAAGCTCCTATTGTGGCTATTCTCTAGCCTGTCCTCCTCTTTGGGTCACATCTTATTCCCACTTAAGGCTTGTTAGCTTCCTTCTTTCCTGGACCTGGTTGGTGAGTGACCAAGTCAGGAGTAAGTGGATGGAAAAGCCAGTGAAAAACCCAATGACGACGGAGTGGGCAGCTTACCTGTAGGCAGGGACAGGCAAGCCTCCAAATACCATACCCCTGTGTCCCACCTCTGTCCTTCAGCCCACCCTACCCTAGAGGGGCAAACTTCCCCAGAGTAGCTGGGACAGTTATTGGCCATGGCTCTTCATATGGGGAATTCAACACTATATAGAAAGTGAAGACTTCACCTTGAAATGAGGCTGCCTCTGCTTCCCCAGTCCAGTCTGACCAGTAGCCAATCACCCACTCACCCAATAAAGAAACATGATTCAGCACCTGTGTCCACATGTGGAGGGAGGCAGGCTCATGTGTAACAGCCAGAACACTGGGGTTGTTTAAGTACATTTCCACTTGTCTCTAAGCTCCTTACTGGCCATGACTATGTCTTATTCATCTGCGAGTTCCAAATGCTCCTTGAATATTTGTTAAATGAGCAAATGAGTAAATAAAAGAATGAATGAGTGAACCAAATAAATCTTATCCTTGCAGGTGACTGTATGACCTGGAATAAGTCATTTAACTTATCTGAGCCTTGGTTTCCTAATCTGCATTGTAAGGATAATCAAATTGATCTGAAGTCAGTACAATTTGTTTTGCTCAATGTTAACATTCTGAGGAGAGAAGAGATCACTAAAATATGTTGGGTGGACTGGTCTGTTTAGAATACTTGTGTTTGACAGTGATGGCATGTAAAGGGTTTAGACTCTATTTTCTGCAGTCCTTTGACCTACCTGCTCAGGAGACAAAAAGGTATTGAACTGGAGTCTGAGGACTCTAAAGTTAGAATCCTGTTTCTGCTACTCAACAGCTCTGTGGTCTCAAGGACTGTAACTCTGAACCTTACTTTCCTCCTTGGAGAGTGATAGTAATGAGATTTGTCCCAGAGAGTTCTTGGGAAAGTTAAGTGGGATGCTCTTGGAGGAAGAATTTGGAAAACTGTAGAGAAGCTGTCCCTGCCCCTGGCGTGGCCTCGGTCTAGTTCTCCCTGCTGCCTCTCATGCTCTGTGTCTATTGCTACCCCTTGGTATTTGTGTGGGGTAGCACAAAAGAAATACCTTTCTTTATTCAATTTCCCCTCCCTTCCCTGCCACCCCTACTCATTCTTGAAAATGAATTCATGGCTTACTTCCTTCATAAAGCCTTCGTGGACTACTTCAAGCTACAGGAATCCTTCCTGCCTCTCTCCCGACTGTTTTTGCTCAGCATCACACAATCTCTCACTTTATCACTCTGCTCCATGTGTATTTTTTAAACCTAGGTCTACTAAACTCCCTTGAAGAATGTCCCTTACACTTTCATATTCACCATGGTAACAAGGCAGGGTGCTAGACACATGCACTATGCACTTCCAAGCTGTGTGCTGCAGAGATCACACTGTCCCTTCTCCTTTTCCTTGTAGTACATTTCCTCTCTTCCCACCTGTCCACTCCCTACTTCTCCTTAGGAACCAACACAGATGGTGCCTCTTCTGCTACTTCCTCTCTTGTTTCCCTTTGTTTAGAGCTGTGCTTCCTTAGAGCTCATCATGATGTGGGCTTCTACTGTGACTTGGATGTCTATCAGTCAGCTGTGTATGCACCTACCTGCCCCACAGGGTGTGATCTCCTGGAGGATGCAGTACACAATGTGTACATTGTTGCACACACCTCCCTACCCTGAAAAGCCTGGAATGTATTATACATGCATTCTCTTGTTTATTGAGTACCTACTGTGTGCCAGAAACTGTGTTAATTGCTGTCGACAACATGGTGAGCAAAATAAATATGAGCTTCCCTCTTTGGAGCCTATAGAGTGTAGGATTCAGACATGGATCACATACTTGCAGAAAGGGATGCAAAACTGCAACTCCTGTGCCTGCTGCAAAGCAGGGGGGCCTGAAGCCAGAAGAGGACGTCAGAGGTATCAGAGTGGGCTTCACGATTAACTTCAGGAAAGGTGCACTATAAATGTTTGAAGAATTGTATGGAATTAAACAGTGGCTGCTCAATAAATACTTGTTGATTGATTGTTGGCAAAGACTTCAGAGATCCTGAGAAAGGGCCGCAGGTCCCCATCATTCTTATTACATAATTATTTTAGTGCATTTAAAGCTTCCCATTTTTCATCTTATACTTTAAACATCAGGGAAAACTGATGGGCCAACTTTATAATATTTTTAAATGACTCTATGGTGTTTTGAAATATTACATGGCTATAAGAGTTTATGTATATTTAATATACTTATTAAAATATGCAGTAAGCCCATAGCTGATTTTCTCTAAGGATGTCTCAGTGCCGAGGTGGGACTTAAATGTTTAATACTAATACTAATACTCATAACTCATATTTCTCTAGTGCTTTTCATCTTTAGGATCCGTAAAGTCTGTGAGTACCACATCAAGTGGATGCAGCTGGGCTTTCCAGCAGGCTGACAGGGACCACATATGGCCTCTTGCCTTCCTCTGGAGGGAGAAGGGGTGACTAGAGCTTAAGGTTTCACTCCTTCTCCAGCATTCTCCGCCTTTCCAGACACAAATTCCCTTTAGCTCTCTCTGAAAGGCTCTTACTTATATATAACTGCTGCTGCCAGCTATATGTAACAGATACTCACTGCCTCAGGCCAAGGAAGAAAGTGACTTTATACCTCTGGAGTACGAAAAGGGACGTATCACTTCTACAGCTGGTCAAGGACAGGATGTGGAACCTGAGATGGAGCAGCTGGAGAAGGGAAGTATAAAGGGAGTCTCCACTTGTTATCTAAACCCACTCCCTACTCCTTCCTTCTCTAGGTCACCGAGACCAGGACCGGTCCTCTGGGCTGCAGCAACTATGACAATCTGGACTCAGTCAGTTCTGTCTTGGTACAGAGTCCAGAGAACAAAGTACAGTTACTTGGTAAGCAGCACTATGATGGTTTTCATACCTTTCACACCTGATTTAAAAAAAAAAATTCCTAGATCAAATAGCGGGAAAAAATTCTGCCTGTTCCATTTGATCAAACCTTTCTTAAGACAAGAACTACCACAAGTTCTGGAACCTGTATTTAACAACTTTCCATCATGTTTTAAGAAACCTTCTGGTATGGTTTGTCCTATACCCCAGACCCATTGCTTATATCACATGACACCTCAATCATCCCACTTCACATTCCATCTCAAGTCCTCTGTCACAATCCTATAAGAAACAGCATACCCATCCTTATAAGAAGCCTTTACCTAGTTCAACGATCTTCATTTCCCAGAAAACCCTCTGCTTTATCCTAAAGACACATTGAGTAATAGCTGGCCTTTACAGAGTGGTTAGAAGACTACCATCTCCAGCTCAACTAAGATCTGTACAAAGTGGGGGACCACTACTTACTGGAACCACAGTTTGAAGGTGGCCCCTGCTTTCTGTTATTTGTCTGTGATCTTGCACATGGGCAATTCAAAGTCAGGAGATGAGTTTGAGAAGAATAAGACTTTTGATCTGAGACAGAACAAGCAAAACTGTGAAAGATAAAGGAAAGAAAACCACACTAACCCTGGAGGCTGAGGGCTAAGGGGAGACGTGCATCTCTTGCTGTCTGTTCCCTGCAGGCATCCTGGGGGCAGGGCTATGCAAACTGATTCAGTGGGAAAACTTTATTTTTCTCAAGGCCTAACTGAATTGTACTCTGTTTAAGATATTATTGTCTCAGCATTACAAAATCAATAACCCTCACTCAGGATCTACGATTACAAATTCCAGGCAACCTGAGTCAAATGCGACCCAGCAATGCTTTAGGAATTAAGAAATATATAAGAAAGAGGACTAAAAACTCGTTTATTTAGAGCTACCTAAGGCAATTAGCATTCCTCTTCACTGATGTCCCTGGATGGGCTGGGTTTGTGTCTGGAAAGTAGCAGTGAGTGAAGTTCAAAATGTCTAGTTGTTCATTTGGAATAGTTTATGCTATTTAATTTTATACCCCAACACTCATGCAGACATTTGTCGGGGCACTGATTTTATAGCATGGGAAGTGTTCTGGTGAGGAGGAGGGAAGTGATGGGGGAGGTGAAATGAAAGGACTTGGAGAGGGTGAGTGTTGAAAGCAAGCATGTGGATTGGGTGTGTGAGGGGAACCACTCAAATGCCACAGTAGGCACAGTGCCAAGGAAGGAAAATTTAGGGGCAGTACAGAATTGGAGGTAGACCTCAAGAAAGAACAACAAACACCCACTGCTGCTAGCAATTTTAAGTTATATTTTGAGGTCTGCTGAGACTGGGATACATACTTTGAGTTCTCTGGTTTCCTGCCAAGGACAAGGTCAAGGGCCTAAAAATAAAGAGCTGGCAGACGTTTGAGGAAAGAGGAGCTCACCATATCCAGAAGTTCTCATATTCCTCACTTTCCTGGCACAAGGTCTCACAGTGTCGCTACTGGGGAGCCTCCTGCAGATCTGACCTCGAACGTGGCCCAGACTGCATCCAAAGGCATGCCTACCCTTTGTTCATCCTTTGGTAAGCTTCCAGCAGCCGCCTTGTGAGTGGCTTGAAGCCAACTAGGAGTATGTTCTGCTGTAGGTAAACTGGTAGTTACTGCAGTTGGGTGAGAAAACTGAAGCTCAGAGCAATTTAGTGCATTCTATCCAAGATCAGAAGTTAATTGGAAGAGAGCTGAGAGCCATTCATATCTATCCAGGCATGACTGATCTCAGGGCATTGACCACCATCCCACCTTCAAATCTTCTTCAGAGTTAAATCCTATTGAAATAGGACAGCCAGTCCCAGTTATATAGTATTAGCTGATGAGACAAGGGCAGGATCTGACACTAAGCAGATTCTATGAATGCTGTGATTTGGGCAGGTCACTGTGGTCTTAGGACTTGGATTTCCTTACCTATAAAAACCTCAATATGAGCACAAATGTTATTTGCAATCATATATAAAAAGTACTCAACATAGTACCTGGGCACTGTATCCCCACAATATCTGTTCCTATCTCTTAACCAGGACAGCTTCCTTGGTCATCAGAGCTAGGGTGGGGAGGCCCAGAAGGGTCAGAATTCAATAATGTCCTAGGATGCCTACTGCTAATCTCAGTTAAGCTATAAACAGGATGGCTACAGGAGGCAGGGCAAAAAGCCCATCAAACCTTGTTTTCTCACCCAAGAGGGCTGTAAGCTCTTCTTTTATCTGAAACATCTTCCTGTTTCCATCCCAGAAATGCTGATGTGTAGCCAATAAGCCTGTTCTTATGATATGCACGCTCTCAATTTGGCTGATCTGAGGGGTTTAGCTAAGCCTTGGGCTTTGATTTTCCCATCTGCATTTTCAGATCCTCCCCCATCTGTCACTGGGGCAGTAGTAGCCTTCTCCCCCAACCAGCTCAGCAGGATTAGGCCCTGTGGTGCCCATGCTTGGGCCCAGGATGCACAAGTCAGCAGAACTCCAGCTGGGATTCCTGCAGGCTTGGGCATGGGAAACTGAGTCCTCACTGGTTCTTCCCAGAGATTCCTTGACACATCCTTTCCCCAGGCCTTCAGGTGCTGCTGCCTGAGTATCTGCGTGAGCGCTTTGTAGCTGCAGCACTCAGCTACATCACATGCAGCTCTGAGGGTGAGCTCGTCTGCAAGGAGAATGACTGCTGGTGCAAGTGCAGCCCCACCTTCCCTGAATGCAACTGCCCTGATGCTGACATCCAGGCCATGGAGGACAGCCTGCTGCAGATCCAGGACTCCTGGGCCACTCACAACCGGCAGTTTGAAGAGTCAGGTGAGCAGCCAGAATTCCTCCCTGTCAATGAGAGGTGGCTGTGAGGTACAGAGCAAGAACATGGGGAGAACAAAACTTGAGAGTTGAGGATCCTCATGGGGATCCTGACATGACCACTTAATTGTGTCTGTGACCTCAAGCAGGTTATATCACCACCCTGAGGCTCAAGTGGTTTCATTTTTTTCTAGGACATTGGTATTATGTCCATTTACATAGGTGTGTTTTAAGGACTTAATAAACAAAGATAAACATAATTAAGGGCACAGACCTTGTTTGTCTTTTTTGCTACTGCTTCCACAGTGCCTAGAGCAATGCTTGCACATAAGGTTCGCTATAAATATCTGTTGAATCAATGAAGTGCATAGAATGGTTCTAGATGACATCCAATACAATTCAGTTGTTGTTTGTTGCTGTTAAAGCTAATATCAGTTACCTTGAGACCTAGATTCAAGAGAACTGGTTTTGCATCCTTGCCTGGTTTGACAAGCTTTATGACCTTGGATTAGCCGTGCAGCTTCTCAAGGTCTCGAGTTTCCTCATCTGAAAAAGAGGGAGAGTGATAATAGTGAATGGAAGGCTCACATGAGATCATGTAGATGCTCAATGTATAAAGAACTCTGCATGGTATATTTGCACATTTCAACACTAAATGAATGATATTTATGTGGATATAGTTCAAAAACATGATGTTGAATAAAACAAAGCAAGACAAAAAGGTTACATTATATATATATTTATATAATGTCTTCATATAATACTATAATTTATTAAGTATAATACATATGTAATACTATTTATATAATGTTTACAAACAGGATACCCAATACATGGTATTTTTATGGATAACTACATTTGTTGAAAAATAAAAAATATGTGATAATGGAAAAGAAGACATCAAGAGAGTGGTTACATCTGGATAGAGAGAAAGGGAAGTTTAGGGCCCTCACATGCAGTATATTTGGTTTGCTTTATTTCTTAAAGAAAAAAAAATCTGAAGCCAATATGGCAAAATGGCAAAAACTAATGGCAGACACATGGGATTTGTCTTTTTGCTCTGCATGCTCTTCCATACACTCAAATGTTTTACCTATGCACATACTAGATGTTAGTGCCATTACTAGGCATGATTCTCCAATCTTCTGAGGAGATGAGGAACCAGGTACATGAGAAATCAAAATGAGCTGAGGCCCCAGGGGTTGCCATTTTAAGTCCTGGACAAGGCATTCGGTAGCGAAGGAGAATATCACATTCCAGTCCCCAGGCTCATGCTTTGGGCTATGGTGGTGGGTTATGGTCCATAACATGACTTTGGGCCTTTACTACTATGAGTTACTGCTGATGAATAAATCAGGGCTCTCTAGACCTCTACCAGGAGACCTGGTAGCTGCAGGTCCCAAGGAAAAGCAGAGCAATGCACAGAAACCTGAGCATGAGTTCAGAAGCCATGGTGTGCCCAGGAAGCTCTAAGGAGAACCTAGACTCAGCAGGAGCTTAGAAGCAGAAGGCAGGTTGCTTCTAAATTTGCTGTAGGGCAGAATGGATATCTGTCCAAGAGCTGAAGCTGAAAAGAGAAGAAGAGTATCTTAGTCAGAGAGGAGGACATGGGTGGGAGAGGCTGGTCTCAGGGACTGGAGGATTTATAGAAAGATTTCTGAGCTGGGTGCTGCATCTCCTCTGTGCCCACATGTGCCAGTCTGGGTGCACACTCACCTTCATGAGGGCCCCACATGTTCCATATGGGTTTTGTGGTGTTATTGAAGAGGATTGGCCTTGAGATAGTGTTGTGGATGTCTTAGAAGGAAGTATAAAGGGGGAAAGAGATGCATCCAAGGTCATTAGCAATAGCAGGAACTCTGGCCCCTCTGAGGGTGGCAGAGATCTGTTTTGAAATTCAGAGGCATAGGAGTAGAAAAGATGAGAAAGTTCCCGAGGCCATATTTTACAACATGTTAATTATTTCTCAATAAAGGTGTTGATTTTTTTAAAAAAGCACCCAGGGAAATGGGTGTGCAGCCTCCTTTCTCATGCAGTAACTTTGAAGGGCCCTGGATCTGGGCAGCGTCCACTTGCCCCTACCAGAGTTCTGCATAGCTACCCGTCAGCTCAGGTCCTGTGTTCTTGTCCACAGAAGAGTTCCAGGCCCTGCTGAAAAGGCTGCCCGATGACCGGTTCCTGAACTCCACAGCTATCTCCCAGTTCTGGGCCATGGACACCAGCCTTCAGCACCGCTACCAGCAGCTGGGAGCTGGCTTGAAAGTGCTGTTCAAAAAGACCCATCGGATCCTACGCCGGCTCTTCAACCTCTGCAAGCGCTGCCATCGCCAGCCTCGCTTCCGCCTGCCCAAGGAGAGGTGAGCACCCCCTGGCTGCTACAGCCAGAGCTCAGCACCTCCCCTGACAGCTGCTGAGGCCAAGGAGAACCCTCTGTCCAATGTAGGGGATCAGGGAGTGGTGACTCACACATAGCCTTCCAGTTATCTTGACCTACTCATGTGTGTCATTCTCAGCTGTGAGTTGCGTCTGAAGTGAGAGAGAGAAAAAAAGATGGGCTGATTTTACTATTATCTAAATTATAGTTGATTCAAATGTTATTCTAGTAATACTCTAATTCTCATTTACTGATTTCCATTTTAATAAGTCTTAGAAAAAAAGGGATGGAGTTAAATTTCATCCAGCAATTGCATCTGATGAAAAACACACACACTGGCTTGTGTCAAACAAATGATTCTGCTCTGGGTCACAGGAGGAAAAAAAGTGGAGACCTGCACCCTCAGGGATACAGTGGGGCTGTATCATTACAAGTATCCACTTGTTCATCCACTGATTCATTTATTTATTTAACAAGTTTTTGAATCCGTATTCCATGCCTTACTATTAAGCTGCAGGGGTATTCATGAATTGGAAAGATTTAACAAACAGAAACATAAAAACTAGAAAATTATAACTATGTGGCAACCACTTAAATTTATGGTGGTAGAACATAAATCAAACGGATAGTCTCCTAGAGGTAAAACCAGAAATGAAAGCTTCCTTGGAGAAGAAAATCTTGGCCACATTTTGTGGGAAGAGAGGGAAATGATCTGGTACATGTGAGGTAGGACAGTCTTCCAGGCAAAGGAGCTGCCTTCACGGCCAGCAACCCAGTGGTACAGCTCTATCAGAGGCACAGGTAAGAAGAGAAGCATACGAAGAAGTGGTTTTGAGAGGAGTTCATTTATTCTTCTTTCAACAAATAATGATTAAAGGCTTACCATGCACAGAAACAATTCTCATTTCTGAGAAGCTGTTGGTCTCAAGACAGTGTTCCTTCTTTCATGGTATTTACTAACAGGGAAGCCGTTTATAAACAAGTAAACAATAAATAAATAATTTCAGCTACTGATAATTTTCATGGATTGAATAAAACAGGGTTACGTGATGGAGAATGAGTGTGGTGGTTCTTTCGGCAGGGACATCAGGAAAGACTTCTTTGAAGAGGTAACATAAGAGCTAAAATCAAAATTTTAAGAGAATCAGCCATATAAAATTTCTGTTCTTGGTGGAGGAGTGAGAGGAGCAGAGAGAATAGAAAGGACAGAAACCTTGAAGAGGGAATGGAAGTTGGCAAGAAGTTAGAAGATTTGAAGAACCATCTTATTTAGAAGGCTGAAAACAGATTTGACACAAAAGATGCTGGAGATCCTCTGTAGGTTTTTGAATAAGGGAATGAAGTAGGACTTGGGAGAGATGAGCCTTGTTGCTCTCAGTACAAATTTGGTGTCCAGTATTTCTGGTGCTGACCCATCAGACACAGAGCTCTAGGCTTTGCTCAATCAGTCCAAAGTAGCAAAGTAGAGTTTCTGCCACTCAGAGATCTTGGGGATTTTATTTTCCTCATTGCCTTCCACGCCTAGTGGTCAATGTCTTGCTGCCCTTAAGAAGGGTGTCAGTGTGTGACTTCTTTTGACTCTTACTTCATTTTATCTCTGCTCCCCAAGGTCCTTGTCCTACTGGTGGAACCGAATCCAGTCCCTCCTCTACTGTGGGGAAAGCACCTTTCCTGGCACTTTCCTGGAACAGAGCCACAGCTGCACCTGCCCCTATGACCAATCTTCCTGCCAGGGCCCCATCCCATGTGCCTTGGGCGAAGGGCCCGCGTGTGCCCACTGTGCTCCAGACAATAGCACACGCTGTGGGAGCTGCAACCCGGGCTATGTGCTGGCCCAGGGGCTGTGCCGGCCAGAGGTGGCCGAGTCCCTGGAAAACTTTCTTGGGCTGGAGACAGACTTGCAGGACCTGGAGCTAAAGTACCTGCTGCAGAAGCAGGATAGCCGCATTGAGGTACACTCCATCTTCATCAGCAATGACATGCGGCTGGGCAGCTGGTTTGACCCTTCCTGGAGGAAGCGCATGCTGCTCACCCTGAAGAGCAACAAGTACAAGCCTGGGCTGGTGCACGTGATGTTGGCCTTGTCCTTGCAGATCTGTCTCACCAAGAACAGCACCCTGGAGCCTGTCATGGCCATCTACGTCAACCCCTTTGGGGGCAGCCACTCTGAGAGCTGGTTCATGCCTGTGAATGAGGGCAGCTTTCCTGACTGGGAAAGGACTAACGTGGATGCAGCTGCCCAGTGCCAAAACTGGACTATCACCTTGGGGAATAGGTGGAAGACTTTCTTTGAGACAGTTCATGTTTACCTACGGAGCCGAATCAAGTCCCTGGATGACAGCTCCAATGAGACAATCTACTATGAGCCCCTGGAGATGACTGATCCCTCTAAGAATTTGGGTTACATGAAAATTAACACCTTGCAGGTCTTTGGCTACAGCCTGCCCTTTGACCCAGATGCTATCCGGGACTTAATTCTCCAGTTGGACTACCCATATACTCAAGGTTCCCAGGACTCTGCACTCTTGCAGCTCATTGAGCTCAGGGACCGGGTGAACCAGCTTTCTCCACCTGGCAAAGTCCGACTTGACCTTTTCTCCTGCTTGCTCCGGCATCGGCTTAAGCTGGCCAACAATGAGGTGGGCAGGATCCAGTCCTCCCTGAGGGCTTTCAATTCTAAGCTGCCAAACCCTGTGGAATATGAGACCGGCAAACTCTGTAGCTAATGGGCGGCCCACTTCAGCACTGGGCAAGGAGGGGATCCATGAATCTGGGGTACAAAGATAATCTAAGCCCTCACCTTAGTGCCAACAGGGTGTGCTCCCACGAGACTTTCAGCATCCAGTAGATGGGACCTCGAGGCTCGAGCTGAAGCAGGCGAGAGAGAAACAGCTACTGCGTGCGTGCGCGCACGCATACACACACACACACACACACTGGCACAGGGAGGCTACAACTAAGCAGCCTCAGATCTGTAAAGTTGATTGGTGCTTTCTAAAATGAATGCAATTGAAAGAAAGGAGCCAAGGAAGAGATTAAGAAAAAGAACCAGCTGAACCATGAAACAAACAAAAATCCTAAAAGTGATTCTTGTCATTCAAGAAAGCAAGAGGGGACAACAATGGGAGGGGTCGGAGCTCTTCCTTCCCCTCTGTGGAGTCACTTTTGTATTCTTTTTAACCAGATTTCTTAAAATGTTGTTGTTTTGTGAATCCTGACATTGGTTCTTACTTTTGTATGCTGCCTCCTCTGTGCCCTCCCAGACGCTGACTGGGAAACACAAGAAGTACAACCAACAGGAACCAGCGCCAAGGGCAGGCAGCGGCCTCCTTGCTCCCCTCCCTTACTCCTCCCTCTGCTGCCTCCTCCCCCCACCAAGTTTCAGGGCCCTGGATTGTTCCCAGTTCCCATTGTGGTCCCTTCAGAGCTCCTTTCCAACAGCATCTCTCTGTCGAAGAAAGAAGCTCTGTCAAGTTAGAGAGAGACAATGTGTAGGAAATGTTCTTTTTTAAAAAAAAATAACAAAAACAAAACAAAACTATTTATTTTGTGATTGTTTTCCTTGTTAATCTGCTCCAACCACCTGAACATCTAAGTAAACATTTATCTGGTTTAATATATTTTTGGAAAAGGCCTTTTTTAGGGGGAAAAATGAGAGAAAAAAGAAAAAAAAAAAGAGAGTATAGTCCCCTGGGTTACCTGGATTTTTCTTTTTAATTGCTATTTGCATGACACAAGAGTGTCCATGAAGCGGGGATAGTACTGTGTGGGAAGCTGGTTGATTGACAGATACACAAGTTACACAAGTGAATGAGTGCCTGTGTTGACTGGGCTGTGAGGGGTGTATGAGAGAGAGAGGTTAAATGAGAAGCGAGGTAGTACTATCCCAGAGTTATCTCACTACACTCCCATCACCTTTTTTTTCTCCCTGGGTGTGAGGGCTAACATGGGTCCTAAAACCAGGATTTCCCACATGGGGAGAATAGTTAAAAAGGTCTTGCTCGTAAGAGGAACTGCAGTCTTTGCACTGGGCAAAGTCCTGCTAAAGGGGCTCCTCTTTGTCGACACTGCTGCAGACATTAGGAGAATTTCCCATATGCTGCATCTTATGATCTGGGATCACCCTTTGAGAAAATTGGGAAAGACAGAAATGTAGCATCGGCTCCCTCCATTCTGTCTGATTACCACATTCCCAACCCAAATAGCAGCTTTGATGTATACAACACAGAACAATGCATCCTTTTCTCCTAGTGCCTCCCTCCAGGTGGTATGAGAATCACTTCATAGCATCTCTTTTGGAGAATCACTTCTTTGTCTATGCTTCACATTCCAACCACAATGCATAGGCATGACAACCCCCATTTTGTTCAGGAGAGAGTCACCACATAAATATGAAATATTTCATTTCCTACCTGTGGTATATCTCAGTTGGCATAAAGTGAAATGGAAGACAATGAGACAATGATTATGTCTCTCTGCCCAGGGGCCTTCTATGTTTATTATTGCATGCAGAAGAATTTGACATTATATTTAATCATTGCATGGTCTTTCAACGTATAAGAAACTGAAATCCTTGGTAGATAAGCAGCCTGGGGCATTTCTTTCTTCACCACTTTCCTGAAGGCTTCCAGGGTAGAAATACAGAGTGATAGGATGATCTGGGGTGAGCACGGTTATTGGCTGTCTATTTCTAGTTAAAGTCACTGCTTGCTTTGGGAAGTTTGTACAGAGCTCCTCACCCATGGGAGATGGAATAGGCAGATGACATCATCAGCAGGAGTGTTGAGATGTACCCGATGAGGATGCTTTTGGTGGGAAGGGGTTGACAAGTGGTGGGAAGGCTTTGATACCTTCCAGTGATGGGGTTTGAGTGGTAGATACCAGAGTCTGATTTTAGCACTCTGAAAGTGTATGTCTACAGGCAGTAGGAGTGGATGGACAGGGACTCTTACTCATTAATTAAAGGTGCACCTTTAGCAAACTGTCAACTGCCAGGCACAGCAATACTCAGAGTGGGGAGGACAGCCATTGAGAATGTACAGTGCACAAAGCAGTGTGGAGCCTCAGTAGCACAAGCATGACTGCCCCAGTGGGAACAGAGTCATCACATGAGGGCTCACATCCCACCTAGGCCAGTCCCACAGTTGTGGTGAGGGATGGGAAACCTCAGCCTTCTGTCTTTGTATCAGCAACCAGACTGGGAGAAAATCGCACCTATGGAATTATTAGTAAGGATGCTGTGTCTCTTTATTTCAGAGATATGAGATCTCTTGTCTTGGGAGGTTTTCAGGAAGATGATGGCGTGATGTATTGTGGTTCTAGGGAATATATGCATCCATTTACTAAGCTTTCCATATCTTGCCTATCTGGAGGTTTAAACTATGAAGCTTAGTGTACCAACTCCATCTAAAAGTACTACTACACATTGGTAAATATTTAGTGGTGCCTTTGATTCCAGATGCAAGTATCATATTGATAGACGGCCTAACCAATATGAATTACAGAGGTAGAAATGTCTATATTTGACCTAGTCATCTGTTACCTGTGATAGATGTTTGATTTGTCTGTTCTGGGACAGTGATAGGGTGCTTGGTGTAGAAGAACTTGTGTCAAAGGAGCAGGCCAAAGACTTTGCTTCTAGAACACAGGTGGAAGAAGAGGGGGTGTAAGGGATGGGTAGCATCCTTTAAGAGGCTTTCAAAGGCTTGAAACCATGAGTTTAGCACAGAGTTTTTCAGAAAGCTTGGCTAAGAAATGCCGTAATAAGAAAAGGCTGTCCTCAGTTGAAACTGTCACCTTTAAAGTCCATAATAATCAAAATATGTGAACCACCTATCCACAGACACAGTTGCAAATAAAGAATTGTCATTAATTAGTGCTGGATTGTCAATGTTGGTGAACTCATTGTGGAATTAAGAGCAAAATCACAATATAGTTCCAACCGTGCATTGGATAATAACAATTAGGAATTCAAGTTTTAATTGTAACCCCAAAGAACGATACATCAAATGCTAATCTGCCCTAATGCTTGAGACTAATACCTCTAATACTAAATAATATATTTAATACCTGCTAATAAAATATTGCTATGCTCTGCAAGCACACTCATGCATCAACAGCCAAAAACATAAATGAATATCACTTCCAATACTGGGTATTACAATAGTTTAGTTCCAGTTCTTCTGTGTTTTTTTTCTTTATCAAAATATAAAAATAGTGGTCATGATAGGCAGAGCTGCCTTGTAAGTAGACAGAATATGTTGCCGACATGATGTCCTGTCCCAAAATACCACTTGAAAGTCTGCAATTTCATCAGATGGGTCGATTCTCTTGCATTTCAGAAAAGTCTCTCTCTTTTTTTTTTGCCATTATATTCTGCATGAAAACTAAAATGCCCTGAAAAAGAAATCAGTCTTAGAAGTTAACCCAATGGCAAGATAGAAAATTAGATTTTTGGAGTTGGAAGATTTTTAGAGGTCATCCGGTCCAATCTCATTTCTGACATGAGGAAAAAGAGGTTAAAAAATTGAGAAGTTGGCTGGGTGCAGCAGCTAATGCCTGTAATCCCAGCACTTTGGGAGGCCAAGGCAGATGGATCACGAGGTCAGGAGTTCGAGACCAGCCTGGCCAGCATGGTGAAACCCCATCTCTACTAAAAACACAAAAAATAGCCGGGCATGGTGGCATATGCCTGTAGTCCCAGCTACTTGGGAGGCTGAGGCAGGAGAATTGCTTGAACCCAGCAGGAGGAGGTTGCAGTGAGCCAAGATCGCACCACTGCACTCCAACCTGGACAACGACAGAGTGAGACTGTCTCAAAAAAAAAAAGAAAGAAAAAAAAGAAAAAAACTGAGAAATTTGCCAGGCCTGGTGACTCATGCTTGTAATCTCAGCACTTTGAGAGGCCAAGGCAGGTGGATCACTTGTGATCAGGAGTTCGAGACCAGCCTGGCCAACATGGTGAAACCCTGTCTCTCTACTAAAAATACAAAAACTAGCTGGGCGTGATGGTGTGTGCCTGTAATCCCAGGTACCAGGGAGGCTGAGGCAGGAGAATTGCTGGAACATGGGAGGCAGAGGCTGCAGTGAGCCGAGATTGCACTGTAGCACTCCAGCCTAGGCGATAGAGCAAAACTCCATGTCAAAAAAAAAAAAAAATTGAGAAGTTAAAGAACTTTCTCATGGTTGTGTCTAGTATCAGAGCTAGGAATAGAAGTCTCATCTGGTTCCTTCTCTACCTCTCTTTACCAATAAGTGACATTTGGGTCCTAGAGATGACAGGGACCCTGGCCAGGCCTTAGGAGTGTGGGGATGGAGGAGAGAAGGCAATTTTCCACGGAGAAGAAGGCTTCTATGAGATGGAAGTATCTTCACACTTTTCCCTGTAATTGATTTTAGCAAAAATAATCAGCTACTGTGACAAGTGAAGGAAAAGGACTGATGTTTCACCCCTTAGAAGCTTGAAGCACAGAGTAGGCATTTTTCCATCTAGGCTGGAAATAGAGTGATTAACTTGCTGGTTTCCTGATGACCACCATCTCAGCTCCATGCTTTTTAATTGCAACATCCTGCCTTCAATTTGTTGCTATTTTCTATAAACCACCAATTGGAGAGTTTGAATGTCATTAAAAATTTGATAATTTCTGAAAACATCTTCCATGTGAAGTCTAGAGGTGACTGGGTCCCACCAGCATCCAAAGGTCTCGCACTGTATAGTTCCTGTGGTCTGAATCTAGGGTCATGGCCAAGGAGAGTAATGAAGTGATACTCTGCTGTATACTAAGAGTCCTGGCTCCTACCGACAGCAAACCACAAAGAGCAAGGGCCAAGGGAGTCATTTTACCCAAGAAACAAAACTGTGGCTTGCACTCCTGGCATGCTTTCCTTCTCTCTAGAACATGCACTACGCATGTTAAGGAGGAAGGATAGATTGGGAAATTTAGGTAGTCTGATGGCATTAGACACACAGATTTCTTCTGGTTTCTCATTCTGGTACTGCTACCAGCCAGCTCTGTCATCGTGAGGAAGTCTCTCCACTTCTCTGACCCCCAGTTTGCTCCCCTATGGAAGAGGAAGTTGGAGTTCCCATGCAGGTACTAATTGTATTTCTGTTATCATTTCATGATGTTACAAGCAGTGTGGCACAGGCACAGGAGACTGTGTAAGATGTAAAGTCAGATCTGGATTTGCATGTTGGATCCATACTTACCATTTAAGTGACCTTTATTCTTCATTTGTCTCATATGTCACTCAACTGCTACATCCTCACCTCCCTAAAATTTTTCATTCCCTTCTCTTTCTGAACATTTACCTCCTTGCATATGTTTGCTCCATACTCCCCAACATCCAGAATGTGTCCCTTCAATTCCCTAAAATTCCATCTTCCTTCCTTCCTTCCTTCCTTCCTTCCTTCCTTCCTTCCTTCCTTCCTTCCTTCCTTCACTAAGTGATAGGCACTAGGCTAGGTGCAGGATATTCAAAACTCTACACAACATGTTTCCAGAACATAAACAATTGTGCAATATGATGTGGGGTGGGGAGCAGGCAGTGGGATGTATGAACAATTCAGAGTGGAGCATTCTTAGTAGGGATGTACAAAGTACTGATGGAACATAGAAAGAGAGCATGTGACTCCCTGGAAGAGACTCTAATGGCATTTGTTGTGAGGCTTCTAATAAAGCTGGAGCAATGTTCCAAGTGTCCAGATGTTTTACATCTCAGTAGAGGGAAAGATTTAAAATATAACATGTGCATCCCTTCTCAGAGAGCATAAAAGAGCAATAAGAGCAGCAGAGCCCCATTGAAGCCACACACTATGTGTTTGGTGCCCTAATTTCTGACTCCTGAGCATCAAGTTAGCACTTGTTACTCAGTTCAAGGAATACTTGTGGGACTTCCATGGGAGCTCTGTTTGGTAAATGAGATGCCTCCACTCCTTAAGGTGCAATGTGTGTAACCAGTGCTTCCCTGACTTTAATTAACCTGCAGATTCTGACTCACTAAGTCTGTAGTGGGCCCCAGATTCTGCATTTATAACAAGCCCCCAGGTGATGCTGATGCTGCTGGTCCATGGACCACACTTTGAGGAGCAAGCTCCTGGAGAGCATGCCTATTATATTCCTGCAGTACTCAGGGCTCGAAAGTAAGAGCTTCCTGGGAAGGACAGAGGCTAAGAAACCAAAGGGTCAATTGCTGGCT
The DNA here is from genome assembly GCF_000001405.40 of Homo sapiens. Taxonomy (NCBI): domain Eukaryota; kingdom Metazoa; phylum Chordata; class Mammalia; order Primates; family Hominidae; genus Homo; species Homo sapiens. The sequence continues at coordinate 177,288,001 of NC_000001.11, forward strand.
CTGAGGTAGTGACTTCACTTATGAAAATCTTGGTGCTTTACTGGCCTTTATTTTCTTAACCAATTAGAAGCCAAGTGTCTGACCTATACAAATGGAGTGAGAATAGGAAGCTGAGAGAAAAGAAAGGAAACTTAACTAAGTCAAAATTCTGAGGGCTCTGAGCTAGCTGGCTTATCAATGTGTGTTTACAGATAAGCAGCCCCATGGACCAGCTGAATCATGCTGGCTGAATAAAGGTCTTTTCCCCAAAGCATATCAAAGCAAATCTGTTCAGAAGTAGAACAGCGAGTATCTGTCATTCTACAAAAACATACATCAGACAAGGTGATTAAATCCACACCAACAACGTACAAGCACCCAGAACTCCCAGACTTTAGACTACTTAGGTGCCAGGTACCTAAGTGCCCCTAGGCACCCCATGTAAAAACTGAAATGAATTATTTTTGTTTTCAGTTCTATCCTTCTCTCTTCCAACCTGTGTGATTACCACCCTTGCATCATTAATAAAAACAACTGCCAGAATTTTTGTAGGGTTATTCTTCCAAAGATTTCAGGACTTGGAAGAATGAATCAATCCAAATTACTTATTAAGCATTTTCAGCTAGGAGGTGTGGGAAACAAAGCAAACATGGGCTTAGTATGTACATTTTCTTAATTCTAAAGGTTTGCAGATGACTTAGAAAATGAAACTTGTGGGAAAGTGCCATAGCTAAGTAAAAGAAGGAACGGGATTTAGTGTGCTTTCTGGAGTCAGGCTGCCTTGACTCAACCCCGTCACTGCCACTTACAAGATGTGAATGGCTGGGTATGTCATTTAATTTATTTGAGCCTCAGTTTGCACATCTGTGAAAGAACAGCAATGAAGTATGTATCTCATAGGATATTGTGATGGTCAAATAAGATAAAACATATAAAGAGCAGGGGCAGGCTTAGAGCACATGCTCAATAAGCATAGGGTTTTTCATTCTGTTAGATAGTTTCTATGTTTGAAGAAGAGGCAAGGGAAGGGAAAGGGAAGGAAGGAGAGGGGAGGGGTGGGAAGAAAAGGAAACATCCATGTTATCTACCTGCAGAAGCAAACTTCCTGGAAACAAAGAGGAATTTATCATCTGGGCCGTTATATAAGAGTCATCGAGTAATGTAATGAAAAGGCTCTTCAATTACAGTTTTGTGGAAGACACAGATAAGCCACTGAAATAGATATTTTTTATGTAGACCCTCTATAAAAGCAGAGAATATAATATTACAGCATAACTCATTGCTGAAATGAGTTAGGCTGTGCCCTGCTGGGTCATGTGGCCTAGGAACATTGTTTTGATGATACAGCTTATTACAGTGATAGAGCTTGGAGTGTCTAAGAAAATGGCTAGTTAACATGCCCATTAGACTGCCTCTTTCAAATAGCACATCTTAAGAGCACTTACGGCAAGTACCGGATTGCAGTCAATCCCTGGTTGAATTCTTTGATGAGGAACCAGGGTGCAGTACTGCCATAAGGCTTTTAGATACAGACAGAAGGGAAGCAGCATTTATATTCCTGTTATAATAGAAGTATAAGAAGTGCATAGGCTGAAAGGTGAAGGATAATGTTCCAAGCAATGGGAGCACCTATGTCTAGGCACAAATTCCTAGACACAATGATAAGTCAGCCTGATGTTCACATTCCATACCCAGCCTCCTGGGCCAATGCCTTCCATTTCATTCCTCTTTTATAAATAACAGCTTTATGGATGTATGATTCATACACCAAAAATTTCACCCCTTTAAGGTGTACAATTCAGTAATTTTTATTCAAAATGTTGTGCATAGATTGCCACTATCCAATTCCAGAACATTTATATCACCCAAGAAAGAAATCGTATACCCAGTAGCAGTCATTCCCCATTCTTCACCAGCCCCCAACTCCTGGCAGTCTCTATTTCCTGTCTCCGTGGATTTGCCTATTTCAAACATTTCATATAAATGGAATCATATACTATGTGGCCTTCTGTGTCTGCTGTCTTTCTCTTAGCATAATGTTTTCAAGGTTCATCTAGGCTGCAGCAGGCATCAGTATATCATTCCTTTTTATGACTGAATAATATTCCATTGAATGAATATAGCACATTTTTGTTTATTTATTCATCAGATTATGGTTATTTGTATTGTTTACACGTTTTGGCTATTTTCAATAATGCTGCTATAAACATTTGTGTTTTCAGTTGTTTTGGGTATATGCCTAACATGGAATTACTGGGCACCGTGGAACTCTATAATATTTTAAGGAACCGTCAGTCCATTTTCCAAAGCAGCTGCACCATTTTACACTCCCATTAGCACATTCTTTTCAACATATGTCATTATCTGTCTTGATTATTGCCATCGTAGTGGGTGGGAAATGGTATCTCATTGTCATTTTCATTTACATTTCCCTAACAACTAGTGATATTGAGCATCATTTCATATGCTTATTGGTCATTTGTATACCTTCTTTGGAAAAAATGTCTATTTAAATATTTTTTTCATCTTTTTAAATGGGCTACTTTTCTTTTTACTGTTCAGTTCTAGGAGTTCTTTCTTTATATATTCTGCATACAAGAACTTTATCAGATATATGGTTTATAAATATTTTCTCCCATTGAGTGAATAGTTCTTTTACTTTCTTGATAGTGCCCTTTGGACCATAAGTTTTAAGTTTTGATGAAGATCAATTTTTCTACCTTTTTGTTGCTGTTTATACTTTTGGTGTCATATCTTAGGAAGCATTGCCAAATCGAAGGTCACAAAGATTTATGTCTGTGTTTTATTTTGAGAGTTTCATAGTTGTATCTCTTAGTTTAAGGCCTTTGATCCATTTTGTTTTAATTACTGTATATGGTATAAGATTGGGGTCCAACTTTATTATTTTGCACATGGATGTCCAGTTGTCTCAGCACCATTTGTTGAAAAGCCCTCTTCCCTTGTGGAATTTTCTTGGCACATGTATCAAAATCGATTGACCATAAATGTATGGCTTGATTTCCAGCCCCTCAATTCTATTTTATTGATCTATGTGTCTATTTTTATACCACTACAAAAAAGGCATTGTCTTTATTGTTGTATCTTTGTAGTACATTTTGAAATCAGGAAACGTATATCCTTTAACTTTGTTTTTCCTTGTCATGATTTTTTGGCTATTCTGGGTCCCTTGCATTTTCATATAAATTTTAAGTTTAGTTAATCAAATTCTGCTAAACAAAGACAGCTGGGATTTAATAGCAATTGTGTAGAATCTGTGAATCAATCTGGGGACTGTTTTTATCTTAACAATATTAAGTTTTCTGATCTGTGAACACAGAATGTCTTTTCATTGATTTAAGTCTTTAATTTCTCTTGATAATGGTTTATAGTTTTCAGTATACAACTCTTATACTTCTTTTGTTATATTTCTTCCTAAGTATTTTATTCTTTTTGATGATACTGTAAATGAAATTGTTTCCCTAATTTAATGTTTGGATTGTTCATTGTTTATGTATAGAACTACAATTAATTTTTGTATTTTGATCTTATATCCTGCAACCTTGTTAAACTTATTAACTCTCATTCATTAGGGCTTTTTTGTATGTGAATTCCTTAGAGTTTTCAATATGCAAGATCATATCATCCCCTATTATAGATAATTTTGCTATGCCCTTCATATGTAATGCCCCTTCTTTGGCAAGTATATTCTGGCTCTTGATTTCAGAGCAGGGGGAGGACAAATTCTTTCTTATATTCTTACTAGAAGTATCTGAGATAATTGTTTTACTGTAGAGTCAAACTGGCTTACGAAAAATATTACTCTCAGCACTATCTGTTGGTACATAAAGGCAATCAAAAGCTAATATGGTAAAAGGATGAGAACAATTAATAATCCAGGGTATTTATTCAAAGATCTTAACCCATCTCCAACATTCTTAGCTATCCCCAAGGACCACTGTACACCAGCACTAAATGAATCAGGCTTAGTAAATGGGAATCCCATTCATAGCCTCCATCCTTGCCATGTGGCTATGTAGTTCACGCACCCATTTTACCAGTACCAGAGTTGCCAATAAAAGGGATTGGCTTTCATCAGCTGACCAAGTCATTACATCTAGTTGTTTAATACCTTTTCTGTAATAGATGTTCTCTGGTGGGCACTACCATGCAATTCAAAAACCTTCATACTTCCTGTCCACTTCTATAGATCTATCCACGTGTCTCTTTCCCAGACCTCCTTGTCTCTAATCATCTAATCTTTCTTTTTCCATGTTCTTGACCAAACAACCAAGCCATTCATCCTTGCCCATCAGTTCATGTATCTATCTTTCTGCCTTTGGCCACTGTTCTTTCAACACAAAGTTGATGACCAATGGCACACCACATCAGATTTCTTCCTATTGGGAGGATTTCCCTCATCACTATCTGTCAGAAGCTCACTATAAATAAAGCTTGGTCATTTTACCTCTCTTTTAGGTGATTGTCAAGGCTCTTCTATTAAGCCATATGTGTGAGCTTTGAAAGAAATGCTAGTACAACAGAGAGGGATGGCATGGCGCTGTGTGCCACCTGTTGCTTAGCTTACTTATGCTCTCCAACCCTGCTTGTGCCAAATCTTGGCTGTACCATGTCCATCTTAGAATGGATTGCTGCAAGGCTGGCCCCAACTTATGACAGGGTGGCTTTGACTCACCTCACCTAGTAAGAGGGAGCTCTGGTGCCCATAAGGTTCCTTGGTGCTTTATGGTTAAAAGCTCTGTATTTACTAGGGCCCAGTATCACAACAGGAACTACTTTTGGATGGTGTATAGTTCTTTGTTATAGATGGCATGGACTTTTTCCAAAACCCCAGAATTCCAAGGCTTTCCATAAACTCTATACATGATGCTTCCTATCATTGATGTCTCTACTACTATAGGGGCTCCTAGGTTACATGGCTTAAGTGTCAAGACCATTTTTACCACAGCCTTGTCCTTCTGCTGAGAGCTCTTTCCAGCTCTGAACAATACTCAAAGCTCACAGACTTTTGTGTTATCCATCAAATGGCTCACAGTAGTATTCCTTTATGCAAAATATGCTGCCTTCAGAACCAGAATAAACTATCAATATTTGTGCTATTTTTTTTAGTAGCAAGAGGTGTAAGGTGCAACAATTTTTAATTTAATTTGGAGGGAATATTCTGGTATTCTCCAGAACTGTGGACCCTGTCTTAGTCTATTTTATGCTGCTATAATGCAATACCACAGGCTGGATGATTTATAATGAATATAAATTTATTTCTTACAGTTCTGGGTGCTGGGAAGTCCAAAATCAAGGGGCCCACATCTGGCAAGGGCCTTCTTGCTGCATTATCCTATGACAGAAAGTAGAAGAGCAAGAGAATGTAAAGGGAGATGGGCTGAACCCATTCTTATATCAGGAAGCCACTCCGGCAATAACCAAAGCACTCTGCAGTAATGACATTAATCCATTCATAAGTGCAGAGCCTTCATGACATAATCACCTCTTAAAGGCCCTACCACTCAACACTCTTGCATGGGAGACTATGTTCCCAACAAATGGATTCATGGGGGGACACATTCAAACCATAGGAGACCCTTAAAAGTGTTATTGATGTGCTGAGTTATGAAGCTTTAATCTCCACCTCCTGCAGCATATGTGCTTTGGCCAGACTTCCAATACACTTGCTACTTTTTGCTAATCTGATCTGACTACCATGATACTGGGCCAGTGTGATGTTCTGAAGAATGCCAGACACCCCATCTCCCTTCTAGTAATATTATGACAGAGTCAAAGTGTTAACATAACCTGAGAGAAGATCATAATTGTATACTCTTGTTCTTATCACACAAGTGTGAACTGCTTCTGATTCTCCTTTCTGATAGGGATGGAAAAGAATGCACTCACCAGATCAATAGTCAGGCTAGAGACTGGCGGCTTCAGTAATCAGCTTTCGTAAATGTACATTTGGCGTAACAGCTACAGTTAGGGCCACTATTTGATTAAGTTTGCAGTAGTAATTCATTCAGCTGTGATTCATTCTATTTTAGTAGGGTCCATTCTAGTTAATTGAATAGAGATTTGATACAAACCATCGCCTTTGAATTCTTTGCACCTTTTAAATTAGCACTAATCTCTACCATTTTCCTTGGTTGCAGTATTAATTTTTTTATTTCCTGTCTTAGTTTGATTGGGGGCACAGATTCACAGGCATCCACTTGGCTTTCCCTACTATAATATCTCTTATTCTTCAGGGTAAGAAACCAATGTGAGGTATGTTCCTTCAGTGCCTAATCTGTTAACCGTTTTTATCATGAAGGAATATTGGATTTTACTGGAGCTTTTTCTGCATCTTTTGAGGTAATCATATGGTTTTTTAATTCTGTTTATGTAGTGAATTACATTTATTGATTTGTGTATGTTGAACCAGTCTTACATCCCAGGAATAAAGCCTACTTGACTGTTGTATATTAACTTTTTGATATACTACTGGATTCAGTTTGCTAGTATTTGTTGAGGATTTTTGCATCTATGTTCATCAGGTATACTGACCTAAAGTTTTCTTTTGCCATTGTGTCTCTGCCATATTTTGGTATCAGGCTGATGCTGTCTTTATAGAATGAGTTAGGGAGGAGCCCCTCCTCCTCAATTTTTTGAAATAGTTTTAGTAGGATTAATACCAGCTCTTCTTTGTATGCCTGGTAGAATTCAGCTGTGAATCCGTCTAGTCCAGGGCTTTATTTGGTTGGTAGGTTTTTTGTTACTAATTCAATTTTATAACTTGATATTGATCTATTCAGGGTTTCAATATCTTCCTGATTCAATCTTGGGAGATTTTGCATTTCCAGGAATTTATATCTTTCCTCTAGATTTTCTAATTTGTGTGCATAGAGTTGTTCACAGTAGTCTATGAGGATCTTTTGTATTTCTGTGGGATCAGTTGTAATGTCTCCTTTGTCATTTCTGGTTGTGTTTATTTGGTTCTTCTTTTTTTCTTTGTTAATCTAGCTAGCATTCTATCAATTTTGTTTGTTCTTTTGAGGAACTCTTGGTTTCTTTTATCTTTTGTATAGATTTTTTGATCTCACTTTTGCTTAGTTCTTCTCGAATTTTAGTGATATCTTTTCTTCTGCTAGCTTTGAAGTTGGTTTGTTCTTTTTTTCTAATTCCTTTAGGTATGAAATTAGATTGTTAATTTGACATCTTTCTAACTTCTTGATGAAGGCATTTAGCACTATGAACTTACCTCTTAACACTGCATTAGCTGCATCCCAGATATTTTGGTAAGTGGTGTTCCTGTTTTCATTAACTTCAAAATTTATTCTTTATTTCTGCCTTGATTTAAATGTTCATCCAGGAGTTATTCAGGAGAAAGTTTAATTTGCCTGTATTTGCATAGTTTTCAGAGATCTTGATATGAATTTCTATTTTATTGCACTGTGGTCTGAGAGTGTGCTTGGTATGATTTCAGTTTATTTTAATTTATTGAGACATGCTTTATGACTGAGCATGTGGTCAATCTTAGAATATGTTGCACTTTGGGAGGCCGAGGCGGGTGGATCATGAGGTCAGGAGATCGAGACCATCCTGGCTAACATGGTGAAACCCCATCTTTACTAAAAATACAAAAAATTAGCCAGGCATGGTGGCGGGCGCCTGTAGTCCCAGCTACTCAGGAGGCTGAGGCAGGAGAATGGCGTGAACCCAGGAGGCAGGGCTTGCAGTGAACTGAGATCGCGCCACTGCACTCCAGCCTGGGCAACAGAGGGAGACTCCATCTCAACAACAACAACAACAACAACAACAAAAAAAAAAAGAATATGTTCTGTGTACAGATGAAAAGAATGTATATTCTGGTGTTGTTGGGTGGAGTGTTCTGTAGTTGTCTATTAGGTCCAATTGGTCAAGAATCCTGTTTACATTCAGTTTCTTTGTTAGTTTTCTGCTTCAGTGATCTGTCTGACACTGTCAGTGGGGTGTTGAAGTCCCCCATTATTATTGTGTAGCTAAGTCTTTTGGTAAGTCAAGAAAAAAATTGTTTTATGAGTCTGGGTGTTCCAATGCTGGGTGTGTATATATTTAGGAAAATTAAGTCTTCTTGTTGAATTGTACCCTTTATCATTATTTAATGCCCTTCTTTGTTTTTCTTAATTAATATTTTAAAGTCTGTTTTAACTGATATAAGAATAGCAACTCCTGCTCTTTTTGGTTTTCTGTTTGCTTGGTATATCATTCTCCATCCCTTTACTTTGAGCCTGTGGGTATTGTTACATGTGAGATGGGTCTCTTTTATCCAGCTTGCCATTTTATGGTTTTTAGATGGAACATTTAGCCCATTTACATTCAGAGTTAGTATTGATATGTGAGAAAGCCATCTATGACAAACCCACAGCCAACATCACACTGAAAAGGCAAAAGCTGGAATCATTACCCTTGAGAACTAGAACAAGACAAGGATGCCCACTCCGGTCCTATTCAACATAGTACTGAAATTCCTAGACAGAGTAATCAGGTAAGAGAAATAAACAAAAGTCATCCAAATAGGAAAAGAAGAAGTCAAACTATCTCCCTCCTTTGACAATATGATATAAACCTAGAAAACCCTAAAGACTCCAACAAAATGTTCCTAGAACTGATAAACAACTTTAGTAAAATTTCAGGATACAAAATCAGTGTACAAAAATGAGTAACATTTCTATACACAAACAACACTCAGGCTGAGTGAAATCAAGAACACAATCCCATTTACAGTAGCCACAAAGAAAATGAAATACCTAGGAATACAGGTGGCCAAAGAGAACTACAAAACACTGCTGAAAGAAATCAAAGATGTCACAAATAAATGGAAAAACATTCCATGCTCATGGATTGGAAGAATCAATATCATTAAAATGCCCATACTGCCCAAAGCAATTTATAGATTCTATGATATTTCTATTGAACTACCATCATCATTTTTCACAGAATTAGAAAAAACTACTCTAAAATTCATACGGAACCAAAAAAGAGCACCAATAGCCAAAGCAATCCTAAGCAAAAGACCGAAGCTGGAGACATCACACTACTTAATTTCAAACTATACTATAAAGCTATAGTAACTAAAATAGCAGGTACTGGTGCAAAAACAGACACATAGACCAATAGAAAAGAATAGAAAACTCATAATTAAAGCTGCACACCTATAATAATATGATCTTTAATAAGGCTGACAAAAACAAGCAATGGGGAAAGGCCTCCTATTCAATTAACTGTATTGGGATAACTGCCTAGCCATATGCAAAAGATTAAAACTAGAACCATACTTTTTACCACACTAAAAAAATGGCTGAAAATCATCATAGATTTAAATGTAAGACCTCAAACTAAAAGAAAACTTTGGAAATACTCTTCTTGACATGAGCCTTGGCCAATAATTTTTGACTAAGTCCCCAAAAGCCACTGCAACAAAAACAAAAATTGACAAGTGGGACCTAATTAAACTGAAAAGTTCTACACAGCAAAAGAAACTATCAACAGGTAAACAGACAACTTACAGAATGGGAGAAAATATTCATAAACTATTTATCTGACAAAGATCTAATATCCAGATAATCTGGTCTATGAGAAACTTAAATAAACAAGCAAAAACCAAATAACCCCATTAAAACATGGGCAAAGGACATGAACAGACAATTCTCAAAAGAAGACATAAAAGCAGCCAAAAACATTTGAAAAAATGCTCAACATCACGAATCATCAGAGAAATGCAAATCAAAATCACAATGAGATACCATCTCACACCAGTCAGAATGGTTATTATTAAAAAGTCAAAAAACAACAGATGATGGTGAGGCTATAGAGAAAAAGAAATGCTTATACACTGTTAGTGGGAATGTAAATTAGTTCTGCTACAGTGGAAAGCAGTTTGGAGATTTCTCAAAGAATTTAATACAGAACTACCATTTGATCCAGTAATCCCATTCCTGGGTATATACCCAAAGGAAAATAAATTCTTCTATCAAGAAGACACATGCACTTGGATATTTATACAGCACTATTCACAATAGCAAAGACATTAAATCCAATAGGTGCCTATCAATGGTAGATTGGATAAAGAAAATGTGGTACGTATACACCATGGAATATGACGTAGCCGTAAAAAGAATGAAATAATGTCCTTTACAGCAACCTGGAAGCAGCTGGAGACCATAATTCTAAGTGAATTAACACAGAAACAGAAAACCATATACCACGTGTTTTCACTTATAAGTGGGTGCTAAACATTGAGCACACATAGACATAAACAATGGAGCCATGGACACTGAGGACTACTAGAGCAGGGAGGGAAGGAGGGATGTGTGGGTTGAAAAACTACCTTTGGTGTACTATGCTCACTACCTGGATGATAGACAGGAGCATTCACACCCCAAACCTCAGCATCATGCACTATATCCATGTAGCAAACCTGCACATATACCCATTGTGTATAAAATAAAAGTAGAAAGAAAAAAATAGAAGAAACCAATGTGAGGGTTTCTGTCAAACCCCAATATCTAATCCAATTATACAAGTAAATGGCCACCAGGTAGGTCTGTGGGCCCATTGCACCCACTGTGAGTCAGACCTAAGATTCTAGGATTCCATTTACTTTTTGGCACTATACAGCCCCACTCTGACAGCATGGCCATTATAGATATTAGGTCTCATATTGGGTATCAATGTCAATTCTGCTCCTATGTCTGACAATCATTGAAAAGTCTTGGCATTCTTTTCCCCAAAGTATTCACTTGAGTAAAGGGCTATATTCCCTTGGGGAAAGGACAGAGGCATTTCAACTGAATACAATTGCTATGTAGTTGCAGGATTCCTTTTCATACAAAACTAGCATCTCTTTCTGCCGCCAGTGTCCTGGGTCTGCCAACTGACGCAAGCCTGGAAACTGGACCAAAAAAAAAAAAAAAAAGAAAAGAAACTGTAAGTTTTAATTTGAGGGGCTTTTTCTTTTTCTCAGCCTTCTTAACATTCAGTCTTGATATATATTGTGGTGTAAACTAAGCAATATTCACTTTTACTGCTCTTCTAATTGTCTATGGAAACTCCAAATTCCATTAATACATCCAAAGTTCTTTGAAGGTATAGGCCATTCCTCTAGCGCATCTGAAATGCCACTTGAATTTTGCCACACGTTGTGATATCTGTGGTCACTTTGCTTCATTACAATAATTGCAACTACTTTGATTCTAAGGACTGAGTACCTCTAAATGGACCTTTATTGTTTGGGGGAACTAATTAGGCTCACTGTGTTTAGGAAGCCCTGTTTTGTATTAGCCTCTGCTAACATCAGCCTTGGCCTATAGAGAACAGCCATCATTGAGCTGATCCCACTCTTACCAATACATTGTTTATTGTTTTTACAGTTGGAATGTCCTTCAGGCCCTCCCATGGAACATATTCACTGATAGGTTTCCAGCCATACATAGTATACGCACTCTAGCATGCCAGCTCCTCTGAACCTTTTCACCTCTCCTTCACTATCCTCCATGGCAATTCTGGCACTTCTGCTTCACATAGTGTGGGCCTTTGCTTTTTCCAGCATCAGACAGCCCTTCTAACAACTTATTGGTATCATTTCCTGAGTCCTTGTCCAGGTGTCGAGTTATAAAAAGGAGGCTTCTCCTTTCTATAACTTACCCAACCTTATGTTCTTCCCCTCTTGACCATTATCCCAGAAGCTAGTACCATGCATATGCTACCAGCTACTACCAATGCATAGGAGCCATACTCTGCAGATCCTTTGATGTATACTCTCTCTCCTTTTACAGCAGTCTCAGCACATTGCTAGTCTGGTTGTATAAGCAGGATTTGATCTTCCTTATTGGACTAGTTGCCAGGGGGCAAGGTAGGGGTAGATCCTGAAGCTGGCAAATATTGTCATATAAAATGTATACCTAATTTGAGGTTTCTGTACCATCTTCAAGCAAGGGGAGGGCTATTATCTTCTAACACAGGAAAGGGGGCTATCGTGGTCATAGTGGGGGGTACTACTGAAGGCCCAGCAAGTCAAGGTTCTTAACTGCATCCACTCAGATTACCCTATTTCAAGTCTCAGTGCCCTTACTCTTTCTCTACTAGGACCCAGTAGTTGGCATAGGAGACTTATTGAGGCTCAGAATTCAATCCTATCTGCAGCTCCACTACTTTAGTGATTAAGTCCTGAGCCTTGTTTTCTGTTCTTTTGGTATTTTGGCTGCAGGAAATTAGGATTTCCTTAAATGCTGCTAAGGAAGCCTTTTGGGCTTTTCACATTTTGCCTTGAAATGGTAATTAATCATCTGAGCTTGTCATTATTTATCTTTCACAAATCAATGGGGCACCATAATAGCCACCCAATTCCATAACCCTTGTAATTACCATTTCCCTTATGCCTCTCAAGCACAAGAAACACTGCAGCAGGCCATGTATCCCCCTCTAAGGATATCTCATATCAGTCTACCCCTGGTGAAAGTCTTAACAGTTGCACAGCAAATTCCCTGCTTTTAATAATTACACTGCTGCAACATCTTGGAGTCTAGCTCTACTCTACCCACTACCAGTGATGGGGTTTACAATTCCAGAGAGCCAATGATTGGCCCTTCTCCAAAATCTCATTTTAAAAGTCAGTTTCCTAAAACCACTCTTAGTACCAAAAAATTCTTAGATGTGAAGTCGCACCAGAGGAATTCTTGAGGGATACATATGTAAGGAAGTAAAGAAGGCAGGTTTGGGCAGAAGGAGAAGCTGAATTAAAATGAGGTTGTAACTGAGGCCTAAGCTGATTCTCTGGGAGTTCTGAAGCCTGCATGGCCCCTATAGAGTTGTCCCCAAATGAGGCAAGAGTGCCAGGCTTTCAATATCCCTAACTAGGAAGCCACTGGCCATGGGCTACCTCCCTAGGGGGAGGCATAATTTTGTATCAGGCAGTTCCCTGTGACTGAGGGCAATTCCTCGTAAGAGGCATAGCTACAAGCAGGCAGCAGTCCAGGAAGCTAAGGGATGTGTGTGCCAACCCTGGAGATGGGAGCCCTGTGGCACATCACGATATCTGTTAAAATGACCATTTCTGTCATAACTCCGCCAGTACCACTGCCTATTTTCCACAATGGAATCCCCACACCTTTGCAGATAATGCTGCTTATTCTGGACAGTTGCCTTTTAAAGCAAAAAGAAAGCACTCTTCCACCATAATATCGCTCAAATGATCCACTAAGCTTGGCTGGCAAGTGGGGGCTGTGGGTGACAATGTGGTATCACTTAGTGAGGGGAAGAGCAGCCTAGAGGTCTGCTCTGTTGGCACTCAGCTTGCAGCACCTTCTGTTGGCTGAGGAAACTGATAAGATAGGTTCATAAAACAGGAGAGAAAAATTTAGTTTGTCATTACAACTGCTTGACCATCACGTTGCCCTGATTAATAATCACCTTGCAACTCCAGGGCATCACCTTCTAATTAATGTTGCCCCACTCTTGCAGTGTCCTGACTCTCAAACCTCTAGGGTCAAGTCAGAGCACAAAAAGTCTATCTTAGTCTCATCAGCAAGCAAAAAAAAAAAAAGAATGACTGGGGCAGATTGACTAGATGTTCAACAAACGTTTTCCCTGTTTCTCCTTGGCACATAATTAGTCTATATTTGCCAGCTTGTCTTGGAGTTGGATGCAGCCATGTGCCTGAGCTCTAAACAAAGGAATTGGTCAGAGGTGAAATATCACCTGCTCCCAGGCCTAGTCTGTGGATGCTCACATATGCAATTCTCCTTTTCTTTGCCATCCTAGGAGGAGACAGAAAAGGGCCCTGAGGAATAAAGGTTAGTAAAGATTAGAGCCCTGATATGGAAAGTACAAGGTACCTGAGTCTGGGGAAATCTGTCTAAGGAGAGCTGCTCCTCCATATCAGACTGCTATGCAAATAATCATTTGTTATGCAATCCCTGTGGAATGTTGGGGTTGTTTGTTACAGCAGGTAGCTCACACTGACTAATACAGAGGCAGCAAATTAAGGTAAGTCAGAGGGATCCCAAGGGAACCTGAGCTGTGCTTCTCACCAGCTCTAGGCCCTAATTACTTGGTAACTTTTTCAGATTCTCAGCACCCACCCAGTGACTTAGGCTGCCCTGAAAAAACATTTTGAAAATAAACAAATATTCATCTGAAAGTCACCTTGGTGAGAATAATTGGAGATAGGCAGGACTCCCTCGTGCTCAGAAGGACCTTAATGCAGCCAAGATTTGTATCCTCTATGTTACTTCTTGGACACCCTACATAGACACTTCAAGGAGTAAAGAATAAGCTGTCTTCCCTCCTCTTTCTGCCAGCCTCTCTCCTCAGGATAAGCAGCTCTGTCTACAGAGCTATGTCCTGCATCTACTTGGAAATGCATTTTTTTCTTCCAGGCAACATAAAAGCCGTTGGTCTGTGCACAGGGGTTTGGCTGGGGGCATTTCCCAAGAAAGCATGTGCACATCAACCTAAGTCAAGGAATGCAGGCTCTGGGGAAACATTCTCGCACTGAGCCATGCCAGCCTGGCACTCCACAATGTTCACACTCCTGCAATTAAGCTGTTCAGTTCTCAATCATCTGGAGCTGCTGCCAACTGCTGGCTGCTGATAGTCAGAGTGGCTGCTGCCTGGAATGTCAGCAATTCTGCTTTCTGCCTCTCCTGGACTGGCTTCACTGTACTCTCCCAGCCTCCCCAAGACAGTTAGGTGCTCATGTCCCTTTACCTAGGTGATTTTGAGAGAGAGGCCTGGGAAGGTGCAGTGGGGCTGCTCTGTAAGACTTCTAGTGCCCACAGTCTATGCCTCCTGCTGTGCCATTTCAGTGCTTTAAGCTCCACCTCACCCAAGTGGGATGTTAATTCCTGTTCCCGAAGAGAGCAAACAGCCTGGGTTGGGTGGAATGCCACTGAGCACGCGTTCCCTACCAGCCTGTGCTGGCTGTCTCATATACATGATCTCAAAAAAATCTTTACGTGGCCCAGGAAGGTAAGTGCTATATCACGATTTCACAAAGACACTAGAAAAAGCTCAGTCACTTGACAATCTAGCACCTTCTCTCCATTCCCACTACCAACACCCTGAATTAGAAAGGTATCATTTCCCCTTGACTCTTATAAAGCCTGCCTCCATGTTTTAGCCTCTAGATTCCATCTTGTAGGCCTGCATTGTTCCACATTGTAGCCACATGTGGCTATTGAGCACTTGACATGTGGCTAAACTAAATTGAGATGTGGTATACATGTAAACTGCACAAAGGATTTTGAAGATTTTATACAATAAGAAAGAATGTAAAATACCTCATTTAATATTGTTTGATGTTGATTACATTTTGAAGTGATTACAGTGATTATATTTTGGATCTATTATGCTAAATAAAATATGTCATTAAAATTAATGTTTTTTAAACTTTTTTAATGTGGCTACTAGAAATTTAAAGTTACGTATGTAGCTTTTATTTGTAGCTCACTATATCTGTGAATTGGACAGGACAGTGTCTAGAGACTGACCAGAAGGTTCTGTTTGAAGCACCAACTGCCTGTGTCATCTTCCTGCTTCCCACAACCAGGAGGACAAATTCCAAGCCTTTAATATGGCTGAGAAGACCCTTTGTGTTCTGTACCTTGTCTCTCTCATATCTCCCAACTCTCACCTTTAATGTGATGTTTCTGCCGGCTCCCAGTTTGGGAATTCTTCACCCACACCATCATGTTTCTATCACCTCTACTTTGGTTATGTGCCTCCTTCTGCCAGAAATGCCTTTCTCCCTAAGAGTCACTGCACAACACCTTCTTGTTCATCTTCTCTGACTTGAGGAGTCCTTCTAGAAGCCTTTTCTAACTCTTCTCCTCATCCCAGGGCAAGCACTAGGGTGAAGCAGACAAGGCACCTAGGATGAGAATTTAAGGAAGCACCTACACAAACCTCTGAGTGGTGCCTCCTTAAGTTCTGTGCCTCAGGGCCTCGCCTGCCTCCCCCTGGTCTTGCCATGCCATCCTCTTGGGATATTCTCTCCATGCATGTAAGGCCCCACCTATAAGTCTATGGCTGCTTTTCAGCAACATTATATTCACTGTCATTGTCTCCCACCTTCTCCCAGAAAGCTATTGTGACACTCATGAAGAAAACTGCATCCTGAGGTATCGATCTGTTGTTTGTCAGGCAGGGTTCTATGTGCAAGGATTCAATGATGCCATCATTTCTACCCTGAAAAAAATATCACAAATCTTTGTTATCTGCCTTCTGCTTTCCTACTTAGAACAGAAATGTCCCAATTTTGAGACATTGATTAGCTGTGCAGCCAGTTGAGGTACAGATCCCCAGACCCCATCCTTGCACCTCTGATTCTGTGGGGCCACAGGGAGGCCCTTGGGGACCAGCACCTGCCAGCTAGCCTCAAGGCTGCTGTTGCTCAGTCTCAAACAATCTCCCTTGTTTCTCATAAGCAAACACAGGGTAACTTTTCTCTACTACACCCATTCATCCACACGTTTATTTGTTCATTTGACTATTATTGCATGCCTATGGTGTAAGTCTTTGTTCTAGGGGCTGTCAAAGAAATAAAGGTAAATCAGAACAGAATGTCTTATAGGCTCTTCTAGTTTATGAAATGTCTCCATATGCACAATTTTGTTTGATTTGTGGACTAAAAAATATCTCCCTTTTAGAGATAGTCTGATTTGCCCAAGATCACACCTGAGCAAGCATTAGGGACTGAAATCAAGATCACATAGTAAGTAGCAGGGACTGGAACCAAGCACAGTTATGTCTTCCAACTTGACACAAGAATTTGCCCTGAAGAAGGTTATCTTGTGAGTGGTGGAAATTTCATACTTAGGAGTCTGGAGCCAGGAGAAGGAAAAGGGAGGAAGAGAAAGGAAAAGGATCATGGAAGCCAGAGTGTGTAGATGAGAGGTAGAAAGGGCCAACTAGTCCTTGGAGTGCCTGTTAGCTAGCCTCAAGGCTGTTCCCAGTCCCAAGGTGGCAGAGGCCAAAGGAAGGATTCCCTTGCACCTCTGAGTCTGGACTGAGCTCTGGAAGCCTCTGGAAATCTTCCCCCTCTTCCTCATTTCCCTAGCTGTAAGGAACCTCTCCTGTCCCAACAAAGGGGGGTGTCCTGCAAAGGCCTGATTTATCCATAGCACAGCAGCTTTGTACCCTGTGGCACCTCTGCTCCATGATGACTCGTGGAATAGAGTGGGTCCTACCGCATACCCTGCGCCCCACCCCTAGGCTTGCTGCTTAGCCCTGGGACTTGCCCTGACAGGCTTGAGCTTGTGGGTGTGGAGGAAACTCACTATGTAGTTGTGTGCAGGCTGGCAAAGGCCCCCCACCCCAGACTGGCCCTCACCTCTTCCTCCCCTTACCAGACCCCCTGGGGCTCTGGAGAACAGGTTGTCAGTTAAGCAGACCTGACAGCTGACAGCTTTCCCGAACAGCCGGAGCACGGTTAGCTTTCCTTCTTTTCTTTTTCCTCTTCTTCCTTTCCCCTGTTGTTGTTGCAAGACTGGAAGCCTGACTGGAATTTAAAGCAAGGCTTTGGCGTAAAAATATATGCTAGCACCAAGCCCCACTTTCAGCTTCCCTCTCAGATTGGCAGCTGTCCACTTTCTGGGGTCGAAGAAGAGAACAGCTGCAAATTGTTAGAGGAGGGGTGGCAGCGGGGGGTGTGGGAATGGGCTCTCTGATGCCCCAGTAACCTTCTCTGTCTGGACACTGGTCTTGTTTTATTTGGGGCGCAGGAGGGGCAGGAAATCCTCCAGGGAAGCTCTGTAATCTGTCCTCCTGATGCTTATCCTCAGGTCCCTTTGCTCTCCTGGAATCTGAGATGCCACGAGGCTCCCAGTCTGCTGCTAATCCATCCTTCTCATGTTATCTGTCTGTTCCCCTATCAGTCCCTGCTTAAGGCAGATAGATAAATAGATGGATAGATAAGAAGAGACTCTAAGCAGCTTAAATAAACTATCCTATTTACATCTCCAGGTCCAATCTATCAATCCATCTTCTGTCTATTGTGAGTGTATTCTCTCTCAATCTGCCCCTTCAGCCTCCATTAACCACTCATCTGTCTTCCTTTTGCCCTACACTTTCCCTTTCTACTCTCCATTTCCCGACGTCAAAATAAATCCAAACCTGAGACACAATGAGGCATGCCTTTCCATTCCAGTTATCCCAGAAGGGTAGCCACAGTGGCTGACGTTGGTGGCTTCCTGTGACTGTCCTCAGGAAATACACAAATGTCCTTTATAATGTCAGGGGACAAACAACAAGTGTCAGATCTGCTGGGCTAGGCCTGTGTTCACAGTTTTACAAATAGAGTGAGAGTTTCCCAATCTAGGCTCTCTTGGGATAAGGAAGGTGATGGGGAATGGCAATGGGCTGGGGTGGAGGAGAAGAGGCAGGTAAGCTATTTGAATCAATGAGGAGACCTAAGCATTGTGCATTTGTACACAAAATAGTTTTCTTACTTTTCAAATGATTTGGACTACTGGTTGAAGTGAAGGAGTAGGAGAAGAGAGAGGAAAAGGTGGGGATTTTCTAAATTTCATAATTCACACTATCTATTGACCTTCAAACAGTTAATTTCTTTAGATCCTCTGAACTTCAGGTTTTACTGCTAACAGCATAAGGGACTATTTTGAATAATGACCTTCCCAGTAAATGAAATGAAAATTCATGATATTAATCATAAATGAAAATATCAACAATTTGAAAGAAAGAGAGGAAGAAAAGAAAAAAAGAAAGAACACCAATTTCATCAAATCAGGAGCGTTTTCTACTTGTCAGACACACGTACCAAAAAAGGTAAGTCATCTTGCCCTTTCCTTGGGGCCACCAGCATCTAATTGTGTTCATCTTGGAAAATACAGCAAATCTGTAGTTTCTCATTGCCCTTATGAAGACCACCACAATCCTAAGCCATAATCTATCCCCAGACTTCAGTCCCCAGCTCTTGGCCCTGATACCTTCTCTGATGCCTACACATCCCTTCTGTTGACTTCTGGATAAATGTGAGCAAAAAAAGACATCACCTTCATCCAGAGACTTTTAAGTGGAAGAACATAATGAGACATGGTAGACCTTTGTTAAAAGTGGAACATAGAAATTCTGTGATTGGCATGCTCCTCTGACACAGAGGATGTGACTCGCCACAGGAGGACAGCACCATCCTTGGGTCCTGTGAAGTCTGAGTCCAGTAACCAAAGGAAAAGGGGCAGTGAGGCTCCCAGCTGCTGCACCCCTACTCCAGGAGATCCCATGCCAGCTTTCAGAGCTGCCTGAGGACCTGCCTCCCTGCCAATGTTGGAGACTGCTGGTGACAAATGATCAGAGCATCCCTGGAACAGAGGCAAAGTAAAGACAGGAGAAGCAGGGCTCAGAGGCAAGCACTTTTACCCTCCAGTGCTGGAGAGGCTCTGAAAACAAACAAACAAATAAACCACTTGAGGTCCCATTGCAGCCTAGGAAAATACAGTTAACATTTTACTCATCCACCACTTAATAGGCATTAGCTAGCTCAATTTGGGGCATGTGATACTTATTTATAAGCATAGGATGGTGAGTGTCAGAAGATGTCAATAAGTAATTATGAGTTCTGTAGAAGAAAAGGACCATTCTTTAACCCAGTCAGACGAATATTTGAAGGTTAGTATTTTTGAAATTGGAGAACATTGGTCTCATGTACATTATTTTAGAATCAAAAATTCTGAATAAATATTACCTTAAGAAATGAAAGGGGATAGGAGCTAGGAAAACTAGGCCTTACGTGTCCTGATTCTGCCATCGGAAAAATCATTCAATGCTCCTGACTTATCTAGATTATTTTTAATTGGGGAAATGGAGATTATGTTACCTTACACTTTAGAGGACTATGTTTCTCAGGGATCCTCCCTAAGAAATGATTCATAATTCTGAGGCATTCAGTGATTCATCATTTAGGGGAAGAAATGCTTCCTCCTTACTTTAGAAATAATCCCTAAAAAAGAGAAAAGCCAACAGTAAAGCAGAAAGACAAGCCATCCTATATCTCTACTTACTCAAGACAAAAAAGGAGAAAGAAAGAGGCTTTAAATCATGGAGTCTGTGATGACAAGGGACCTCCTGAGAGGAAATGCCATAGAGTAAGTAGTAGGTACACAATGTATGAATTGATGGATGAGTAAATGAATGATTGAATGAGCCAAAAGGGGCCTGTGGCTGTCTCACATGACCACTTGGTACACAGCACATCTCTAGTGAAGGAAGTTGCAAGAATTTCAGGAAAATCTTTAAAATAGATTGCTTAGTGTGATATTTTAGGAATGGTTCCATATGAAGGTGGTGGGAAAAGTTAGATCAGTGTATGAAACTGCTCTATCACATCACCCAGGGAACTTCTTAAAATGCAGATTCCCAGGTCCCATCTCAAACTCACTGAATTAGAATCCCCAAGGTGATGCTGGCAACTGTATTTAATGGGCTGCCAGCTTCTTCTCATGTAGGCCAGGATTTGCAGGTCCCTAAATTAGCATTTGGGAGCTATTATTCTAGACAATATCACAAGGGCCCTTCCAGCCCACACATTCTGTGATTCTGTGGAACTGATAAAAGGGAGAAGAGATATAGGCAAGGACAGTTCATTCCTTTCACATTTATAGAACACATACTAGGTTCAAAGAATTGGAAATATAACAGTGGATGAGAATGCACAGTTGTATTGCTCTGGGCTTTTGCTGTGAAAGAACAACTTGATCTCCAGAGAAGAGGAACAGAGATCTACCCCCTATCACCAAGACAATCCTGTAAGACATGAACTTTTTTTTTTAAAAAAAGTTATTTTTCACACAATAAAAATAATTTCTTAGGTTGTATAAAGTTTTCTTTTAATAAAGCACTTTTACAGATGGTATTCACATGACACAACCAGGTAGGTGTGGTTATTACCCTTACTTCATAGAAGAGAAAACAGAGGCTTAGGAAAGTTGAAATACTTTCCTGGGATCATGTAGCTTATATGTAGGGGGACCAGGAATCCAATCCAGGTTTTGAAATTGTAATATAATGCTATTTTTTACCATTCCCTAGAGATTCTTCACCTGTGGAGTCTGGCTTAGGTGTCCTGTGAAATTGCTGATATTTTTTCCTAGTTTATCTCTGTGATGATATCATCTCCTGAATCAAGGAAAGTGCCATCTGCTTTAGTCAAATAAAATCCAGATCCGCAGAGAGAAGGGCAGCTGGACTGATTGGCTTTGACTTTTCTCCAAGACTCATCTTCTCTTGCTAAGATTTTCCAAAGTGTGTTCCTCAGAATGCAAATCCAGCAAAAAGTACGTGAAAGGAGAGTTGCTTTGTCATTGAGGCTCGAGAAACACTCTGTGACTCTCAGCTCATCCTAGAGATCCACAGTACTCAGAATGTATTAAAGGCTAGGGTGGGTTGAACAGTGGACCTGTGAAAAGATATAAATCCCTGGAATCTCTGAATGTTACCTTAGATGGCAAAAGATATTACGACATTGAGGGTCTTGAAAGGAGGAGCTTATCTGGTATTATCGAGTTGGCCGTAAATGCCATCACATGTGTCATTACAAGAGGGAGGCAGAGATTCCACATACACACTGCAGAAGGTGACATGAAGATACAGTGGACAGAGATTTGAAGATCCTGGCCTTGCAGACTGGAAGGATGTGCTCACAAGTCAAGAAATGCTGACAACCACCAGAAGCTGGAAGGGGCAAGAAGCGGAGTCTCCCCTAGCCCTCCCAGAAGGAGCACAGCCCTGCCAACACCTTGATTTCAGCCCCGTGACACTGCTTTCAGGCTTCTGACCTCCAGAACTGTGAGAGAATAAATTTATGCTGCTTTAAGCCACCAACTTTGTGGGAGTTTATTATGGTAGCCGCAGAAAACTAATACAAAGGCCTTGAGAAGTATTACTGGGAATAAACCTGTTTAAATTGCTTAACCCAATATTCCCCAAACTTATTGGACGATGGCCTGCTTTGCCCCATAAGGCTTAATAATAGTCCAACAGAACACACATAATATACAACCCACTTTGGAAAATGCTGCCTGAGGGAAATCTTTTGCTAATTACTAGGGCTACCACTGCTGCTCTGGGGACAGAGATACTCCTATTTAGAGTTCTGAACAAACATGAGTCAGGACCCTGTCCTGCCAACCCTATAGCACAGCTGAGACCAGGGGGAATATTTAAATAAGATTTCCTGAATGCTGGGGGTAACAAAAGAGAAAACCCAAAAGGGATATAAAGATGCAAAATAACATAAAACTGGATAATTCTGATGCCGAAGAACTTTTTTGCAGTGGTTTTGATTTGGGGAGAGTATAGGGATGCTGCTTTGGCTACCCCTGGCCACTACCATGTAGTCCCAAAACATCTCTAAACCCCCACACCCCAGAGCACATTGCAATGACTCTAGGCTTCTCTCCAGAGAGCAAGACCCAACTGTGAAAGAACTCTTTGTCTCAGATGGTTTTTCTCAAATGACCAAGATCTGGACAATGGCCTTTTGAGCCTCTGTAGAATAATTGTGTCCAACTATAGCTGGGTGACTCTGGTATTAGTGCAAAAGACAAACATAATAGAAGGCAAAGAGGCCAACTTCTTCCCTTCGCCTGAGTCAGGATGACAGCCTCATCCTCACCATGCAGCTGTGCACAATTAAGGATCACATCAAAAAAGGGGGCACAGGGTTAGTGCAGGTTTCCCCACACAGGCAGGAAATGCATCACACTTGTTTCGCAGGAGTTACACAGAGAATCACATTAATGGGAAAGATCATTTCATTGTATTCCCCCATTTCTAGCCTTCCTTCCCTAATATCTACTTGTTGTTATGACTATTATCATTATTTTACATACCTTTTTCACATGAATGGTTGGCTATAAAGCAGTACTTGTTTTGCTTTATTGCCATTTGCCTTATGTAGGCCATTAAGACTTTACCACTCAAGCAAAGAGGCTTAATTTTATTTTTAACTAAGAAGGTTCTACAACTTTAAGACATTTGTAAACTCCAGCTGAAAGGTATTTAGTCTTTCTATGGAGAGAAAAGGACTCAATGGTCCTGGCTATTGAGCAGGGGGTCACAGTGACATTTCAAAAGTCCCTTGAAGGGTTAGCCTGGCTGTGGATTCTTAGAAAAAGCACAGAAAAAGAGCAAGAGAGAGAAAAAGATAACTGCAAGATGAAAAGAACATTTAGAGAAGAAGGAACTCATGAAGGATATGTGACAGACACACACAGAAAAGTGACTGCCAGCTCAAGAGTCCAGGTTTCAGAGTAATTACTTGATGCTAGACTGCCCACGCTCCTCACTGAGCTGATTCGTCTTGACAAGGAGGGAAAGGGGCTGGGGAGGGGAGCCGACTTATTGTCTCCACCACACTGGTGAATATGGTATGAATGCTTCTTTATGATAGGGAGAATGGTGATGTGAACTCTATTGATATTCATAATATGCCAAAGCCAGCCTCCCCGTAACAGACTCTAAGAGCATTCACAAAAGCTTTAGTAAGGGGCACCGAGAGAGGTGTGTGTCTCTTCATGGGATCTGAATGGAGCCCTTTTTTTCTAAGGGCGACCACAGGCTCATACCAAGCTATCTTCCCCCCTGAAGCTACAGAGTTGCTTTATTAATAAGCTGAACAGGTGAGCCAGAAGGAAATATCTTTAAGGAAGTTTCTATAATTTCTATTCAATGATTGAAGAGGATGCCACCTCCTCCCACCAGGGCAAAGGATAGCAAGTACTCCCCAGGCAGCCTCAAAAAGGAAGGTAAATGCATTCTGGGGATTGGCAGGGTGTTCAGAGAAGGGAAAATGTCACTCTGAAGACTGAGCAGCAGGCAACACCCTCCCCTCTGGCTGAGCCTTCAGCAGTTTGTGGATGCTCCGCAGAACTGTGACAGCTGGAAGCAGGTGAACTGGTGCAGATAAAAGAACCCACCCCCGCCTTTGGAAGCATGAAAACAATCTCCACTAACCTTTATATGAGGCATTTATTCTCTTCCAACCATTGTCTCTGCCTTTCCAAAGCCCTGGATAGAGCCAGCGTTGTAAATACCAATGTGCCCATTAAAAATGTATGGATGCAAGCCCAACTGTGCCAAAGTCCCTTGGTCTTCAGTGGGACAGCAATCGGGGGGAAAGAATTGAAATCAAATGGACCCACTTGGGGATCACCTGCCTCTACACATTGTTCTCTGCAATCATCGCTGACCCAAAATGGAACCATCTGACGGGGAATGGGCTGTGCGGTCCAGACAGAGTCAGTGCCATATGGAAGAGGCATTCCAATTGCCCATTGCAATACATAAAAACAATTCAGGATTCTAACTCTATTTCCTTGGCAATCGAGTTTAACTATCACCAGGCTCACTATAATCAAATTCTGCTGCTGTATTTATTAAATATAAGTTGATAAACATATGGCTCAAGAGATGGGAAATAGGATGGGCAGTTGGTCTTAGCAGGGTTATTATTCTTCAGGTCTGCCCCCTGGTATTTAAGGCCAGCAGCAATTGCTAGGCCAATGGCTGCCCAGAGGCTATGAAGAATGGATCTTCTGTCATGAAAGCGGGTTCCCTTAATAGTATATAGTTGGTTAGAAATTATGACTAAAGAGGTCAAGACCGTGGGTTCAATTCTGGGAACATATAGCTCTTGTCTCCTCTTTATTCAGCCAACATTTTACTAAACACCTACTATGTACCATGTCCAGCACTAGAACTCAAAGATACTGAGCTAAGTAAATAATGAGCAAGATACTTGCCTAGAAGCAGCTTTGTCTAAAGTAAAGAAGAACAGAAGAATATAAATTTAGTGTGGTTTGTGCTGTGAAATAAATGGGCACAGATTGATATATTTGGAAGCTAAGATGGGGGATCAACTAAAATAGAATGGTTTCCAATATTCATGCAAAAATTTACAGTTTATATAATAGCTAAGCCTCAAACAGAACTGAGAAGTAGAGATGTGTTTATTTTCACAAGGGAGGTAATGGAAGTCAGTCTCTAACTATCCAAGGTTATAAAGCCAATGAGTGACAGTCCTGGGAAAACACACTGCTCACCCAAGCCATGCCAACCAGTCCACACATGAGATGCTATCCCATCCTGAGAGCCCATTGGCAGATCAGGGCAGTGCCTTCCCAAGACTCAGAGCTCAGCTCCCTGACTAATGACTCTGCCATAGCATCTTCTATTTATTAATTATGTGGACTGTGGTCCTCATTATTCATGGTTCATTGCACAGAACCCAAAATCACTAGAAATGCACTGAAAAGTGTTCATTGTAAAGAGTGGCAGATTTTTAGACATACCTGTGCATTTATGTATCCTTCCCAAACTCCAAAAACATGACAAAAAAGAGATTTTTTTAAAGCTACATACATTTATAAAGATAAAGAAAAAATGAAAGAGGAAAATAGCCACAGAATTTTAGAGCTAGAAGAAGATGAGCAAGTGATAATGAACTTAGGAGTATTTGTGAAATGTCTATATATGAATATATTAAGCAGATAGGTTCTCAGATTCCCCTCTACTATTCTGCAAAACTAGGCAATTGTCAGCTCCAACCCTAATGGAAGACTCCTAAGAGGTACTTCAGGCTCCCTGACATGAGGCTCAGCAGAGGCCATAGCATCTGCTGAAAGCAGTGGGGATAAGTGGAAGTTGGCATAGTGAACCAGAAGACCTGGGTCCCCTTACCCAGCTCAGTTCCAAGAACTCTGGTTGCCAGGTTTATACCCTCAGGCAAGAGACTAAGCAGCCCAAGACCTCCTGCACTTGGGGGCTATATAATGAAATGTCCAGCAGAATACCTACAGAGAAGCCCACCTGCCAGCAAACCAATGCAAACATGCAGAGCATCCTATCAGCATTTTAACTCCTCACTGTTAAAATATCATGAAATGTTTCAGGAATGCCTCTAACATGAAAGAAAGAGACCCAAACAAACACCTAACTACAAATAGGAAAAAGGTGCAGAGACGAAGAAGGAAGGAGAAAAGCATTTAAAAAAAATTCCTGTAATTACTATATTCAGAAAGAGGAAAGGAGCTACTGCATGTATAATAACAACAGTTGACGTTTACAGAGAACTTTCTATGGGCTAGGCACTGCTCCAAGTGCCTTCATAGCAGCTTACTGAGTCTTCACAATAACCCTACATGAAGTGGATGGTATTATTATCCCCATTTTACAGTTGAAGAAACTGAGCCACATAGCATGTAACTTTGTTGTCAAATGTCACACAGCTGGTTAAGCAGTTGAGCTGCAGTTTGTACCCAGGAAATCTGCTTCTTCGGTTTATAATCTCAACCTCCATGCAAACTATGCTGCTCTAATGCAAATAAGAGGCCATAAAAAGGAACATTTAGAAAACAAGAAAGAGTTACTGGGAATTAAAACTACAATTGCAGAAATGAAACATTCATTCTTGAAAAATAAAGTTGAGGAAGTATTTCAGAAAGCAAAACACACAGAGAAAGAAAGAGCGAGAATAGGAGGGAATATATAAAAACAAACACCACGCCCTTGTCCAAAAATCTACAGGATCAACCCAGTGGGTCCATCCAAAAAAAAATAGGTGTTTCAGAAAAGAAAAGATATTATGAAGAGGAGGAAACTACTACAGAAGTAATTAGACAATTTCGCAGAACTGAAAGACCTGAGTTTTTAGAATGAAAGCACCCACTATGTGTCCGGTGTTATTAATGAAAAAGAATTCATAGGCACAACATTTTGAAATTTCAGAATGCTGGGAAACTGAGAATATGCTAAATGTTTTCCAAAGACAAAAAAAAAAAAACAACCAACAATCAAAAATAAAAGATTGGGATTCAAACAATTACACTTTCTCAACAATACATGGAAACTAGAAGACAGTGGAGAGATGACCCTAAGGTTCAGAGAGAAAACTATTTCTATGGGCAGTTGATTAGGGAGAATAAAATAAGGATTTATAAGAATAAAATAAGGTTCCTTTTTAAGGATATAAGAGTTATCTAAAATGTATCTCTGACTCATGCACCCTCTTGGAAAGCTACTGGAAGATCTGAGAGTAAATCGATAAAGAGAGAGAAATGGGATCTAGAAAATCAGGGAATCCAACACAGAGGCAAATGTAAGGGACCCCTGAGGATAAGAGTTCAGGAAGATCCAAGAAGCAGGGAGCTGGGAAGCAGACCTAGAGAGCAGCCACCAAATGTCCAGAGAGATGAAGGCTTTGAGAGAGATGTACCAAGAAACAAAGGGGAGTCAGTGGGTTACCTGATGTGTTTTGAAGATGTTGAGAGGAGACCTAGTTTGGAGATGAATTAGAGATAGTCGCATGTATAACTCAATTAAAAAGTATATAGGCAAATTAGGAGTTAAATTATTAACTCCAGGAGAAAAATGTACAGGAAAAAAGTTGTAGCGCTACCTATGACTCAGCAGTGTAGGTATGTTATTTATAACCCCAAAGTAATATAAACAATGCAGAGTATTCTAATAAAAAATTGTGATATAACTATAGTGGGAAAATGTGGGCAAGGGAATGTGGATGTGTGTGCAAGCAATCTCAAGAGGCTGTGTATGTATCAGCCCAATGTTTATTTGTTTATAGTAGAAAACTCAATAGATTATGCCTAAAATAGAAAAACTAGTAAACATGTTATTTAAAATTATTGAGGTAACCACCAAAAGAATAATTAAAATAATTGAAAGCAATTGCCTCTGGGAAGAACCCGGGGTTGAGGATAACTGAGAGTTTTATTGTAAGCCTCATAGAACTATTTGAATTATTTGAACTAGGTACACCTTTTCAAAAATTGAAATGTTGAAAAAGAGAACTATAATTGTCTTACTGAAGGCAGCAGGCAGTACACACTAAAGGGTCCTTTTTGACTGGACTAATACAGCTCCTTAAAAGTGGAATCTCACTTATTAGGTTGGAGCTGAGTAATGAGAACTCATGGACACATGGGAGGGATCAACACACACGCGGACCTGTCAGAGGGTTGTGGGGAGGGAGAGCATCAGGAAGAACAGCTAATGGGTGCTGGGCTTAATGCCTGGGTGATGGGTAGATCCGCAGCAAACCACCATGGCACACATTTACCTATGTAACAAACCTGCACTTCCTGCAGGTGTGCCTCGGAACTTTAAAGTTGATTTTTAAAAAGTGGAAGCTGGGCCCAATCAGTTATAGAGGAAGGGTACTCAGCCTGCTTGTGCTAGAATTCAACCCTCAGTGAGACGGAGCTTTTCTGGCCAGGTGATCTCGTTTCTGCCAGCCACAAATGCCGAGAAACCCATTGTTAATAGATCCTAAGGGACGCAACAGGAAGAACTAGGAGAAGCAGGATTTTACTGTGTGTGAATCAGACCGAGCCCAGTCTGCTTTCCCAAAGGATAAAAGGCTTTTTTCACTCTAAGTAGGATTTTTTTCCCTTATGTGCCAGTTGTTTCTCATAACAGCACTGTTTACGGAAGGAGAATAGAGGTTTTGGACGACATAAGGAAGAGGTAACTTTTCTCATCGGCCTCAAATTCTCAAAGCCAATGTTGAATAGATTTGTTCTTAACCTTATTAATCAGCAAGTAAAAGAGCAAAAATTGAATTTGTGTAATGGAACTAGACACTATGGGTAGATTTAAAAGCAACCAATGAGGTTTACGTACTGGTAGAAGAGATAGTCAATGCACATATGTCAGGCACATACCTGTGTGCATAAATTTTCTTCAAGTATCCAAATGAAGGGACCATTATTTGAGTAAGCTGTCTGGCTTCGCCTCTGGTACCCAGGGGAAGAGGAATGACTTCTTTGGTTGGTGGGTTCTGGAGAAGGAATTGAGTGTATACAGATCAGCCCCTTCTTTTCTCTCTCTGTTTGGAGTGGCAACTTGCTCATTGGGAAGATGCGTTCTCTGCTTTTCTTGGGGGTAAATTTTAGATGAAGAGCCCATTGGAGTGGCTGGTATCTTTCAATTAGGCCTGGGTTAGCAAGTTTAATTCTGAGGCGCATTAGCAAGCCTACTTACCCAGAGATCTATACCATGTCCTCTAATCTAGGTTTCTTTTCGTTCCAATAATAGAGCTGCCTTTCTGATCTCCAACTGCCTGTTATCCCCTTGTACCTCAACGGTATCATGTGTCTCCCACCAGGCTGTCCATTTCTGGGACATGCCAAGCTATTTCTTCCTCTGAGCCACCACATCTGCTATCTCCTCTGCCTTTGCTGATTTAAACCACAGTCCTACAACTTTGTATGACTGGTTCCTCACTTTTTTGTTTTCAAACATTACCACCTCAGGGAGGCCTTTCTAGATTATTCTATCTAGAACAGGCCCATATCTGCTTGCTTTTTAAATCAATCACAGCTCCCTGTTTATCGTATTTATAGCACTAATCACAGTTTAAAGTCAGCCCTCTGTATCTGTGGGTTATGCATCCACAAATTCAACCTACTAAAGAAAAGAAATATTTGGAAAAAAATTATAGTTGCATCTCTACTGACCATGTAGAGACATTATTCCTTGAACTTATTCCCTAAACAATACAGTATAATACCTATTTACATAGCATTTACATTGCATGAGATATTATAAGTAATATAGAGGTAATTTAAAGTATACAGGAGGATGTGAATAGGTATATGCAAATATTACATAATTTTATATAAGGGACTTGAGCATCCACAGATTTTGGTGTCCAAAGGGGTCCTGAAACCAATTCCACACAGATAATAAGGGCCAATTTCATATTCTCATCTATTTACTAGTTTATTGTATTCTATCTTCCCTCTCTAATAAAAGTTACATGGGGGCAAAGACTTCATCTTGTTCTTTATTTTATTTCCAGCACCTACCATAATGTCTTGCACATAGTAAGTATGCAATAAATATTTATCCACTCAATTAATGAGGTTATTGTTTTCTACAAAAGAAACTTAATTCAGATTTTATTCATTTATTTTTTTGAGACAGGGTCCTGCTCTGTCACCTAGGCTGAAGTGCAGTGGTGTGATCTCAGCTCACTGCAATCTCCTCCAAGGCTCAAGCAATTCTCCTACCTCAGCCTCACGGGTAGCTGGGACTACAGGGGTGTGCCACAACTCCCTGCTAATTTTTGTATTTTTTTGTAGAGATGGGATTTCACCATGTTGGCCAGTCTGGTCTCAAACTGCTGAGCTCAAATGAACCACCCCCCTTGGTCTTCCAAAGTGCTGGGATTACAGGTCTGAGTCACAGTAACTGGCTTAATTCAGGTTTTGAAGCATAGAATAGCTCTATTGCTAATATTGGCAAATAGCTCAACAAATGATACTTCTTCAAAGATCCCTTTCCCTCTGTTTCATTAGTTCACCAGTTGACTCCTGGTCAGCAGTAAGCTGATAGCACTGGGGCTTCTCTTACCACCCTGGTAGGTGTACCTGGTTCTTACTTGGGATATTCTGCCTTATCTACCTCCTCTCTCTAACCTGTGACCTGAGTCCTCATTGCAAACTATATTTAGCTGCTGGATGCTTTTGCATCCAGCCACCATTTTGGTTATTATTTGCTGTTTCATTCCATTAAAATCTACCTTTTGGATTGTTTTCCTATTTCACTCCTTTTTTCCCATTTTCACTCTACATTCAATCTTGTTTTTGTAATACTGTCTCAAGAGAGTCTGTGCCACTGCATTTCAACTCCTCCTCCAATCTGGAGATCATTTTTTCCTTAGTACTTCTCCTTCATGGCTTCACAGCACTTTATATTTAAAAATTAATATCTATATACCTTTAAAGATTTTTAAAAGTCATGAAGACACTATATGAAATCATGAAGCTACTACATTTATATTTTATTAGAAATAATCTTCATCCACAGTCTAAGTGGCATCCCTCGAATTTCTAATCATAGTTCTAGAAGGATTCTATGCTATCCCTTGAAGGGCTTGTGAGTCAAACTCTGCAATTGGAAGGTAGAAAATGGGTCAAAGGGCTCCCTCTGGAGCTAGAAGTCTCTATGGATCCTCTACCTTAGATGTTCCAGTCAGAACAAGGACAAGGCAAATCACAGCAGATTTTGTTCTCATGAGATTTTGAGTTCAACCCAACTAAATGTGACCTATAAGGCTCCTAGGTAGTTCACAGTCATTTTTAGACATTTCTGAAACTAATGTGAGATGTAGAGTTTATAGAAATTTACCCGTCATGACTCATTCGTGTATATCAATATATGGCTGAGTGTGTGTGTGTGTGTGTGTGTGTGTATAAAACTTATTTAAGGCAGAGCTGTAAATGCCCTTGAAAATAGAAAATTAGATATCCAACTGAAAGCAGGGCTCCAAATTAGAATATACTTCATTGGGGGTGTTATCTTTGATCTTTCTTTCCTAAGAGGAGTGGTCTAGAAATATTGAGAGGTAAAGCCAGCTGGACTTCCTGGGTCGAGTGGAGACTTGGAGAACTTTTCTGTCTAGCTAGAGGATTGTAAATGCACCAATCAGCACTCTGTAAAAATGCACCAATCAGCACTCTGTGTCTAGCTAAAGGACTGTAAATGCACAAATCAGCACTCTGTAAAAATGCACCAATCAGCACTCTGTAAAATGGACCAATCAGCTCTCTGTTAAATGGACCAATCAGCAGGATGTGGGCAGCGCCAAATAAGGGAATAAAAGCTGGCCATCTGAGCCAGCAGCGGCAACCCGCTTGGGTCCCCTTCCATGCTGTGGAAGCTTTGTTCTTTCCCTCTTCACAATAAATCTTGCTGTTGCTCACTCTTTAGGTCCACACTACCTTTATGAGATGTAACACTCACTGAGAAGGTCTGCAGCTTCATTCCTGAAGTCAGCAAGACCACAAACCCACCAGGAGAAACAAACAACTCTGGATGTGCCATATTTAAAAGCTGTAACACTCACTGTGAAGGTCTGCAGCTTCACTCCTGAAGTCAGTGAGACCACGAACCCACTGGAAGGAAGAAACTCCAGACACATCTGAACATCTGAAGGAACAAACACCGGACACACCATCTTTAAGAACTGTAACACTCATTGCGAGGGTCCGCGCCTTCATTCTTGAAGTCAGTGAAACCAAGAACCCACTGGAAGTAACCAATTCCGGAAATATTTTGGCAACCATGAAGGGACCATCACCAAGTGGTGAGTACCATCAGATCTCTTTCGCTTGCTATTCTGTCATATTTATCCTTAGAATATCCTTAGAATTCGGGGGCTGAATACTGGGCACCTGTCAGCCAGTTAAAAGTGACTAGCGTGGCTGCCGGACTAAAGTCATGGGTGTCAGGCTTTCTGGGAAAGAGCTCTCTAACAATCCCTGACTCTTTGGAGTTAGGAGCATTGGTTTGCCTGGAACCAGTTTCTGCTTTTCTTATACTTCTGGGCTGAGCCAAGGGTTGACAGAGAGGAAAGCCATTCAGGTTCGGGATCCCGACAAAAAGCTGGTTGACCCTGTAGCCATGAGCAGAACTCTCAAAGTCACGTCGCCCAAGCAAGACTCACCCATCTATCCTATCTATCCTGACCCTTGCCTCCTGGGTCCTAATGCCTGTCAGACAAACTTCCTTTTGCCTTTCTTCTCCAAGGCTAGTCCCACTTCTAAAAACTACTCCCTCTCTTGGTGCTTTTCTAGTTTCTCCTATAAGAATGATTTCTAGTAAAAACTTCAGGACTCTATTCCCTTCTTTAGTCACCTGGGCTCACCAATCAGAAAGACATAATTTTTGCCCAAAGCCCTGTTGGGGGTGGAGGGGGACTATCTTATCTGGAATTTTGGGATCCCTCCTCAGACTAGCAGGCCTAACAAAAGCTATTCCTGAAGCTAGGATATGGGGAGCCTCAGAAATGATATCCTTCCTATTCAAGTGAGGACAAAAGGTGTCACTCTTCCAACCCTGGAGTTCCCTTCCCTCCCTCAGGGTATGGCCCTCCACTTCATTTTGGGGGCATAACATCTTTATAGGACAGGGGCAAAGTCCCAATACTAACAGGAGAATGGTTAGGACTCTAACAGGTTTTCGACAATGCGTCAGTAAGGGCCACTAAATCTGATTTTTCTTTGTCCTCCTTGTCTAGGAGGACAGGCAAGGGTGCAGGTTTTCGAGAATGTGTCGGTAAAGGCCACTAAATCCAACATTCCTTGGTCCTCCTTGTGGTCTAGGAGGAAAACTACTGTTTCTACTGCTGCGTCAGTGAGCACAACTATTCCAATCAGCAGGGTCCAGGGACCATTGCGGGTTCTTGGGCAAGAGGTGTTTCTGCTGCTGAGTCAGTGAGCACAACTATTCTGATCAGCAGGGTCCAGGGACCGTTGTGGGTTCTTGGGCAGGGGGAGAAACAGACAAACCAAAACCACAGGCTGTTTTGTCTTTCAGATGGGAAACACCCAGGCATCAACAGGCTCACCCTTGAAATGCATCCTAAGCCATTGGGACCAATTTGACACACAAACCCTGAAAAAGAGGCAGCTCATTTTTTTCTGCACTATGGCCTGGCCCAATATTCTCTCTCTGATGGGGAAACTGGCCACCTGAGGGAAGTATAAATTACAATACTATCTGGCAGCTTGACATTTTCTGTAAGAGGGAAGGCAAATGGAGTGAAATACCTTATGTCCAAAGTTTCTTTTCACTGAAGGAGAATATACAAATATGCAAAGCTTGCAATTTACATCCCACAGGAGGACCTCTCAGCTTACCCCCATATCCTAGCCTCCCTATAGCTCCCCTTCCTATTAATGATAAGCCTCCTCTAATCTCCCCTGCCCAAAAGGAAACAAGCAAAGAAATCTCCAAAGGACCACAAAACCCCTGGGCTATTGGTTATCTCCCCTTCAAGCTGTAGGGGGAGGGGAATTTGGCCCAACCTGGGTACATGTCCCCTGCTCCCTCTCTGATTTAAAGCAGGTCAAGGTAGATCTGAGGAAGTTTTCAGATGATCCTGATAGGTATATAGATGTCCTACAGGGTCTAGGGCAAACCTTTGACCTCACTTGGAGAGATGTCATGCTATTAGATCAAACCCTGGCCTTTGATGAAAAGAATGTGGCTTTAGCTGCAGCCTGAGAGTTTGGAGATACCTGGTATCTTAGTCAAGTAAATGATAGAATGACAGCCAAAGAAAGGGACAAATTCCCTACCAGTCAGCAAGCTGTCCCCAGTATAGATCCCCACTGGGATCTAGACTCAGATCATGGGGACTGGAGTCATAAACATCTGCTGACCTGTGTTCTAGAAGGACCAAGGAGAATTAGGAAAAAGCCCATGAATTATTCAATGATGTCCACCAAAACTCAGGGAAAGGAAGAAAATCCTTCTGCCTTCCTCAAGCAGCTACGGGAGGCCTAAAGAAAATATACTTCCCTGTCACCTGACTCACTCGAGGGTCAATTGATCCTAAAAGATAAGTTTATTACCCAATCAGCTGCAGATATCAGGAGAAAGCTCCAAAAGCGAGCCCTAGGCCTGAACAAAATCTGGAGGCATTATTAAACCTGGCAACCTTGGTGTTCTATAATAGGGACCAAGAGGAACAAGCCGAAAAGGAAAAGCAAGATCAGAGAAAGGCCACAGCCTTCATCATCCTCAGACAAACAAACCTTGGTCGTTCAGAGAACAGAAAATGGAGCAGGCCAATCACCCAGTAGGACTTGTTACCAGTGTTCTTTGCAAGGACACTTTAAAAAAGATTGTCCAACAAGAAACAAGCTGCCCCCTCGCCCATGTCCATTATGCCAAGGAAATCACTGGAAGGCGCACTGCCCCAGAGGACAAAGGTTCTCTAGGCCTGAAGTCCCCAACCAGATGATCCAACAATAGGACTGAGGGTGCCTGGGGCAAGCGCCAGCTCATGTCATCACCCTCACTGAGTGTTACCATCAAAGGAATCCTGGGATGGCCTGTAACCAGGTATTTCTCCCACCTCCTCAGTTGTAATTGGGAGACTTTGCTCTTTTCACATGCCTTTCTTGTTATGCCTGAAAGTCCCACACCTTTATTAGGGAGGGACATATTAGCCAAAGCTGGAGCTATTATCTACATGAATCTGGGGAACAAGTTACCCATTTGTTGTCCCCTGCTTGAGGAGGGAATCAACCCTGAAGTCTGGGCATTGGAAGGAACAAACTCAAGCTCCAGCCTTAAGCCTTCCCACAGGATGAAACTTCTCTTTATACATCACAGAGAGAGCAGGAATAGCTTTTGGGGTCCTTACTCAGACTCATGGGACAACCCCACAGCCAGTGGCACACCTAAGTAAGGAAATTGATATAGTAGCAAAAGGCTGGCCTCACTGTTTATGGGTAGTTGCGGCACTGGCTGTCTTAGTGTCAGAGGCTACAAAGAAAGGATCTCACTGTCTGGACTACTCATGATGTAAATGGCATACTAGGTGCCAAAGGAAGTTTATGGCTATCAGACAACCGCCTGCTTAGATACCAGGCACTACTCCTTGAGGGACTGGTGCTTCGAATATGTATGTGTGTAGCCCTCAATCCTGCCACTTTTCTCCCAGAGAATGGGGAACCTATTGAGCATGACTGCCAACAAATTATACTCCAGACTTATGCCTCCCAAGATGATCTCTTAGAAGCCCCCTTAGCTAATCCTGACCTATATACCAATGGAAGTTCATCTGTGGAAAATGGGATATGAAAGGCAGGTTATACCATAGTTAGTGATGTAACCGTACTTGAAAGTAAGCCTCTTCCCCCAGGCACTAGCGCTCAGTTAGCAGAACTAGTGTCACTTACCCGAGCCTTAGAACTGGGAAAGGGAAAAAGAATAAATGTGTATACAGATAGCAAGTATGCTTATCTAATCCTACAGGCCCATGCTGCAATATGGTAAAAAAGGGAGTTTCTAACCTCTGGGGGAGCCACCATTAAATACCATAAGGAAATCATGGAGTTATTGCATGCAGTGCAAAAACCTAAGGAGGTAGCAGTGTTACACTGTCAAAGCCATCAAAAAGGGGAAAGAGAGGGGAGAACAGCAGCATAAGCAGCTGGCAGAGGCAGGGAAAGACCAGCAGAAAGGAAAGAGAGAAAGAGACAGAGAGAGAGAGAGGAAGAGACAGAGACAAAGAGGGAGTCAGAGAGAGAGAGAAAGAGAGAGACAGAAATTGAAAGAGAGAGAGGGAGAGATAGACAAAGAGGGAGTCAGAAAGAGAGAGGACAAAGAAGAAATCAAAGAGAGAGAAAGAGAGAGATAGAAGTAGTAAAGAAAAAAACAGTGTACCCTATTCCTTTAAAAGCCAGGGTAAATTTAAAACCTATAATTGATAATTGAAGGTCTTCTCTGTAACCCTATAACACTCCAATACCACCTTGTTGTCAGTGTAAACAAGGGCATAGCCTGAAAGTACTGAGGCCACTGACAACCCATAGCCTTCCTGTCAAAAATTCTTAACCCAGCAGATTTCCTAACAGGGGATCTAAATCTTAATTAGTTACCATACGAAGGTCCGACCAGACCTAGGAGGAACTCCAGTCAGGACAGGACGATAGATGGTTCCTCCCAGGTGATTAAAGGAAAAAGACACAATAGGTAGACAGTAAGTGATAAGGGAACTCTTGTAGAAGCAGTTAAGAAAATTGCCTAATAATTAGTCTGCTCAAACTTGCAAACTGTTTGCACTCAGCCAAACCTTAAAGTACTTACAGAATCAGGAAGGAGCCATCTATACCAATTCTAAGTTAATATGGACTGAACGAGGTCTTATTAATAGCAAAGAATAATTGAAATCCCAAAGTTACAAGGTTTTCTTTTTCTTTCTTTTTTTTTTTTTTTGAGACAGAGTCTCACTCTGTCACCCAGGCTGGAGTGCAGTGGGGTGATCTCGGTTCACTGCAAACTCCGCCTCTTGGGTTCAAGCGATTCTCCTACCTCAGCCTCCTGAGTAGCTGGGAATACAGGTTTTCAACAAAAGTAAAGTTTGCTACCAAAACTGCTGAGGCCTAGGCCTCCTCACTGCTGAGAAAGGAGACTCTGCACCTTCTTAGGGGAAGAGTGTTGTTTTTACACTAACCAGTCAGGGATAGTATGAGATGCTGCCTGGCATTTACAGGAAAGGACTTCTGAAATCAGACAATGCCTTTCAAACTCTTATACAAACCTCTGGAGTTGGGCAACATGGCTTCTCCCCTTTCTAGGTCCTATGACAGCCATCTTGCTATTACTCACCTTTGGGCCCTATATTTTTAACCCTCTTGTCAAATTTGTTTCCTCTAGGATCGAGGCCATCGAGCTACAGATGGTCTTACAAATGGAACCCCAAATGACCTCAACTCACAACTTCTACCGAGGACTCCTGAACTGACCCACTGGCCTGTTCACTGGCCTAAACAGTTCCCCTCTGGAGGACACTACAACTGCAGGGCCCCTTCTTCACCCCTATCCAGGAGGAAGTAGCTAGAGTTGTCATTGCCCAATTCCCAACAGCAGTTGGGGTATCCTGTTTAGAGGACAAATTGAGAGGTAAAGCCAGCTGGACTTCCTGGGTCAAGTGGGGACTTGGAGAACTTTTTTGTCTAGCTAGAGGATTGTAAATGCACCAATCAGCACTCTGTAAAAATGCACCAATCTGCGCTCTGTGTCTAGCTAAAGGATTGTAAATGCACCAATCAGCACTCTGTAAAAATGCACCAATCAGCACTGTGTCTAGCTAAAGGATGGTAAATGCACGAATCAGCACTCTGTAAAAATGCACCAATCAGCACTCTGTGTCTAGGATTGTAAATGCACCAATCAGCACTCTGTAAAATGACCCAATCAGCTCTCTGTAAAATGGACCAATCAGCAGGAAGTGGGCAGCGCCAAATAAGGGAATAAAAGCTGGCTACCCTAGCCAGCAGCAGCAACCTGCTCAGATCCCCCTCCATGCTGTGGAAGCTTTGTTCTTTTGCTCTTCACAATAAATCTTGCTGCTGCTCACTCTTTGGATCCACACTGCCTTTATGAGATGTAACACTCACTGCGAAAGTCTGCGGCTTCACTCCTGAAGTCAGTGAGACCACAAACCCACTGGGAGAAACAAATGGCTCTGGACATGCCACCTTTAAGAGCTGTAACACTCACTGTGAAGGTCTGCGGCTTCACTCCTGAAGTCAGCGAGACCACGAACCCACTGGAAGGAAGAAACTCCAAACACATCTGAAGGAACAAACTCCGGACATACCATCTTTAAGAACTGTAACACTCACCGCGAGGGTCCGTGGCTTCATTCTTGAAGTCAGTGAGACCAAGAATCCACCAGAAGGAACCAATTCTGGATACAATATCATGTTAACAGTAGACTTTCCTGGATTTCAGAAAAATCTCATTCTTTTTACCCTCAGCTGCCTTGGATGGACATGGGCAGCCCAGAGACTTAAGTGGGTGCTTGTATGTAATATTCTGATTTGAAACACAAGCGGGCCCATATGGTATATCTAGTAATGCTTAGAAAGTCCTAAACTACTTGTTTAGTTTATGCCCTACACTTGGAGAAAACATGTGGCAAGACAAATATATTCTGTTATCTTTTTCTATTTTGCCTTGATTTTAATCTCTTTATCCTGATATCTTGTGAACTGAGCATACTTCTGTTATGTCCTATATTACAAATAGGCAAAAACAATATATATATACACATATATAATGTATTATGTATTTATGTATAGTATATGCACATATGCATACATGTATAACATATGTGTATATGTATGTATATATGTATGAATATATGAGAGATAATATATGTAGAGAGATTATCTTATAATAAATGCCTAGATTCAATAAAATGTCCTTAACATGACAATTTGATCTGACAAAAATACTTTGAATCTCCTATCTATTAAGACTTATTAAATCTTCTGGTTATAAATGTTGTTTAAAAATGTTCTGTGGTAAGAGATACAAGGCTTATGGAAAACAATTCTTGAAAAAAGAATGTATGGCTGATGATATGCATAAACTAAAGCTGATGCTACAGGCAACCTGAATCACTGATTGCAAATAAAGTATTGATCAGAAAGAAATCTGAAGGACTTCTCAAGAAAAAAAATGGATGGCAGAGAAAACTGTCGTAATTGCAGGGGAAGTGGTGTTGAGGCTCATTTATGTGATTTTCCTACTCCCTCTGTGTCATTCTAGGCTATAGGAGAGAAGACACAGAGCTCTCATGAAGAACAGAGCTGAGACCCAGGGATTTAAAAGACAAGTGAAATCTGTTCCTCTAATTCAAAAGGAAGTTGGATCTTTAGTACTAAACAACTAGAGACACAATCAGGACTCAGGATTCTGACCTTCAACCACTCTTCTCTGGAAAATTTCCAAGGAATTAGAGCCTAAGTACCCCTGTGCCTGCAATAGAAGTTGGGCAAGCCACGTACTCAGCCTTCTCAGAGCAGTCCATGATCTCTTTAACTGAAATCATGGAAAAGAGAGGACTTAAAAGGAAATATCATCCCTAAAGAGATAGACTATCTCAGCATCTGGACCCCAAAAAATCCCCTTAACTTTCGTCCATTAATAGCATCTCTTCTTCACTATGAGATAGGGTGGGTAACTGTGGGTAGGAGGGAGCAGAGGGAACACTTGGATGTCCCTGAGCCTTGCACCATAGCTCAAAGCTCCAAACAGGGCATGAGATCAATAATAATTGGGATGAAGGAAAAGAAGTCTCTGGATCTCTGGCAAGGAAGGAAAACCCCCAGAGTGGCTGCTGTGCCAAAAAGGCTCCAAAGTGATGTGACAGTGCAGTGGAGCCATGCCAAGATGGGATTTGGAGTTCATAACAAAGGAGGAGGTAATTTTAATCAAGGTACGAGGATAAGATGAGAATTAGATTAGCATAATTTGTGAGAAATGTTCTATAATAGCTAGTAATTTCTGATTAGGTGCATCGTCAATGAATTAGAAGTTGATAGTATAAGGTTTCTACATAAAAGTAGCAATAAATATATGCTTACTTTCATGTAAGGCAAAATTATCAAGGTGTAAGTAGTATTGTTTTCAATGTTTCTGGCACATGGTAGTTCAACAAAATATGTTGAATTAATTATTGAATAAGTTATTGTCCACATTTTTTAACTTCATGGCCTTATCTTGCATACTGCCATTTAGTGGCAGCATCTCTAATTGTAAGCAAAGTACCAATTGAAAAGAAATTCAATTATGAAGTACTAGTACATACTATTGGGAAGGGGTTTGTGTGTTTGTTTTGTTTTGTTTTTATTTGTGTAAGTTTTTAAACCAAGGAGTACACTAACAATAGATTGTATACATGTTTTTATTGTTATCTTAGATGATTCAGGGGAGCCAAAAAATTCTCAGAAGTCTTATCTTTTTTTTACCTGGAATTTATCTTAGCCTTTCCAGAATTTTCAGAGTTAGACTGTGAAACAGTAGAACTCTTCTAATGTTTCTAATGTCTCTTGACTCATAAGTCACAGGGGAACTGATGAGTTAACATTCTAAACATTTCAAAAGAGTTTAAGGAAATGTTCATTCTCCAGAAGCAGGAGATGAATGCAAAGGTCCAGAGGGCTTTGTGAGCCACCTCCTCACCGACAATGATGGACTCTGTTTCTACCTAGGAAGAGAACATAGGGGGCTGACACAGCCGTTCTATTTTTTACTGTAATGAATGCTATTTTCATTTACTTTAGAGAGCAGTCCCCAAGAAGACTAGTGACAAGATGAAGGTTCACTGGCTTCCTTTGTCCCTGACAGGTTCAAAAGTGCTGTGCAGGTGGCAAATTAGACTTGGCTTCCCATTAATTGATAGGAAGAAACTTTCTTTCCTGCTGTTCAGATTGTCTGTGGATCCTTTAGCACACATGAGGTTTCATGGAATTGTTATTATATTTATTATTGCTGCTGTCAATGCTGTAGGCAATATCTTTGAGAAAATGATGAAGGGCTAACAACAATTAGAAGCCTCTCTGAATAAATGTCTTAAAGTAGCAAGAAACTTGAGATTACTCTTGGTGGGGTGAGAAGCACATCAATTGATATAAATTCTGGTTTGGGGTAGCTCTGGGTCTGGGTAAATAACTTATTCTTTATTATCTTTAAAGAATTAGAGAAAATAATAATATTGATGATGATAATTATGATATGCATCACTTTTCAAACTCCTACAGTGTTCAGGCAGCATGCACAGTGCTTTACATGCATTTGGTCATTTAACCTACAGAACAATCCTAAGAGGTGATTATTCTTTGAGCACTGGAGAAGTAAGGGATTGGCCCAACTTCACACAGCTTGTAAGTGGTAAAAACATCATTCCTCCTCAGTTTATAATGGAAGAGCTACAACCAAGCAAACCACAATAATAAGAGTGTAGGTCTTTCCTTCCTATGACATTCAAGCAAACAGAAACAAAGACTGACATGCAAGAAGGATTTAAACCCAAGGAGGACAACTAAAGGAAGAAAAAGAGAATGTGTCTTCTCTAAAGCCTGGCAGCAATTTCCATGAAAGTCAGGAAAGAGGTTTTTTTTTGTTGTTGTTTGTTTGTTTGTTTGTTTTAATAGATCAGCCCTACATGTTTTGTGGGATAAAAGCATGAGCGTGAATCAGAATGATATATGTAAGTATTGAACACTGTCATGGATTTCTGATATGTTAACAAGGCTAAGATAACCTGTATTCCCCAGAATCCCCTTTCTAGAATGTTTCTGGTTAAGGTGGGCTACCAGGGAGATTCTTTCAAGAGAATTGAAGTATCAAAGAGGGACAGCAGCCAATCTATAATACATACAACCTTCTCCCAATTATTCAATCAAATGCTATTCTAGGTGCTACTATAAAGAAATTTTGTGTGTACAATTAAAGTCCCAATCAGTTGAGTTTGAGTTGATCAAAAGAGAGATTATCGTGGGTAGACCTGACTCAATCAGGTGGATTTAAAGAGGGACTAAGCTCTCCCTGAGTATGAAAGATTCCAAGCAACAGAGGAGAAAGAAATTATAAAATATTTCTATATTCTGGGGCCTCCACACTCACCTCATTGTTGCAGACCTGCTGATTGACCTCATTGGCATGACGCAACAGTTGGAGCTGCAACTCTATTCCCTCTGGATCCTTCCTTCATGAATGTTTACCCTGTGGACTTGGGGCACACACACCCACACACACGCACACACACACTTCCCATTGGTTCTGCTCCTCTGATAAAAACACTGAGAGAGGGTGAAACCATAGCACATTTGAAAACCAGCCTACCAAATAAGTAAGCTTATATAAGAGATTGTTTTTTTACAATAGGAGGGGCCACTGACTGGTACAGCATTCTAGGCAAAATCACATGCAAGGAAAATTAATATAAAGTCATATCCAACTGCGAAGAAGAAAGAGCTCTTTTAATGGAGCAACACATTTTATTAATCAGCCTGGGCTTCTATAACAAAATACTACTGGCTGGATAGCTTAAAGAACATAAATTTGTTTTCTCACAGTTCTGAAGGCTGGAAGTTCAAGATCAAGGTGCTGGCAGAGTTGGTTTCTGCTGAGGCCTCTCTTCGTGGCTTTCAGGGAGCTGCCTTCTCACTGTGTCTTCATATGGCCTTTTTCTCTGTGTGTGAGTGGAGAGAGAAAGAGATCTGGAATTTCTTCCTCTTCTTATAAGGACACCAGTCCTATTGGATTAGAGCTTCATCCTCATGACCTCATTTGTCCCTAATTACCTCTCTAGTGGTCCTATTTCCAAATATAATCACTTTGGGGGTTAGAGTTTCAACCTATGAATTGGGGTGAGAGGACATAATTCATTTTATAACCATATCTAGCAAACAAAAAGAAGAAAGAAAAATGTTTATAAAACTAGGGAATTTGAAGTGTGGACCATTCCTTCCAAGAATTAGCTAGTTATTGGTAGAAAGATAGCTTCTGCTCTTCAGGTGGTCACTGGATACTGCAGCACATTTTTTACCCACTCTCCCTCCTGCTGCCTGCTTCCCACCAACCAGGTAGAATGTCCTCATCTTATCTTTACCAGATTATATATCAATACTGGCCTCTTCACTGTTTTTTAAAAGAAAAAGTTCATGCTTTGTTAATGGATGTACTGAAGAATCATAAGAAAAACAGAAAAGAGAGTTTACATTGCACATCCCACAGCAAAGTATTTCACAGTTTTGCAGCCAATATAGCTCCTTGTATTTTCACTGTAGTCTCCCTCCAGGATCCTACATCCCAAGTTAGTCTTTGGTTCCTTTACTGTCCCAAGTAATTCTGCCCCTAACCTGAATACTCCATCAGGCTACTGTTATTTAACATAACATACATTTGTGGTCCCATCCCACCAACCCAAGTGATACATCAAACAACACACAGTGGGCTTCCTCAGGGGAGTTCTAGTGAGACATGCCTTTCTTTATCTTGCTTCAAGAAAAACGGAATTGCTAAAGGAGTTTGAGGCTCAGGCAAGACAGGCAGGTGCACCAGCCAACAGCACGCTACTGAGTGGATGACCGTGACACACCAACTCTTTAGTCATCGTTGTAAGGTGGGCTGATTTGGGTAGGGGACAAAGACAGAGGGAGAGGTAGGCTTCAAGTCACTAAAGTTAAGCAGATATTATTTCCCAAAGACCAGACTAAATTCCCCAAGAAAGAAGAAATGGAGCAAACCTAGTTTCATTATGGTCTCCTGCTCCTAATCATGAAAGAGGAATAGGCATCGTCTTGACAGCCGGTTGGGACAGTTGAGCTCATGGAAGATAGTGCAGGTCCCCCTGAAGGAACTCTGTCTGCTGCTCATAAAATGGCCAATTTAACACAGCATCAAATTAATAATGGAATATAGCTTTGCCACAGCCTTGAAGGCCTCACGTTCATCAGCTGCACTGTTGGAATGTGGCCTTTCTGTGCTCTTCCCTCATCTCTTTACACTAACACCTCTTTCTGGGACTCACCTGTGAAACTCTTATACTCGGGTGCCTGAAAAATGTTTTCGTGATTTGGTTTGGAGAGGCAACATGGTGCAACAGGGAGAGTTTGGGGATAACGTGTGTGAATGTGCTTTGTTAAGGGTGAAGATAACACATAAAGGTAAGCATTTCTTTTACAGTCAGGAGACCAGAGTATTAGTACCCATTCTGCGCGTGACTTTCAGCAAGTCATTTTACCTCTTGAGAATTCAGTTTCCTTCTTTGTAAAATTATGCTATTCAACTAGATGCCCTCTAACATCCACTCTGGATCGATAATGGCCATCATCATAATGATGACTTGATATTTGTCACACGCTCAATATGCTTCAAGGCACTCTTATAACTCTTCTAAGGTGCCATCTCATATTTTTCACAACAATCCTTTGGAAGTATTATTTTCATCATCATCTCTACTTTTCTAACCCAGGTAATTGCCTCTAGTGCCTACACCCAGGCACTATGCTATATTGCCACTTCAAGTATATTTTAATGATGTGTTCTACAAGAAATAAAATCAAACAAACAAATAAAACCTTCTGAGACTGCCAACAAAATATCCATTATTCAGCTGTGGATTTTTTCAATGGTGGTGGCAGAT
The DNA here is from genome assembly GCF_000001405.40 of Homo sapiens. NCBI lineage: Eukaryota > Metazoa > Chordata > Mammalia > Primates > Hominidae > Homo > Homo sapiens. The sequence goes on from NC_000001.11 coordinate 177,332,498, forward strand.
TTCTCCTACTTCACTTATGTTCTTATCCAGGATTGTTATGACCAACATGGAAGAGTTGGCCCAGAGTTAGCAGCACAAACTCAGAGTGAGAAACAGGCAAAGTTGACTGGCTGTCCCGGGATTGAACTCATGACCTTGGGCTCTTTATCAATTGGAAATGTTTCACTTCCCAAGTTTTTGCATGTGCTGTGGCTAGAGAACCAGGTTTTAACACCACTGGCACGGTCTGTATTGACTGGCTGCGCACGGACAAGTGTCATCTTGCCACACCTTCACCTTGGGGGTCTTTGGAGGGGGAAAAGCAAAATTCAAAAAAGGTAGCCTTTCCCTTAGTGCTTAGAGATGGCTCGGAGCATCAACTTTAGGTTAGCTCTGAATTCTACTGCCCAGCACAGTCACCATACCACAAGTGGCCTTCTCCTTCTCCCTGCTCAACCCAAACCCACTCAGCCTTCCAGAACAGCTATCCATATTGGCTTCCCTCACCTCATGTAGCATTGTCACCTCTGCCCTAAAGTTTAGTGCCCAGTTGTGAGCTTTGTCCTGCTGCTTCATGACTGTTTCATATGTTTTTAAGTCTTACCAACAGAGACCCTGGAGAAAATGAAGCATTCATTTTCCTCTATAGTACTCAGGTCAATGGTAAACTGAATTCGTGCTTCCGTTACCACTAGCCAAACACTTGCTGAATTGGATTGAAAGAAGGAATTGCATGCAGGGCCCCCCTCCTGAATAAGAGCCCTCAGGATCCAGGGGTGTTTGTGGAAATGAGAACCCCTGATCATGACTTGCGTGTAGACTCTTTTGGGTCTAACCTCTTACTTGGCATGTCCACCACTGACATTCTTCAGATTGTGAACATCAACAAAAGTTTCTAAGGAATACATATCTGGGAAGATACCGTGAACTGCTATTGACAGCCATCAATATCTAAATTCCAATTACACTGGTGGAAAACCAAGCAGAAAGTCAGGTCCCCATGGGAATCATGCTCAGGAATCAGGTCTAAGGAGGGAGAGTCAGCTCCCAGACAACAAGAATACAGGAGGTGAGGATGGCAGGGTAAGAAAGGCAGGAAGACCATGAAAAAGGCAGTGAGGCAGCCCATGGAGATGTCCTATGATGAGGCCAGCATTTGGGGAGGCCTCCCAAGTGTATTTCTGTGAATACAAGAAAGCAGGAAGGATACCTGCACAAATAATATCTCATCACTTTACAGTCTAAGGAAGCCCAGGACTTTCCTAGTGTTGCCCTTTATTTGTTTTAGCATTCTAGGAAGAAATGGAGTAAGGATGATTTTTATTGATATTTTATTTTGAAGAAACTGCTTTTGAATTAGCTAGCTGTTTCTGTAAAATATAACCTTGGTTCTCAATAAAGACTGAGTTGAAGGGGGTGTGAGCATCTTCCCTTCACGAGGCTTCCTATGGGGGTAGTGGAATATCTAATTTGCCTAACCAAGTATGTATACTCAGACTCTCTCTTAAGTATGTATGTGCTCAGGTCAGGGTAGGACAGAAGAGAGAGTCTTTATTGTTTCCATCAGAGCATGTGCGAGGTTGACTGTGAAACAAATAGAGGCAATTCTGAGCCAAATGGCCATCATTGGCCAAGGCATCTGCAAATCACATTTGTTTTTTGGCTGCAAGGGAAAGGGCTTGGCTATCTCTGTCTTGTCTTCCTCTACTACCTTGATCCCCTGAGCCAGAGGAAGGTGTTGCTATTGATGTCTTTCCCAGACATGGCTTGTTGTTTTTCTTTATAGATTTTATGCATTGGCAGCCAAAAACCTTGAGTAAGGAAATGGTGCTTTAGGAACAAAACAAGCTCTTTTGTATGTGACATTTAGGACATCAGACAAAACGGTCTTTCCAGATGAAGCTGGCTGGCAATAGGAAGAGTGGTGTCTGTGGGTCATAAAGCACAGTGTCTGTACATATTTCCTGCTGACAGGCACTTACTCTGCATGCCAATTCCATGTGCTAATGTCATTCTATCTGTCTCCACTGGGGTTTAGGTCTTTGCTGAATAACTGCTTCATGTAAGGTCTTTGGTCGAGCTAGGAAGAAAGAGTACGCTGGCCTCAACACCTTCTCAAATGATTTTATGTTTTTGTTGGCTGTTTCTAAATGTTTCATTTTTTTCTACAAAGTAAAAAGAAAGTAGAACCAAAGTAAATAAACAACAACTAGCTATCCATTTCTTGACTGGATTCAAAACTTGAAATTTGATTACATGTTGAATCTAGCCCTATAGCCTAAGTTTAATAAACTTTAAACAATGTGACAATTTCCCTCTAGAGCTGGGAGTCCCAGTCCCCTACAGTACCAGAAGTGTCACAGAACAAGGGAGCAAATATTAGCCAAGTCCTAAGAGAGGAGTGCCTTGCCAAAGTGGCTTGACTGTGTTCAGAGACCTTTGCTTCTTTCTGTTAACCTTGTCATATCTCCCAAACTGTTTCATATTGTTCTTTTCTATGGACATTCTATAATCTTTCATAGCATGAGAAAATATACACATGAATCATCTCCTTAGGCCCAAACTGGAATTACCTTTCAGGGATTTGGAAAAAGAAACAATGTTTAATGGGGATGGGGAGCAAAGGTCAGAGGAGGAGAAAGCAGTTTTCTCCCCTCTGCTGAGTCTTTCTTATAAGGCAGGGTGGAGGGGGGAAGTTGCAGACAGGTGAAAAAAATGTGAGCTTGTGTAACCAACATACTAGGCAGCTGTAAATCTTGATTGGGTAATGAGTAAAAGGAGTCAATTGCTTTCATTGATTTGCATTAAGTAGAATATCATTATGATCGGTGAATTTAAAAAATATCCTATTAGTTTTTATGTGCTTCATAACTGTAGGTTAGATTTTTTTAGAAAACTGAAATGTAGGGCAGCAAGAGGAAATTGAAAATATATGTTTCCATTCTTAAGTGAAATCAATGTGAATCTTTAATAATATTTATTTCAAATATGTCACACTGGAAAAAAAGGATCTCTTTAAAAGAGTTTCTCTGTGATGCTGTCCTCAGGGTCCATAACTCAGAACTGCTTCAGTCTAAAAATACTTCATAACTCTGATGCTAAAAGGACAGAGAATTTAGTGTGAGGTAGAGAATTCTGAAGAAAGATATATACATTTCTTTCAATTATAAAGACTACTATTACATGAAGGATAGTGATTGCATGTTCTCTATTCCTAATAAGACAATGAAAAAAACTGAATAAAGAAATACTGTAGTTAGATACAAGGAATAACTTCCTAACAGTGAGGCTTGTTAAAAATGAGAGAGTATTTTCTAATCTCTCTTCAAGAACAAATTTTTTTAGCTTATAAGATACCAATTGACTAGAGGTTGCTTATGGGAAGTTTCACCTTAGTGTAAGGGAACTAGCTCTTCCAACACACAAAGTCTAAATGACACACATACACACACACACAATAGTACAAGTGTTCACAAACTTTGATGTCAGGAAAAATTACCTGGAGAGTTTTTTAATAGATCCCATGGTCCATTTCCAGAAATGGTGATATGGTAGATCTGGGGTGCTATCTGGAAATCTGCATTAATTTTTGAAGCATGTGAAAGCTTGCAAAGCACAAATGTGTTAAGGCCTCTGACCAAGGTGCCAGCAGACTGGGCTCCTCCCCTAGTCTGTCACTAATTCATTAAAGGATCTTGTCAAGCTGCAGCTTACTTGCCTAAAAAAATCGATATAAAATCTCTTGCTCAACCTACTCCACTTGGTCCTTCTATCCTATTAGATAAATCTGTGAAAGGTTCTTCAAAGTAGAAAAGCACTTTGCAAATCTGATGGCACATTCTTTTTATCAAATTTTACATCCCTCATTAATCACTCTCCCAAATTAATCAGAGAAGGTCTTCTCTTCTTCTAGCTAAATTTGCCCATGGAATTTCAAATCCACAGATATTACTTAGGAGCCTGCTCTGTGTGCAGACCTGCAGGACCCAGTTCTGCTACTTTCCACCTCTATGATCCTGGGCAAATTATTCAAATTACCTGAGTTTCTATATCCTCATTTGTGAAATAGGGATGCTTCTACCTGTCTCCCTGGTTGGGTAATGATAAAACCTGCAAAGTCCCTGCTGCTGTTCATGAGCCTGATTCTTCTGACCCCCAAATCCTTTCCCTTATTCAGGCACAGTTTTCTTCCCCTACAATTGAAAATGACCATCTTGCAATAGATAGTATTTGGAAAAAGCTAGGCTAGTAGTTTACCCAGAATGAACAGAAATAAGTTTCTTACTTTCTCTGAAAGCTCAACAGAGTTCTCATTAATAAAACATATATATTTACAGGAATGAGACAGCCAGGCCTGTCCCTGGGTATGCAGTGTGGGCCACCGAATTCCCTTGGGGCTTCTGCAACTTCAGCTTTATTGAGAACTCAAGGCCCCTCAGCAAACAGAACTCATGGAATTTCTGGAGGCTGGCATAATGATGATTAAAAAAACAGCAAACAAAGACCTGTTCAGTGGGGTCTTTTCTGGCCTCAGCTCTGGCATGTTTTTTGCACTCATTCTGCTAAAAAGAGACTGAGGAGAGTAATAGCTTGTTGGATCTGCAGAGTAAGTGAGAGAACGACACCTCATGTTTTGGGTGGGACTTTAAGAAATGAAGATATGGAACATTTCATCTACAAAAATCTCCAACATCAAGAGAGAGCAGATATGGCAGGTGCCTTTGGGAACACGAGTTTTCTTTTTCTTGGTGGGTCCTTGTTTAAAATATATCAATGTATCTGCAGTCCGGTGCCTAACTGCAGTTCTCAAAGAGCATATAACAGCCAATCAGAAATTGCCAATGATTTCTCTTTTATTGCAGAGAAGTTCAACACAATGGGGGAAATGTCCTTGAACCCTCAACCAGAGTGTCTTCATAGGAAATGGTGGCATGGCCACCTGACAATCAACTGAGTGCCTGCACCATTGTTTTGGTGCCACCCTCATACCCCAAATGCTTAGTGGCAGAAGTGATGTGGCGGCAGAAGCTGGCCAGTCACTTCCCTAAGTCTGGGGTGTGACACGTCATCAGACTGAAGCCCCAACTCCCAAGATTGTCTCATGAGGCCTTTCCTGAGGTGCTACTGGCTGGCCTCCCCATCATGTCCTCATGCTGTCCCCACCCCCCACAACCCACTGCATCAGATGCAGCTCTGTGTGTTCACAGGAGGAGGGGCCCTGCACCATCCTCTGCACACACTCACCTGGCCAATGCTTACCTCTCTTTTAACTCTAACCTCCCACTTCACTTTCTCCCAGAAACCCTTTTTAACTACCCTGATTCCCTTCCCTCAAGCAGGATAGGAACCTTCCCTCTGTGCTCCATCGAAGCACTTAACTCACAGATGTGTTTGTTATATACGTGTCTTTCTCCCTTATTAAACTGGGATCTCCTGAAGGCAAAGTTTATGCCCTATCCATCTCTATTTCTAGCTCTAGCACTTGTTCAAAAGGACTCAATAAATGTTAACTAATTAATTAAATGGATGAATTAATGGATGGATGAATGAATGAATCCTTTTAAACTGCTTCTAAAAAGTAAAGATCCCCCAGGCACAGTGGCTTATGCCTGTAATCCCAGCACTTTGGGAAGCTGAGGCAGGCGGATCACCTGAGGTCGGAAGTTTGAGACCAGCCTGACCAACGTGAAGAAACCCCATCTCTACTAAAAATATAAAATCATCTGGGCGTGGTGGCACATACCTGTAATCCCAGCTACTCAGAAGGCTGAGGCAGAAGAATCTCTTGAATCCAGGAGGCAGAGGTTGTGGTGAGCCGAGATCGTGCCATTGCACTCCAGCCTGGGCAACAAGAGTGAAACTCAGTCTCAAAAAAAAAAAAAAAGTAAAGATCCTAGCCTCTCTACTCGCATCTTCTCACAAGTCTACATCTCTACATTTTGGGAAGTAGAGCTATTTCACTTTATATATTTTAGATCCAAGATCATTGAAGTGAGGAGCATTGCTAAGAAATAATCCTTTGTGTTGATCTGAGCTAAATTCTCTAATCCCATTCCCTAACTGGCCTGGCCATCTTCCTTTGAAGGCTTTTAAATCTGCTAAGAACCTGGCTTCAGCTGCCTGGGCAAAGTGTAAGGGCAGAAGGCCTGGATCCTGCTCAGGTTGGTGGCTAAGCCTGGCTTCTAGGTTTCAGCACTGAAAGGAGGGAAGGGTTTTGGAAAGCCAACCTGGTATCTGTTTGCAGTTTGCAAAATAGTCATTAAAATGGAGAGAAAAAATAGGGAAAAGAATCCTGTAGGGGATTAAAGTGGAAAACATTGAGAGAGAGTGAAAGTCAAGGAGCTTATTTGAGGTTTATAGGAGAGGCATTCTCTTAGGTGATGTCTTTAAGAGTTGTTAGGAAAAATGGCTCGGGCCCACAGCCATTGGTTGAGGGGCCAGGAACCCCTTTGCTAGCCTTCCCTGACACCAAACCGCACCTTCCACTTGTCATAATACTCGTAGTAATCCAACAATACTTTATGGTGCATTCGGCATTGTGTAAGCCTTATAGGCCATATAGAAAATGTAAGATACACACTTGTGTACCCAAATGGTTTACAATCTCACAGAGGAAACAGGGTTGATTCATGTGCAAACAGAGCATGAAAACAACAGAACATAATACCAGACGGCACAGCTTAGGAAGCACTCTAGACGGTGGTTCTTTGCTGCATATTAGAATCGTTTGGGGAAACTTAAAAATCTTGAGCCCGGGTGGGGCGCAGGGGCTCACGCCTGTAATCCCAGCACTTTGGGAGGCCAAGGCGGGTGGATCACTAGGTCAGGAAATCAAGACCATCCTGGCTAATACAGTGAAACCCCATCTCTACTAAAAATACAAAAAATTAGCAGCACGTGGTGGTGGACACCTGTAGTCCCAGCTACTCCGGGAGGCTGAGGCAGGAGGATGGCGTGAACCCGGGAGGCAGAGCTTGCAGTGAGCAGAGATCGCACCACTGCACTCCAGCCTGGGGGACAGAGCAAGACTCTGTCTGAAAAAAAAAAAGAACCACAAAAAAAAAAAAAACTTGAGCCCACGCCATACCCATATCAATGAAATCAGTGTCTGTAGAAGTGGGACCCAGATATCAATATGCTTTAGTTTCCTGGGTGATTTCAATGAATAAGTTTGATAAACTATGCTAAAGAAAGAGCATTAGCTTTGACTGAAAAAATTGGGGCTGTCTACTCATGAGCTCTGTAACCTTGGGTTAGCCAAGGAACACCTTTGGGCCTGGCTATTCCAGAGATTTTTTAAGCCCTGTGAAGACAACTTAGATCCCCAATGCTCAGCATAATGTTTGACACAAATAAGGTATCCAACAAAGATGCATTTATTTGAATAATATATAAGAAAGTTATTTAATAAGCCTGCAAATGTAGTTATTAATAATGGTACTATTTGTACAAACATAATGTCAGTAATAATGGCCATGGTGATCCAAGCAAGTTCCAAGGTATACAGTAAAGACAGTCCTAATGTTTAACATGGTGGCTGTACATAATGGTGCTCCATACATGTTTGTTAAATTAATAAGCGGCTTGGGTGGATTGGAAGAATCAAGAACAAAGCTTTTTAGCTCACCTTGGGAAATTGCCTACCCTATTCCTGTGGTCTCCGTCCATCTGTCCATGCACCACTGAGATACCAAGCCAATAAGCCCTATGGCAGAGGTTCAGAAAACTGCAAAGGAAGTGAGAGAGAGACAGAGGGAGAAATAAAAAGAGGAGGGAGAAGAGGAGGAGGGAGCATGGAAGGAGGAGGTAAGAAGTATCTTAGAAGGGAAGGAAGAGGAGGGTTTTGACGATGACTAGGAAGAGATGAGGGAGTGGTTGGGGGCATGGAGAGTGACTGAAGAGATAGTAAAACACTGGATGGGCCCAACAGTTCAGCGAAATGAGATGACAATAAATGTTTTGTCTTATGGTAATTCGGAAATCCCAGGAGATGGGGGCAGAGGAGAGAGGGGGTTGGACTAGTAAAAGGGGGCTGATCAAACATAAGAATTCAGAGAACAGGAATATATAGCCCACCAAAAGCATGTCAGGTTTTACTTTTCTGACACTTTGAAAGTCTGAAGGTTGTTAAATTGCCTCCCATTCCTGAAAAAGCCCAGGCAGGCAGCTCCCTCTGGGACTTGCATTAACCCTAGTGCTCCATTGCCAGAAACATGAGCTCATTCCACTCGTGCGTCTGCAGTCCTAGCAAGCACGATCAAACTTTATGAGGCTTGTTACAAGCAAATTACATGGGAAACTGCAAAGGATCGGAGGGAGGGAGATGGCAGTTGGGGGCCGCGTACACTGCCGGGAAAGGGAAAGGGGAGCGGGGTAGGGATGCTGGGCACAGCCCAGACTTGGAATGCATGAGAGCCCATCACTGAGTAGCTGGCAGCTCCTGCCTCCAGGGCCCAATTTTCCAAGTGATGACTTGAGTGTTCACACCTGCACTGGCTGCCACCGAGTCCCTCCCTCCACAGAGTTAATGGGGCAGACAGAACCCAGGAAGGCTTTTGGCCATGGCGACAATTTCTGTCCTCCTTGGCCCCACCTTCTCTACTGGCAGAGAAGATTCCTCTCCAGCTCTGGTGTGGGCATCACCTTCCAGGCCTCCCTGCTGCCGAGGTGTACAGATGCCTCAGGCAAGGCAGCCTCAGAGAGGACCGCTCTGAGACACAAAAGAATCCCAGCACTTTTTTGCCTTAGGTGGGTAGCTAACCTCCTTCCCCATTACCTTCTTCCTCCCCTTCCCAACGAATAGATCCCAAAACTATTTAAGATTTAGCCTTTTTTCCTATGAAACTCAAGCTTGGACAATTATCATTATTATTATGACTTTGGTTTCCCCAGTGCTTTCTGCTGGAAACAAACTGGAAACGGAATAACTGGTAATATTCCAGGATCTGGGATTGCTGTGGCTTGGGGTAGCTCCTACAGAGAGAAGCAAAAAATGCATACAGATCATTTTCCTTGAACACTTATTTTCCCATAGCAATGGCTGCTGGGAGAGCTCATAACCAGGATTCCCCGCTCTTCGCTTGCTACATGCTTGTGTATGCACGTGCACACACACACAGGTGAATCTTGCTGAAACAGAACCAAATTAGAGTGCCCAGATAGATCTCATGCTTTGGGACAATTTAGGAGATAGATGCAGGCTGAGTTCTACCTGAGCAGAGGTTTGGACAGATGCCTTCAACCAATCAGAATGCAGGAAACCAAAGAACAAAAGGAAAGATGCTGTGTGAATGTTATTATATAAATTTTCTCTCCCAGCATAGCTCGGGGTGGTTAGATGCTGTTTCCATCCAATGGGAGCTCTGTAAGCTCTCCTACTAATGCTGGAAAAACATTCACTTAACAGGCTTGTCCAAACAATTCCCTTGTAAATTCAGACATGATGAACTGCAGGGGGAAAGCAGAGCCTCAGGGCTGTCCGCCTCAATACCATCACTCCTGACAGGGCACAGAGCCACACGGTTCACCTCAAGAGTCCATTAAAAAGCCTGATGGAGAAACTGTGTTTATGGTCAGGTTACAGAACAGGCAGCAAGCAATTAATGCCTTCCCAGTTTCCCTGTCCTTCAATTTTCCATCCCTCCCAACAGCCACACAGGACACGCACACAAACCCAATTCTATCCCTTGCCTTCTCTTAAATGCTCTTCCACAAGCTCCTTCCCTGACACCCACCCACTTCCCTGCTCATGCTCCTCTGTCTTTACAATGGGTATCTCAGAGTGCAACTTGCAGGAGAAACCAGCCTCACACACCTATTCAACACTCACACTCCCTCTCAGATCATGGCTATACCCACAGCCTCTTTCTTCTTTCCATCCACATTCTTTGTAAACACATTGATTTTCCATGTCATGTTCCCAGCCTTGAACCTGCTCCCGTCTTCCTTCAGAAAAAGAAAAAAAGAAAAACATCTCTGCTTCTGTCCCTTCTCCAGACCCTAGACTCCACCATTGCTCACATCTCCCTCCACTCTCAGTGGCCAAGTCAGCGGCCCCCATCCTTTCTGGCACTCAAAGAAAGCTTGTTCGTGAGGCACTCTTATAACTACTTTATTGTTCTGTCTCTCTGTCAATATATTCCTGTCCTTCCAACTGAACTAGATTCCCCTGAGTTAAAACCTGACTTTGGATTATGTAACAAGTTCCTTCGGGAATATATGAGGACTCAGGCAGTCACTTAGAAGTAAAGCAAACTGCCAAAATAAAAATATACATATATTTCAAAAAATGGCTAGTTTACACAGGAATCTAATTAAGGAAAGATCTAGTTGGTGGAAAGCAGTGGAGATAAAGACAGTTCTAGGTTGGGTAATGTTAGTTTCTTGTCCAGCAGTCATTTTGCAAGTGCTAATGGGATAAAAAATGCCATTAGGGAAAACACACATCTGCGAATACCTAGTGTGTGCTTCAGGTGGCATAGGGCTTTGTGAAATATGATAATGTTCACAGTAGCAATACAAAATATATTTCACAAATGTAATTAATTAGCCAGACTGTCAATACCATATGACATAAAACATTCACTATTATGATAAAATAGCATTGCATATCATACTGATTAATACAAATTTAATCATTCAAATATGGCTGTGCTGTGCTTATAGTTTCTTTGTAAAATACGGAAATCAGTGTAACACATTTTACAAATATTTCTATCTATAACTTTTTCTGTGATATTTCAAAAAGTGGGATGTAGTTCTCATGTGATGGTACAAATAAAAATCTTGTGTACATTGAGTTCAACTAGGGTAGGCTGGCTTACAAAAAGAGCAGCGAGAGATGTGTGTGGAGTTGTGCAGGTGGCTGAGGGGCAAAACAGAGCTGGAGAGAAAGTGGGAAAGGTCCTTCTCTACCTGCCTTTGCAGCTGTGGCCCTGGATTTATCAGAAAACAGACACAATAACAAATAATTGCTAAGTGCTTCTTGTTGGGGAGGTTTAGACTGCTAACCCAAATTTACAGGCCAGTGTTTAAAATACTGTCTGGAGCAGGGGTCAGCAGATAGTAAATCTGCCAGGAAGGGGCAGACAGTAAATATTTTTGGCTTCGTGGGCCATATGGTCTCTGTTGCAATTGCTCAACTCGGCCTCAGCAGCATGAAAGCAGCCATAGGCAATCACCAGTAGGTGTGGCTGTGTTCCAATAAAACTTTATTTATGGACGCTAACGTTTGAATTTCATATAATTTTCACATGCCACAACATATTCTTCTTTAGATTTTTTTTCAGCATTTTAAAAGCAAAAACCATTCTTAGCTCATCGACCATACAAACATAGTCAGTGGGCTGAATTTGACTCATCAGTTGTAGCTGGCTGACCCCTGATTCAGTGTTTTACTGAAGGCGTCTACTGACTGTATGAGTTCTTTCTTGACCTGCCTTTTCCTCCTTGCCCCCTTAACCTCCTTTCTCTCTTTCCTTTCTGCACCCCTCAGCTTCTACTTGTCACCACCTCCAATAGATTTCAAGGGCTTACCAATATACCAGATGCACTCTCTCTGTGATGAGAGTCCATGTTTTTTGTGTGTGTTGTTTTTGTTGTTGTTTAGAGTGGGAATTTCTGTTATTTCCTCAAGAAAATGCCACTAAGAAAATGCCTTTCTGTACACCCTCATCAAAAAAGCTGCTTCTTGCCTCCAGAAGAATTCTTTGTTCTTATTTGGAAACAACAATCGCAACCAGCAAAGTGGGAAAGGAGAAAGAGCCTTCACATAACTGATGTTTTAGCTTGGAGATGTTTCTTTAAATTCTTCTACAATACAATCAGAGCCAACATTTTGAGGAGTTCGTGGAGGGAGAAAAGGTTAGTAATTTGAAGCCCTGAATAGGGTATCACAAAATATAGGGACTAACAACCACCTTTCGTCACATACCAATTCCCTGCTAGGGACCCCCGGAATTTGCTTCAACATCCACTCTGCGCTTGGGAGTGGGAGATGGCTTAGTCAGTGTTGAGCTGCTACAACAGAATACCTGAGATTAGGTCATGTATAAAGAACAGAAATTATTGGCTCACAGTTTTGAACTCTGGGAACTCTAAGATCAAGGTGCTGGTACCTGGTGAGGGCCTTCTTGCTGCACCATGCCATGGCAGAAGGGCAAGAGTGCCAGAAAGGGAACCCACTCATAGAACCCCTGTGAGCCCTTTTCATAATGGCATTACTCTGTTCATTACCTAAACAGCTTCCATTAGTTCCCACCTCCCAACACTGCCACATTGGGCATTAGGTTTCTGACACGTGAATGCTGGGGGACACATTCAAATCATAGCAGGAGGCAATAGACAGTCATTCAGAGGTTAGCTGTATCTCCATCTCCATGTTTCTTCCCCCACAAGCACAGAGACAAATTTGGAAGTAGACCTCTAAGTCTGTTAAATAAGAACATTGCATGGAATATAATTTTGCCTCAGGTCAGCCCTGACTTCTATAGGCTATCAACATGTATAAAAGCTAAATGATATGCAAGAGGCCACACAAGGTGTTATATTATCCCCAATTTACAGACAGGGACACTGAGGTTCAAAGTCAGAAAGTAGTGTACCCACAATTGGAATGTGAGATCCAGCTGCAGCAGAAAATCAAAATGACTTCTCTGTATTTACCAGTATTTTGTCTCTATTACCACAGTCCTACGTGAGTATATGTGATTTTATTTGTCCTTAGGTTTCTACAGCCATAATATTTGCCAAAATGAAACTGCACTGGCTAATTTAACGTCATACTCTAAGCATCGCCCACATTGACCCCCAGATCCTAGGGGTGGGAGAAATTAGACTAGATCTAAAACAAGCAAAACTATAGAACTACAAATAAGGGCACGTTGTACGTGAAAAATGCAAAGTGTTATTTTCTGCTCTGTGTTCGTCTTCTCCCCGTGACCCATGATCCCTACTGAATGATCCCTGCCTGCAAAGAAACCAATCAGCAAGGGGAGGTTTATGAGAGCTGGTGAAATTTTGAACAGGTCCATGCATTTTAAATTTATCTGCGTAGTCTAATATCACTGCAACACCACACTCTGTCTCCAACTAGTTATTTTTTTTACCACGTCACCAAAACAACAGCAGTATAGCTATAGCAATGGGCAGCCTGAAAGGGCTAGGCCAATCACCAAATATCTTTTTTCCTGGCAAGCAGACAAATAAGGCATTCTTCCAGGGGCCTAGAATCCACATCAGTGTTAAATAAATTGGTCAGGTCTACTAGAACAGTCGGAAAACAACAATACCATGCTACTTTGCATTGTAATGGCAAAAGGATCAGGATGGATTTGCTAAAAGTTCACATTACATGGGCAAAAGGCAGGAGTCAAGATAGAAAATAAATTGATATGTGGAAAGGGATTATGATCAGCCAGTGTCTAGTTACTCTGAATCAAAACAACACGGTCATGCAAAGAGTAGCTGGGACTGCTGAGGACTCCATTTAGAGTATGTAATTATATTTCTCCAAAGTATGATTTACATATTAAGCAAACGTTTTAAATGTTCCATGAATCAGGCTATCAAAAGCCAACTGTTGACCTTGTGTGTTACCCTTTAGAAAGAGCCAGAACATATGGTTGGTCCAGAAATCTAGGATACTGGAAAAGAGGGATGGATATACTCATCATACTCATCAAGACAGACCTTGCAAGATAACCTGAACAAAATTGTGCCTAACCAACTCTTTAAAGAAATAGCTCTAACATTTGAGTCCCAAAGTAAAATACTTCATAAGCTCCTCATGGTAACTATTTCAATTGATCCCAACTCTTCAGAGCCAGTAATAAAGAAAATGAGGCAGTCAGAGTCATCCAGCACCCTGACCCCAGGAGGAATGTATTATTGATTACTACAGATATGCCCAGTTTTCTAAATTCATGTATTCTTTCATTTAGCAAACATTTATTTTAACATCCACTCTGTGCTCTATAGTAGAGACTGGGAAACAAAAATAACAACAAAAAAAGACATGATTCCTGACAGACATAAAAGTAAACAGTTATAGCACAATTAGATAACATCTATGAAATAAAAAGATGTATAACAGAAATAGTTACTATCTGTGGCAAGCAGACTAGGTGATTTAGGGCCAGATTATTGACATTATTTACATACGATAAAAAAGAAGTGAGAGCCAGGGACAAGTGTCTTAATATTCCTGAGAAGCTGAGGGAAGACTCTTCAGAGGAGATGACATTTAACTTTTCCAGAAAGGCGTGCGGGGCTGGGAGGATCTCATACAGAGGGGACCGCATATCCAAAGGCATGGAGACATGAAAAAATATGGGGCATACAAGCAAATACTAGTAAATAAGAGGCTTCTTGAGGAACTCAGCAAAGTGACAAGCCTGATAAATAGCACCTCCCACTAAGGAGATGACAAGTGATTCTATAGCCCTCTGCCCTGATTGCTCTTCTCCAGCGGGAGGCATTGATGGCCCAGCCCACCTCCTGCAGATCTGTATGTAACCTCCCCACACCTCCCTTCCTTCTGTGCGTGTTCTGCATCCCTCCCACACTGATGATCCATCCCGATAGGAGTGACAACCTGCACTCCAGCTTTCCAGCCAGTGACCAGACCCAGGCCAAGCAGCGCTGCCACAAGATCGGTCTCCACTTAGACCCTGGACCACAGCCAGCCAGGAGTAAACACCCTCCAAGGTCCAAAGGTCCAAGCATATTTCACTGCTGCTATGTCTACCTTACTCCTAGATACTTATGATTTCTGCTGACTAGAAACACAGCATTTTGAGATATGGTCTGTTGCAGTGGAAATAACACTGAATTAGAAGAAAGAAGACCTAGGGATCTCTGAGGGTCTACCCTTAGTCAGCCATGGTACTTCTTCCAGGTTTCTTAATCTCTCTGGACCTCAGTTTCCACGTCATTAGGATTAGAGTAGGTGACTTCCAAGGCCCTTTCCAGCTGTTTCTCTGAATTATTGCTACTCAGGGGATACGATGGGTAGAAGCTGCTACCATAATTACAATTCAGCCAGACTGTGTGTCATGGAAGATTATTCTAGAATATGAGCTGGCAAACTACAGTCCATGGGCTATATCTGGCCTGCAGGCCATTTCTATATAGCCCGCAAGCTGAGAATGGTTTCTACATTTTTAAAAGGATTATAAATAAAACAAGAATATGTGGCAGAGACTATATGTGGCTCACAAAGTCGAGCATGTTTACTATCTGGCCCTTTACAGAAAAAATTTGCTAACCCCAGTTCTAGAACACTCAGAAACTGTTCAGATTGGAGGCCTTAGCTATTTGATACTCTGCAGCAAAACATTGTTTACTAACTCTGCATAGGCAGATTAAAGAAGTTTTATACATTCTTCTCATTGAGGGGTGAGCCTGTGTCCCTTCCTCTTGGTTCTGGGTAGGCCCTGGGACTGCTTTGTCCTGTGGAATATTGGAAAGTTGTATTCATCCAGTTTTGAGGCCCAGGCCTTGAGAAATGGGCAGTTTCTCCACCATGTTTCCTGGAATACTGTCTCTGGGAGCCTCGAGTTGCATCCCCAATATGGAGACAGACATGTAATGTGAAGCCTTCTTGGACCCTTCCAGACCAGCTTGTCTGCCAGCTGAATACTTCAAGGGGCCTCAATCAGCACCACATGGAACAGAAGAATTGTCCAGTTATCTTCTGCCCAAATTTCTGACCACAGAATCTTGAGATAAAACAAAATGGTGGTTGCTTTGAGCCTTTAAGGTTTGGGGTAGTTTGTTACACAGCATCAGATAACTGGGCAGGATCACAGTGTGAGGTATATGTGAAATAGACACCAGGCACTCCTCTGTCTGTCGTGGGTGGAGCCCTAGATCTGAATTTTACTAAGTGCCTCTACATAATTCATAGTTTCAAACAAGACTGGGAATGCGTCTTTATCCTGTCTTGGTTCTTGTAGCATGATTCTCCAGGACATGCGTGGGATTGTGGAAAGAGCACCTAAATTCTTCCATGGTACCTCCTAGGAAATCTAGGCACAATCGGGATCTGCTCATAGCCTACTCCCTAGTGCTATTCGCCCCCCAAATATGAAGCTTCTTCTTCAAAAAGAACACTCCTAGAGTCACTGTAGGGGCCAAATTGATTGTGAGATATTTGAAGGCCAAGGTTCGGTGGTATTCGTCATCATATCCCTAGCACCTAGCCAGTCACAAAGTAGTTGTTCACTACATGCTTATGATTGAAAGTAAATAATGATAATAGCCATAAATTTAATGATCCTTTACCTCACATTAGCATAGTAGTAAATGTTTTGTATGGATTTTCTCATTTACTCTTCACAACAATCCCAACAGGTAGATGCCATTAGTCTTATGTTAGAAATAGCAAAACTGAAGTTCAGGGGATGAATCTGCACAAGGTAGCTGGTAGAGCAGGTATTCTGTTTGACTTGAGTGCTTTTAACCACTCCACGGTACTCCCTCTCACAGGTGAGGTATCCATAGTCCCTGCCTTTGAGGGGCTCCAAATCTGGGGGAGCCAGAACACAACTGCACACATGAAAACATTTTGCAGAGCAGATTATGTAAGTGGCTCAGCTCTGTCAGCAGAGTTCTGCAGGGATCTTTGAGAGCTATATTAGTTTACTATTGCTGCATAGCAAGTAACTACAGACTCAATGGCTTAAAAGAAATCCATTTATTAGCTTACAGTTTTGTAAGTCCAAAGTCCAAGCACAGTCTGGGCGTGGTGGTTCATGCCTGTAATCCCAGCACTTTGGGAGGCCAAGATTGGCAGATCACAAGGTCAGGAATTCGAGACCGGCCTCTCCAACATGGTGAAACCTCATCTCTACCAAAAATACAAAAATTAGCCAGGCATGGTGGCACATGCCTGTAATCCCAGCTACTCAAGAGGCTGAGGCAGGAAAATCACTTGAACCTGGGAGGTGGAGGTTGCAGTGAGCCGAGATCGTGCCACTGCACTCCAGCCTGGGTGACAGAGCAAGACTCCATCTCAAAAAAAAAAAAAAAAAAAAGTCCAAGCACAGCAGGACTGGGTTCTTTGCTCAGGATCACCCAAGGCTAAAATCAAGGTATTGGTCAGGCTGCTTCCTCATCTGGAGCTCAAGGTCTTCTTCCTAGCTCATGTGATTGTAGCAGAATTCAGTTCTTTGTGGTTGCAGAGCCAAGGTCTCTGTTTCCTTGTCAGCTACAGCTGGGGGCTGCTATCAGCCCCTAGAAGTCACCCATATCTCTCATCCAATGGATCTTCCATCTCCAAAGCCAGCAATGGAGAATGTCTCTGGGGTCAAATCCCTCTCACACTTCAGGAAGAACCCAGTCTCATTTAAGGGCTCACCTGATTAGGTCAGGCTCAGCCAGGATATTCTCCTTAAAGTCAACTGATTTGGCAGGTGATTACATTTGCAAAATTCCTTCATGGCAGCACCTAGATTAGTATTTGCCTGGATAATTGGGAGAAGGTGTGTGTGCCCCAGGAGGTGGGAATCTTGCAGACCATCTTAGAATTCTGCCTACCATGAAAGCACAGAGCAAGGACTGACTGACAAATAGAAGCTGCTCCACAGGTTTGTTCTCTTGCAGAGACTTTATCTGCTTCTCTATTCAGAGGCCCCAGTGGAGAGGGATGCGTTCTGGAACCTTAAGGCAGATGATTATACAATACATCTTAATCTGAGAGTGGGGTTTGGAGAGGAGGGGTGCAAGGCCCATAAAACAATGACTCTGCATGTTAATGTGCTGTACAAAGGTAGAGAGGCTGCAAATTGTGGTACCCCATGCTGGTTCCCCAACTTTCTCCTCTTAATAAGGTCTCTGTGGAGAGGATTTGCCCCAGAGGGTGCGAGCTGGGCAGGGTCTGGGTTTGTCTTTCTCCACAGCCCTATGTTCTCAGCAGAATCTGCTGCTTTTGCAATCGGAGTTGATTACTGAATAATGAATTATCATTCTTTTTTCATTTTCTAGCCCTTTTCAGAAGTGTGCTGCTATTTTTCTACTTATTGAGTCTCAAAATGGAAAGCAAAGAAGATTTTTCTCTTAGAGGCGGGGAAAACACAATCTTAACAACCCCATTTTGGTCCTGCAGGTGAGAGTAATAATTGTTTTAATTAATTCAGTTTCTGATTTGGAGTAATTTAATTTCTTCCTTGACTGGTCAATAACATGTCTAATGAAGCGAGTTTCTTTGGAAAATACCAGGCAGGGCCACTTGGTCAGATCAAAGAAGTTCTTGCCTTCCTGGAGGGCTGCTTCCTCCCTGCTGGGCAGGGTGAGGACATGAAGGGGTATCTGGAAATGGGTGTTCCACTCAAGGAGAATAGAGCCACACCTGTGTCAGAGAACAGAGGCTTGCTCCAAAGCCTTCATGGGGTTGCGCTGGAGAGCTGCCTCACACATCACAAGTCGTGGGAGTTCTATAATGTGAGATTTGTTTTCCTGGGAAGGAGGCTGCATCCAGCCTGCCTCTCACATCCACTGTGAAAGAGGAGGTCAGTGCACTAAGGGCAGGTGGCCACAGATGAGAAAGGACAATGTCACTGTGTTAGTCAGCTGTATTAGGCTCACTAACAAAGTAGGGAAACAACAGAAATTTATCTTCTCACCATTCTGAAGGCTGGAAGTCCAAGATCAAGGTGCCAGAAGGGTTGGTGTCTGGTAAGGTCTCTCCTTGGCTTGCAGAGGGCTGCCCTCTTCCCGCGTCCTCATAGGTCGGCCCTCTGTCTGTGTGTTGTTTATATCTTAAACTCCTCTTTTTATAAGGACCCAGCCATATTGGACTGGGGCTCTTCCATATGACTTCATTTTGCCTTAATCACCTCTTTACAGACTGTGTCTCCGAATACAGTAACATTCTGTGGTAGAGGGTTAGGACTTCAGTGTGTGACTTTTTTTTTTTTTTTTTTTTTGAGGCAGGCAGGGGAAACACAATTCAGCCCCTAGCAGTCACCCCCACAGACACTGGAATGAGGAAACCTAGAGTTCTTGGACAGCAAAGTAAGCAGAAACAGCTCGGAGGTTACTTCCTTAAAACTGACCTGTGACCCAGCAACAGGCCTTAAGTTACCACATTCCAAAGTGCCTGTGGGGAGAAACGGCGCAGCTGGGACTCTGTGCTGTGGCAGCCTAAGCGAACCTCTTCACGGGCTAATGACAAGTAAGAAAGGAGAGTGGAGCCTCTGCTGCTGGGATTTTAGTGTGTTTGTGAAAGGGTGTGTCTGTGTGTGTATGTGTGTGAACAAGTGAGCATGCATGTAGGAGAGTGTGTAAGGAAGTGTGAGTGTTGTGTGTATAAGGGTGTGTGTGAAAGTGTGTACATGAGTGGTGTGTGAGTGTGTGTGTGGGTGTTGTGTGAATGAGAGTGTTGTGTGTGTGCTGTGAGTGAATGTGAGTGTTATGTGAGTGAATAAGTGTGCATTGTGTGTGCTATGTGAGTGTGAGTGTTGTGTGTGAATGTGTGTGAATTGTGTATGTGCTATGTGTGTGTTGTGTGAATGAATATGTGTGAGTGTTGTGTGTGTGTTTGAGTAAATGAGTATTGTGAGTGCTGTGTGAGTTTGTGTATTGTGTGAGCGTAGTGTGAGTGAATAAGTGTGTGTGCATTGTGTGGGTGTGAGTGTTGTGTGTGTGACAGAGTGTGTGTGTGTGTGTGTGGTGCTAGGAGGAATCGTGACAGTGGCCAGGTTGCCTGAATTACCTTTCCACCTTTACCACAGATTACTGGGGAGGGCAGGAGGCAGGGCAAGGCATCTGCAATGAGGAGCACCCAGGTGTTCATGTGAGAGAGCAACACAGGAAAAAAAAAAAAGCCTTCAGTCCCGTCAAGGGAAAGAAATGCACAGATCTAGATGCTAATATTCAGGTAGAAGCTGCAAGATTTTGATATTGCAGGCAGTTTGCAAAATCATTTATTTTAGATAAACATTTGCTCATTCTATTGCTCACAGACCATAGGTTCTTCTGAATCTCTCTCACTGGAGGGTCAATACCAGATTTTTCAAACATTAATGAGTACTATCTAGATCTCATGCTTCTCTCAAATTTATTCATCCCAAGTGTATCCCTCCATTCCCTTGTCCTGAAATTTTATAAAATTCCCCAGGAGAAGGAACAGCTCATTTACTCAGCACGTATTTCTTCACATCCCTCCTCTAGGTGGGCTTGGGTTTTCTCCTTGGCACTCATCACTGGGTAACACAGTATGTTTTTACTATTTATCTGGTTTACTCCCTGGCTCCCATACCACCGTGTATGCTCCATGAGGGCAGATAATTGTCCCCCATGGTGTTTCACTGCTACATCTCTAGGGCCTTAAATACTGCCTGATACAGAATAGATGATTTAGAAATATTTGTTCAGTGAATGAGTGTATTTAATGAAAATCTAATATGCTCTAGACATTCTGCTAAGGGCTAGAGAGAAGAAAATAAATGAGATCTGGGCCCTTTCTTCAA
This sequence comes from Homo sapiens, assembly GCF_000001405.40. Lineage (NCBI taxonomy): Eukaryota > Metazoa > Chordata > Mammalia > Primates > Hominidae > Homo > Homo sapiens. The sequence continues at coordinate 177,352,948 of NC_000001.11, forward strand.
TTCCCTTGTTGGTGGTAGGATCAGAACTGCATGCAAATGATGGGAGTACAGGTGATAAAGAGCCAGCAGAGGTCTATGAGGTCTTCGGAGAGTGATGTGGGAAGGGGAGGGGTGTGCTTTGCATTGAGCCAAGGAGACAGCAACCTAGGAAAGATGTCACAGTAAGCCGGTACTTTCAGGACAACTTGAACTTTCCTGGCACAAACAGAGCTTGCAGGTGCAAGAGTGAAGTAAGGGGAAGTCTGGGAAAGGGCACGGGGGTGTGAGGGCGCTGATGTGGAAACAGTATAGCATCAGCAAGGAGCTGCACAATCTAGTGTGCAGGACGTTTTGTGTATAGATCAAAGGGGAGAAGAGAAGACACCAAAATATCAGGGCTGAATGTCAGCTAGGGATTGGGAATTTTGTTTCATAGGAGCCTTGGAAGATTTGTTTTTAATATTTCAAGCCTATTAGTAACATGATCAAATTGGGAGTTGTGGTAGAATAAAGGAGAAATGGGACAGGAAGAGACTAGAGGCTGAAATGAGTTAGGAAAGCCCTGCAATAGACCTAGAAGGGCAGGGGAGGGGGAGAAGTGGGCATGGAGTCAACACTGAGAAAGCAGAAGCGACTGATCCGGTGATTAAAAAAGGCAAAGGAGAGAAGAAGCCAGTGGGGATTAGGAGGAATCTGCACCTCCAGCTTGAGCAACTGGGTTAACAGTGGCACCATCCATTCATACGCAGAATGGAGAAAAATGGGAGGTATAATAGGACGCAATTTGAAATGCGCACACACTGTTGAGGGAACCACGTGAGTCTTTAAGAAGTATTTCCTGTCCTTGGAGTCTGCAGAAGCCTTGGGATTGTCATCATCTCCAAAATGAACCAGGAATAATATCATTTTTTGCCTCAATCATCCTTTCCTGCCTCTCAATCCACCTTCCTCTGTACGTACCAAACTGTTCCTTCTGCTCTGCCTTTTCGAGTTGTGCTTGTTTCCCTGCTGATCATGTGTACCCTTACTATAAAGCTAGCATTATCTCCACATTTTGTTGCTTCAAAACTGAACACAAGCATAGCCAAGGCACCAAGGAGACACCACTAGCTGTTTGTTGACTTGAACTACACAGAGCTAAAGATTCAAAGGAGAGAAAGCCTTTCTGTAGTTTTTGTATATATTTAAAACTTTCTTAGCTTAGTAGCTGTTGGGAAGTTTAGAAACACACACACACACACACACACACACACACACACACACACACAGAGAGAAATAAAAATAAAAGCAGGGCGGCTCCTGCTTGGGAGAGACCTTGCCCTTCTCTTTTCTTTGCATATTTAGCTAATTGTCATTATTAGAACCCCACCTTCCAGGCAAGCTGGTAGCAGCACCCAGAGGTTTAAAAATTGTTGGGAAGGTGGGGAGACGAGATGGCATCACTCTTCTGTGTCAGACAGGGACTCTGAGTAAGCACAAGTAACAAGGAGACCTTGAGATCAGGGCAGCTTCTGTGAAGAGTGGGCAGGCAAGCTCAGCCCTGGCAACACCTGGGCACATGACTCTTTCCTAAGTCATAGGAGGCTCCCACTGAGAGAGAGACTGTCTTCTCAGATGGTCCATTACTGCAGGATTACAATCGTAAGAATTAGCTTAGATCCCTTATGAGAGGGACCAGATTGAAGACAATATGCTGCTTAGTTTCCCTAGTTCTCTTCCGTTGCAAACAAGGCTCTAAAAATGCTCTGCAGAACTAAGTCATGAATCATGTAGGAGAGAGCAGGAAAGTCTAGGATGAAGGAGGAACTGCTACCAAAAAAATGAAAACAAACCACAGGATGGGGACTCAATGGCAGGAACTGAAGGGTAAAAGATCCTGTAGCAGGAGTCCCACGGATGTGTACAGAGAGATGAGGGAAAGAAGTCTGAGAATGGAGAAAATTGGGGAAAGGAGCAATAAGAGTTGCCAGAACATTGTCCTATGAATTGTGAAGTAGTCCTAAGACAGGTAGATTCACACAGCTGGTGGATTCACATACCTGGGTGGGCACACGGAGAGTTATTTGCAGACATAGATCAAGCTAGTCTCTAGCACCACCCCGGCTCCCCGACCTTCCCTTCTGGCACTGAGGTCATTGGCATCCCAGAGAGGACCAGTGGTCTCAGTCTTCTGACTTGGGATCACAAAGGCAAAACTCTAGAGGCCTCATGCAGGTTATGTAAGTTGAGTGAACCCAACTAGGTATAGGAAAAATCATCCACCTGGATCTCACTATTGATAGAAACCTGGATACAGAAAAATATGTCTTGACCATCAGGGAATCTGCAGTGTGAGGGGATGACAAAAGGGACTGGCAGTCAACCACAATGTCAGAAGACAATGGGGTGTGGTGGGCTAGGTAGTACACAAGGGGGTCTGTGCCAAGCTGAAGGGTAGGGTCACCCTCCTACAACGCATCATCAGCATTGGAGACTGCGTGTCCAGTGCCTGTTACATATGATTTTTGAGAGAAGCTATACTAATTTTTATATGATGTCTGCCAACTTAAAAATATTCAGATTTTTAGATGTTACAATTGATATACACAGGCACGTTGCATTCAGCCTGCAAGCAGTCAATTTAAAATCCCTGCTCCACTCCAATCTTTCTCATTTTGTATATGGGGAAACAGGCCCATAGAGATGTCTTGCCCTCTGTTGCACTGTGAATTGGGGCAAAGACCACATCTAGAGCCTAGGTCTCCCCAAACCCAGGCCTCCTGCATCTCCTATTGTTTCAGCTTGTTTCTCTGGTTTCCTCAGCCTTACTCCCCACTCTCAGAATCTGTTTTGGCCTCGTATGCTGCCCCCTGGTCGTCAATAACATCACTGCATTATTCCACTCAGCATCCTGTGTACCACACATGTACACCTGCCCCCAAAAAGTCAACAAAAAACTTAATCCTTCAGGACCTGTAGTGAGTTGAGTTGTTCACATTCCCACAAACATGTTCACATCCTAATCCCAGAACCTGTGAATGCTAGTTTATTTGGAAAAAGAGTCTTTGCCGAGGTAATTAAGTTAAAGATGTCGAGATGAGGACGTCATTCTGAGTTAAATGAGCAGGTCCTAAGTGAGTGGTGTCCTTATAAGAGGAAGAGCACAGACAGAAGAGGAGGAGGTAATGTGCCCCTGGATGCAGAGATTGCAGTGATGTGGGCATAAGTCAAGCAAGTCAGCAGCCACCAGAAGGTGGAAGAGGAAAATAATAGATTTCCCCTCAGGGCCTCCAGAGGAGGCACAATCCTGCCAACAGGTTGATTTCAGACTTCTGGCCCCCAAAACTTTGCAAGAGCTAACTGTTGTTTTAAGCCACCTGGTTTATTATAATTTGTTACAGAAGCCACAGGAAACTAATACAGAATGCTTTCTTCTGCTAAGGGATAGGAATTTCCTGTGAGAGTAATAACAGTAATAACTACCATTTTGGGGACATTTCATCTGTACCAGGTCCATATGTTTCCTACAGTCCTCATACCATTTTAAAAAATAGATGTTATCTCCTTCCTTACCCCTCTGCCCACCTATTACAGAAACAGGGAAACAGACACCTAGAAGCCACATAGCTCCTAAGCAGTAGAGTCACGATTTGAACCCCAAGTTCTTTATTCTCACTACATTACCCATAGGGAACTCCCTCAAGTAAGCTTATATAACAGTGAACTTGCAAAGCTCCGAAGAGTGGCTCTTATGGTGGAAGTTTCCGTTCTAATAGGTCACTGTAGACATTTTTGTTTGACGATTACTACACTTCTAAGATTTAATATGTTAAGCTAAATTATGCCAATTAATATTAACAGAAAGAATCATGCTTGGTGCACAGCTCTGTGTCCTGGGCTCATGGTTGAGGCAGAGCTGTGCTAATGCACATGACTTTCAGTTGCAGGCATTGTTGGGCTGTGTCCTAAGGTGAATCAACATAAAGAAAAGCCCTGGCTGCTCGTGCACTGATAACTTCATCTTTTCGGACATCTGGGAACTACCGCCACAATGTCTGGAAAAAAAATGACTTCAAACTAATGCAGCAGAGGCAAACCATGGTTTGGCCAAAAATGGAACAGAATTTACAAGGGAAAAGGGAAGTTCCTGGAGTAATATGGTGAGTAGATTCTGATCCAGAAAAATAAGACTTAAGTATGGATTTTAAATGTTAAGCTTGAGTAGTTAGAGAATTAAAGTTAATCCCTTTAAGCCTCAATTTGCAAATCTGTAAAATGTAAAAATAGAAATAATATGTACATATTATATGGAACAGTTTCTGGCACATATTTGGTTCTCAGTGAATAGTGCTTATTAAATTATTGATGCTGTTGCTATGAATTGTGCTGAGCTCACTCTCTGCCTTATTATACAAAATTTTGACTAAAATATTCTGTAAGAGAATATCACAAAACCATCCCATCACTAGCTTATTTTTTTCTTTTTATAGTTATATTAAGAATTGCAATCCCACACCAGAAATAAGCACCCTTTCAAATTATCCTTTAAAATAACTTGTTGCAAGCATACATAAATTCACTTCACGTATAATATTTTTTCAATTGACTTAGAGTCTGTGAAATCAGACTTGTTAGAGGAAAAAAAATCTATAAAGGCTGCATTCATTCATCCACCAGATATTTATGGAGGAACATCTCCAGAATCAATGCAAAGTGCATAATTGCCCTAAGAGCTATGGGTAAAATGCCATGGGATTATAAACGGAAAAACACAGAGAAGTTGGTTAATTAAAAAATTAAGTGTAAATTCAGAAGAGAGAGAATTACTCTTCAGTAATACATGAGGTTGGGGAGGGAATAAGAGAAATGACAAAAAAGCACAACACAAGGGGAGGCTGTGTGAAGGCGGCTGACTTCTGATTGGATCCTAAAGGAGAGGTCATGTTTCATTGTGCAGAAAAAGGGCTTTCTAATCAAAAAAGAGACAGAAAAATTCTACATGTCTAGGGAAAGCAGCAAATGAGTCTGCTTAATGGGGTAAAGGGTAAATAAAAGTGGATATTTGATTTGATATTGGAAAGGTAAGTAGGAGAGGCTTCAAATATAACCTGAGCATTGTGATCCTTAGTTGCTAGATTATGTGTGTCCTTAACAACCTTAGTCAATGACAGATATGATCAGAAATGGGTATTTTGCAATTTAAGTGTGTAGTCTATGTTGGTGGGAATGAAGGCAGAGAGGATGGTTAGGAGACCATTTTAATAACCTAGATGAGAAGAGAATGAATGTTTAGTTGGGTGGATAAGAAGGGAGTGAAAGAAAACAGAGAGTTAGCTGAGAGACCACCGAATGATTAGATGTGCCAGGCTGAGGGGGAAAAAGTCAAGGATGACTCACAAGTTTTAAATCTAAATGTCTAGGAAAATCTTCTGATAGTAACCTGAATAAAGAACATTGAACAGTGGCAAACTTTTCTGGAAAAACTGATATGCTTAGTTTGGTATGCATGAAGATGCCCATCATGGAAATAAAAAAAAAAAAATGAATTTAGAGAAAGTTTGGCCCTGAAGATTGAGAAGGATAAAGCTCTACATAAGATAATAGTAAATAGCCTTGAGTGAGCTTAAGATTACTAGGAAGAACATAAGGAAAAAGAAAAGAAGGAGACATAGACAGACTCTTGAGGGCAACATCTAATTTCATGTGGGTAGAAGTAAAATATCATGCTGAGAAAGGGCAATCTGGGAGTCAGGAAGAAAATAAAATTATTCCAAGGGCTCTGTATTAGTCAAGGTTCTCCAGTGAAAAAAAATCAATAGAAAGAAAAGGAAAGAAAGAGAAAGAGAGAGAAAGAAAGAGAGTGGGGGAGGGAGGGAGAGAAAGATAAATGAGGAAGGTGGGAAGGAGGGAAGAGAGAAAGGGGGAAAAGGAGGAAGGAAGGAAGAAAGGAAGGAAGGGAAGAGAAGATAAGAAAGGAAAAAAGAAGGAAGGGAAGAAGGAGGTAAGGGAAGGAGGAAGGGAAAGATAAGAAAGGAGGAAATGAAGGGGAGAAACAAGGAAGGAAGTTAGTTAGTTATTAGGGGAAATAACGTACAAGATTATGGAGGCTGAGAAGTCTCACACAGACCATCTGCAAGCTGGCGACCCAGGGAAGCCAGTAGGATGGCTCAGTCCAAGTCCGAAGGCCTGAGAACCAGATGAGAAGACAGTGTAACTCTCAGTCCAAAGCTGAATGCATGAGAACTGGGGGCACCACTCATATAAATTGCAGAGTCCAAAGGCCATAGAACCTGGAGTTCTGATGTCCAAAGATAGGAGAAGAAGGGTGTCTTAGTTCCAGAAGAGAAAGAGATAATTCATCTCTCCTCTGCCTTTCTGTTCTATCTGGGCCCTCAGCTAATTGGACGGTGCCTGCCAGGTTGGGTAAGGGTGGATCTTTCTTACTCAGTTCATTGACTCAAATGCCAGTCTCCTCCAGAAACACCCTCACAGACAAACTCAGAAATAATGCTTTAACAGCATTTACGATGTTTTCAGAAACAAGATATGACTTGCCGTTCAGTTAGTTGTTCCTAGATGGCAACTTCCAGCCTATAGCAAATCCATATACTTAGTATTGTTGTCTTCATAAAATACATTAACAGAGTAACAGTAATATGGCTGCTGGAAGACGCAATGCCTAGATGAAGTGTTCAGAAGATTTTATGGAGTGAAGCAATCAGAAGAAGAGAAGTAGCACCTTTGCCCTTAAAAAATTTCAATGGAGTTTTTATATTAATTTCATATTTAAAATTTATTAAAAACAGAACTATGTGCACAAAATATAATCTCACTTATGAAAATGACAGCCTAAAATCCTGTTTAAGAACCAATTTTCAATATATGGAAGTTGTTCGTGAGCATCTGAGTCATATTAGGATATTCTTGTTACAATTACTACAGTTTGTAGAGAAAATTAACTTTCTGAAGTATTCCATAGGTACAAAAATGATAGGCTTTTTTAAAGTGAGCATTCAATTTTCTAAAATATATTGTTGGGTTTTCCTCATACTGTATTGTATATTTAAATATAATATGCCTTATGTATACAATGTATATAAATTTAAACTATATACATTTGATTAAAAACATAGTATAATAATTGTATATTACATATCTGACATATCAATTTCCTTACATATGCATCTTTCTCTCTGGGTATTTAAAACAAAAACATTCAATAGTGTTTTATTAACATATCTCTAAGAAGAAAGAGGCAGAGGCAACTGCCTTCCCTGACAAACAACTGCTCTCACATTATTTTCAAATTTTCATCATGAAATTGCATTTAGGAAAAGAAGAAGCCATTGGGGTAGGTGGGTGAATATTACAAGAAACTAAGTGAAGAGGTAAAAATAAAATCAGAACCCAATTATCAATTTGAGGAGCAAATATAAGGCGAGCTTCAATTTTTTTTTAATAATCAGGCAGTATCTCAACCTCATGCATTGTTCTGGATGTAAAGATGTGGCTTGGAATATCTCCCTTTCCTAATACTGCACCAAAGAATCAATAATATATGTCAGCTTCCTCAAACCACAGTGGGGTTGGCAAAGGGGCAGCAATCCTGCAGAAGGGAGAGTCAGGTTGGCAGTCAGTAATTGTGCCATCTGCACTTGAATGGTCCTCTCTGCTGACTTCCATTTTGTAAAACTATTAACGGTCAACAGACTATGTATAAAGTACTTACTGTGCCTTTAAAACTTTTTAAACTACTAAGAGCCACTTACACATTTGGGAAGAATTCCATCTGCAGAGACCAAGCTATTACATTAGTTGGGTGAACATGCATTTTAAGGATTACATGTTAATGAAACCAGGTAAAATTTGGTCATTTGAGCAGCTGACCAGGCTTGTGAATGCTGGGACTCTGTACAAAAGAAAGTTCCTATTTGGGTCATTGATTTGCATAATTGAAGTAATTACCTTGGTGCTCTGCCTCACTCTGTCTATAAAACTCACCAGACCAGGGAGGAGTGTCTGTTTGTCAATCAGAATGATGACTTACCTTCACCCTTCCTGTGCCCCAGTAGCATTCCCTGGTTATCTGGCTACCTGCATGGTGGTAAGGGTGTGCCCGGTATGTTTGATCATTGAGGACTTTTCTCTTAGGTTCAGTTGAGGGAAAGATAGCATCAGAGTCATTATTTTTCACAGTCCGGATTTCTTGAATTTAGCTCAGATAAAGAGTATGGTGAGAAGGCCAAAAAGGTGGATGAGGCAGAAGTTAGAACAGGTTTCTGATCTCAGCCTTGTGGCTAACTCGTTGTATAACTCTGATGGATCATGTCATCTCCCCAGCCCTCAGAACACCCCCAGTTAGAATGACAAAGGAACCAGGGTCATTCTAGAGAAAGGGGTCTGGGTCAGGTTAGGTAAAATCACTTCCTCACTGTCACCTATGTACACTGTGAGCTCACTAGCCCCAAACACTCAGATAATTACTTTGATGTTCCATGTCATTTGTCCCCTAGACCTTTCCCTTCTGAGTGGGAAGAAATATAAAATCATGAGTGCCACGTAAAAATCAAACAAAAGCTTTCCTACAGCTGTGTGGCCCTTGGTCACTGGATTGGGGAACTAAAGTAGAGAAGGGCTTTTGTATAGGTTACTTAGGGCAGCCAGACTTTAAACCAGACTTTGCAACACTAAATAAATAGGAGACCCCAAGAAATTTCAAGGAAGAGTAGAAAACTGAGGAGGAAAAATAGATTTGGTCCAGAGTTCTTAATCTGCTACAGTTTCAAACTTTATTTTTTTAAGTCTCAAGACAAAGAAAGTGATACATAGCAACTATCAAAAAAAAAAACCTCAATTTTCTTTTCTATTTCTTCTTTCTGAGCAGAGGTGGAGGTTCAAATGGCTAATTTTAGACTAGGCTGATGAGAAAAATAATATAAGTTAGCTCAATTAACTAGATGTTATCACATAGTGCAAATGTGACCATGGACACAGTGGAGGAAGAGTGATCACCATGGAGATGTTAGCGCCCTCAGGTTCAGAAATTTGTTGTAAAATTGTTAGAATAATCATGTACAATGCATATAAAGATTTAAGGAGAGATCAAGTCAGTGGACACAAGGGCTAAGCATACTGATGTGTTGTCAGATCAATGATATGTATGTTGTCAAAAACATGTATGTTCAAGCAATGATTATGGCCTTTATACCCTAGCACATTATTTCCAAAGAAGAATAAATCACACAGGTTCCCAGAAAGGAGACAGGCTTGGGCTTACGCATTTTTCTCTGATAATTACCATGTTACTTAACTTTTAGGCTTCAATTTCTTTATCTCTATAAAATGGGAATTAATGGTAATGTCTACCTCGTAAGTTGTGAGGATTTAATGAAATAATGCATGGAGAGCACTTAGCTTTAGTAAACTTTGGTAAGAGCTCAATTACTCATAGCTTTCATTATTGTTACCATTCTGTTTTCATGGAAATACATATTAAGAAATCTGCTCAAGCTATGGGCAGTGTGATTGGTTTAGGCAAACTTGTACTTCTTAACTCAGAGTCATGAACAGGTAAGTGGAATATAGATGTTGGTAAATGTTGTTCTGTGGGTTGGTAATAGCTTTAGTAGATGAATCCAGAGCTCTTTTGTCCTAAAGCACAATAATTTAGTGTGTTTGCACAGCCTACAACACATTTTGGCAAACTAGCATCCATTTTGGCCTATTACATTGATGAATGCTCTAATGAAAGTGTGATGGTTGTCAGTCCTACATCTTGGGTGAGTCTCTTTTGAGACAGACAGCTTTGTTTAGTGTACAGCCAGAATTAGTTGTCCCCAACATCTTACATAGGAATGCAAATGCTTGCCAAGGAGAAAAGAACAGGATAAATACCTCAACACAATCTATTGGAACTCCTAGAAAGGCAATTCAGTGTCCAAACAGTATACATGCAGTTCTGAAAAGAAAAAAAAGGAGGTTCCTCTCCTGTTTTCCGTCTAGTAAGATGGAAAGAATAGGGAATTCTCTTTTCAGGGACAGTGTTATGACACCAAAATGTTGTTCAGCCAACACTGTGAACAGAGGTCTCAGAGGCGAGACCATAATACTCAAGTATTTCACAAGGAGAAGGCTTACGATAAGTTAAAGAACATTTTGCAGATTATAAATGCATTTAGACTATTATTACTTATTTCACAGATCAAAATTCATTAAAGTTAAATGAGTAGTTAATGGGCTACTTTGTGGTTTATTCTTGTATCATTAAATTTGAGTGGGTACATGCATTCCCTTAAGTAAGCTGGAAGGCAAGATGGTTTCAGTTGTTTTCATATTTATTGTTATTGTTGTTTCATTAGTAGCTCATAAATTATTCCTAATGAATTATCAGAAGCACTAATTATATCTGGGTTCCTCTTTTCCACTAACTAGCACAAGTGTGGAAGATTTCACATTTTCTGGAAAGCTTGTTTTGTTTTTGTGTTTTTAAATAATTTCTCTGTCCTAACTTTACCTCTGCTATCTCCAGTGTAGGTCAGATGAGGATGGAACTGGTGAATGAGCAGAAGAGAAGGTTGGAAGAGTGCAGTGGTGATGACAGCCCTCCGCTGCTCCTTCCCCAGAGGAAGGAGCTCCAGTAAGTAAATCAAATCAACACCATACCTCCTATTCCTTTGTCCTTTCATATACAGCTGCTTAAATTAGCTTTAAGTTCCCTGAAGGTAGGAATAGGTTTATTTTCAAACTGTGTTCCGGATCTAGCACCTTGCTTAATCAATGTTAAATAGTAACAGTGAATTTTAATTGGCTTATTTTCAGAGCATCAGATTAAATTATTCTGCTAATTAATTGGTTGATCTCATATTTCACTTATATTGTCAGGTTATTATTTTTCCCTTTGGGGCTCAAGATGCCACTGACAGTTCCAATACTTCTTCATTAGTTACCACATCTTGGATTTCACATAATTTTATTATAATTATTTTGATACCATATTTATTGAGCACCAGCATGTATTCAGAGCAGTTAAGAACAGAGGATTGGTTGCAGTTCCTTCCACTATATGCACATCAGTTCATTGCTTAAAATCCAATAGAAGGTGTACTTGGCTTGGCAGAGCAGAGACTTCAATTAGGTTTAATTGGTCAGACACTAAACTAGTTTCATATAAGTGATCAATAGACATTTTATAACATTGGATCAAGTTTCTTTTTCACCAGCCAAATGTTTCCTGTTAATTGACTCATCTTGTCTTCCCTAGATAGCTGTGATATATAACTAAACCAATCCCTACATTTTAAGAGGAAACTAGGCAAACTGGTAGTTTTCAAGAGAAAAGGAAACAAAAGAGAAAAGGATTTGAAAATCTCCACAGGTCAAATGGTTAAAGCAACTGTTAGTGTTTCGCATGGAAAACAAAAAATGTAGTAAGGCATAGAAGCTCCATGCAACATTTAAAGAGCTTACATAGATAGGAAATGGGTTAATTTCATGTAAGTAGAAAGAAAATTTTGCACAATGTATGAAAAAACTAAATAAACTCTTAATATATACATTGGGGACCTTATAATACAGATAGTTCTTGTCATTAAAAGAGGCATTAAAAATGCTACATTTTAAAAATTTTAACACATAATTATGAATGCCCTACTCTGCAAGACATTTTTTTTTAATAAGTAGAAATAAATCAGACAAAGCAATGGCTGCAAAGAGCTTAGTTTTTAGTGTGTTTTCGTGTGTGTGTGTGTGTGTGTGTGTGTGTGTGTTTGTGTGTGTGTGGTGGTTGGGGGCAGTCACAGAAATAATCAGTCATGCAATTATGCCCCAGGTAGTAATGAGTGCTGAGCCGGGATGGCAGGCAAGCGAGGTCAGAGAGGTGGGTGAAGACCTAAGCAGGTCACGGGCTTATGGGGAGGCTGGAAAGTTAAAATTTTAATCTAAGTGCAGCCGAGAACCTTCAGAGGGTTTTAAGAAGAGAAGACATTATCTGATTTGCATTTTTAAAAGATCACTCTGTCAGCTGTGTAGAGAATGGATTTTGAAGGAGGAGAAGAATGGAAGCAGAGAGACCAGCTAGGAGACTATTAGACTGAGACAGATAACAGATGTGGGCAGATAGATTTGGAGAATATTCTTTAAGTAGAGTCACTGCTAGATAAGAAGTGAGAGATGAAGGAATAGGTGGAAGGTGGTAAGCACCTCAAGGGATGCTTGAAACAAATTTTTGCTTTAAATGCGAGGTTGGAGATAATGGTATCTGAAGACTCTCCTCTGAAGTTGTGTAATTTTATGGTAAACTTTGGGGGTGGCAACTCTATATCCTACAACAAATTTCTGCTAACACCAGAAGCACATATGTGAGCATCAACATTGATTATAGGACTGGAAGAGATTACAGCATCTATAAAGGCAGAGATGTTCTATTGTTTTCTTCACTACTATTCCCCTAGTGCCTCGTACACTAGACAAATACTCAGAATCCAATAATTATGTGATAAATGCATAAATAAAAGGATGAAAAAGCTGTAAATGTACATTTTTTATACCTGTAGTTGACATTCAAACTAAATTATCCCCACTCAACCCACCTTGCTCTTGTTGTAATGTAAGAGTTGTACTTGGTGACAACACAAAGAATTAACAGTAACTTACATATGCAGGTTTCAAAGCTTAGCAGTTGAAATGGATCAGAATGTTCTTCTTTCTCCAAATCACAAGTCTAGAAGTTGTCTTTTTTGACGCAACTATGCCAAGTCTTCCAAATTAAGAAAAATAAAAATAAGGATATATACTAAGCTAATGTTAAGTAAAACCATTTGAATATACTTGTGCTTTAAGGATGCATGTGATATGTGGACACTAAGGAAGGTTTTTGCCAAATTGTACTGTTAATCATAGAGCCTTGCTCTGAGTAGGCCATTAGTAAATGTCAGTGGATCCATAACACCTAAGTTCATTGAGGATGAGGAAAACATATGAAATGTGGTTATCCAGTCTACCCTGAAGAGATTTTCAGCACTTTCTCTGGAGTCCCCTGTTCTTATGATTCTCGTAGGAATTGGTCTGTCATGTCAAGGTCTTTATTTACCTGCCTTTAAGTTCTTCCAGATAAAGTAATTCCTGGTTTTAATAGCTTTTGTGAAATGCATAACTACTCCGTAGCCCCCAAAGACCCAACAGGGGCCTTTCTAGAGGTTTTCTGTTCTTCCTCTTTCCTCTTCCTTCACTCACCAGATGGCTCCCTTCATTTTGCCTAATCCACAGAGTTTATTCACCCCTCTTTTACCATGAGGCAGAGGGAAAACAATGACAAATACACAGTAAACTTCGTTATCAACAAACAGAAGTTGTTACCAAGGCAACAGAACAAGAGCATCCCTGCATCCAGCCATCACAGTGTGAAGTGAGTTTCAGATGAGGAGATGCCTTGAGGGGCAAGGAGACCCTTCAGGAAAAAGCTGACCTGATAAAGGAATCAAGGAGCTGCCATCCCAACTGATGTCTTTTTTCCCTTTCTCAATAAAGAGAAGAGCTTGCAAGAGCCCTGAAAGACAGACAGGCTGCGTAAACTACTTGGGATTTCAAAGAGTCCTGTTCAATTAATCTGACTACAGATAGACCAGAACGGTTCTACTTCTGGGTATAGGCAGAGGTGAGACTTTGGGGTGAACAGATACAAGGAAAGGGGACAGGGCATTAAACACCTCTGAACTGCTGTGTACACTATAAATAGAAATGAGATCCTGTATTTATACAATGCCTTTTGTCCAGAAACCTGCACTCACAGCACAGACATCACCTGCCTAGGCTTCCAAACACCCCTGTGAGTTGAGGATCAAGGACAGGGATTATTTTACAGATGGGAAAACTGGCACTTAGAAGCAGTATATGTGCCAAGGCCCTTCAGAAGACAGCAGAACAGCCAGAAACAGGATGCAGGTAAAAATACCAACAATAAATTCTTTTTATTTGTTCTTAACATCTTCCCTGCTGGATCAAGATCTTTTTCACAAAATGACATTAAAGAGTCAAAGTCTTCCTTTCTCCTCAACAACAGGGAGCTTGCATAATCTGAATGTGCTTGTTGCAGCCCCTGACACTATGGATGGAGGGGGATCAAGGGTGGGCTTGTGGATTACACTTATCAAATTGAAACACTCTAGGGAAGCATTGTAGCTGCTCTTGAATTCACCTTCTTGGTTTAATGGAAGTACTTTTAGGAGATTTATTTTGATACCTCTCAACCATGTGGATTCTTAATCTGGGGACCTCAATCAATCAAACGAATGTTTATTGATTGACTACCATGTTCAGATCTAGTGCTATGAAAGAATAATAAATATTACCTATGGTACTCACCTGATAAAACTACTGTGTATCTACCATAATGCTCTCTAAAGAAGTACTGAAAACATATAGTAAACAATGAATGAACAAAATTAATACACCATAGATGGTGACAGGAGAGAGTGTGTTAGGGTTCTAAGAACAACAGGGTATGGTGACCTGAAGTCAGAGGAGCCTTGACCAAGGAGAGGGATCTTAAACCATTTGTCAAAGGTTTTATCTGTGAATGTAATGAGATGGTGCTATCCCCAAATAAAATAGAGCTAGACAAAGACCATAAATACCATATACTCTAAAATAGAGTATACAAAGCTCTAAAATAGTGCTAGACATATACCATTTCACAGCATTTCTTCATTCGTGCTTCAGAGATAGGATGCTTAGCATGCTGTGTTGTAAATATTTATTTACTTTCCCATTGTAGCTTCCTTCACTAGATTGGGTCCTTCTGAGTAGGAACCATGCTCTATTCATTGCTGTATTCCCAGTGCCTAGCACATAGTAGTTGATCAGCAAATGTGTGATTAACAAGTGCATCAAAGAATAAAGAAGTGACCTGAGACAATCATAATAGCATAATGATAACATCTAATGCAGTCCTCCATGCAGCAAGAATTCACAGCTGATGATAAATAAGGGAGACCTTTAAGTCCCCACATATTAGAGAAGGTCAAGATTTTGGAGGGTTTGAGTCTTGGCTCTGCCGCTTACTTCCCTGTAGCCTTAGGATAAGGCTCGAAGTCTCTGTTTCCTCATTTATAAAATATGGATGAAATGCTTATATTTATCTCAGTGGTTTGGGTGAAGATCAAATTAAACAATACATGCAAAAATACTCTGCAAAGTGTAAAGCAGTGTACAAATCTCAGTCCTCATTGCCATCAACAGTATAATTAATATATCATTAATTTATGTTACCCAACACATACAGTTCTCACCAAAGTACTATTTTAAATCATAGACCATTTAAGGCTGGAACAGCCTCTTCTTAAGATAAATAAGCTAGGGTTGTAGCAAACTTATTTTTCTTAAGTTCCAACAGCCAGGAGTGGAGCCATGTATCAGATGCCTGGCTAGTGCTACTTCTACTGAATAGCTGCTGGAGGCCCCATTTGGAGACTAGTCTTGTGAGGATGAGAACTGCTTGGTTGCCTTTCTCCCCTCTCTGTTCTCATTACTCAGTGTCACCCCATCAAAGCAGAATTGAAATCATCTCTTTAGTCATTTCCTGTCTCTCTTCTTACCCAAAGCCAGATGCTACAGTCTTCCTGAGGACTGTGGCAGCATGTGGCCAGTTCCCAGCTCAACTACTTCCTTCTCTAATCCAATCTGGACTCCATAGTTAAGTTGTCTTCCTCATACATCATACAAGCAGGTGACTGCCCTTTTCAGATAACACAAGAAGCTTCTGTCAAAGATGAGGTGGTCATATGTGTGTGACCTTATTTCTGTAATCTCTTTTCTGTTCCATTGATCTATGTGTCTGTTTTTGTACAAATACCAAGCTGTTTTGGTTACGATAGCCCTGTAGTATAGCTTGAAGTCGGGCAACATGATGCATCCAGCTTCATTCTTTTGCTTAAGATTGCCTTGGCTGTTAGGGCTCATCTTTTGTTCCATATGAATTTTAAAATAGATTTTTTTCTAGTTCTGTGAAGAATGTCATTAACAGTTTGATAAGAATATCACTGAATCTGTAATTTGCTTTGGGCAGTATGGCCATTTTAATAATATGGATTCTTTCTATCCATGAGCATGGGATGTTTTCCATTTGTGTCTTTTCTGATTTCTTTGAGCAGTGTTTTGTAATTCTCATTTTAGAGATGTTTCACCTCCCTGGTTAGCTGTATTCCTAGGTATTTTATTCTTTTTGTGGCAATTGTGAATGGGATTGCCTTCCTGATTTGGCTCTCGGTTTGGCTATTGTTGGTTTAAGGAATGCTAGTGATTTTTATACATTGATTAAGTATCCTGAAACTTTGCTGAAGTTTTTATCAGCTCAAGGAGCTTTTGGGCCAAGACTATGGGATTTTATAGATATAAAATCATGTTGTCTGCAAACAGAGGTAGTTTGACTTTATCTCTTCCAATTTAAATGACCTTTATTCCTTACTCTCACCTGATTTCTCTGGCTAGGACTTCCAATACTATGTTGAATAGAAGTGGTTAGAGAGGGCATCCTTATCTTGTGCTGGTTTTCAAGAGGAATCCTTCCAGCTTTTGCCCATTTGGCATGATATTGGCCGTGGGTTTGTCATACATGGTTATTATTTTAAGGTATGTTTCTCAATACCTAGTTTATTGAGGGTTTTTAACATGAAGGAGTGTTGAATTTTATCAAAAGCCTTTTCTGCATCTATTAAATAATCATGTGGTTTTTGTCTTTAGTTCTGTTTATGTGATGAATCACATTTATTGATTTGTTGAACACACTCCCATCCTGGAGATGAAGCCTACTTGATCATGGTGAATTAGCTTTCTGATGTGCTGCTGGATTCAGTTTGCAAGTAGGGCTTCTTGAGAATTTTTGCATTGATATTCATCAAGGATATTGGCCTGAACTTTTCTCTTTTTTTGTTGTATCTCTGCCCTGCCAGGTTTTGGTATCAGGATAATGCCAGCCTCATAGAATGAGCTGGGGAGGAGCCCTTTCTCTTCACTTTTTTTTGGACTAGTTCAGTAGGAATGGTACCATCTCTTCTTTGTACATCTGGTAGAATTTGGCTGTGAATCCACTGGGTCCTAGGCTTTTTTTGGTTGGTTGTCTATTTATTACTGATTCAAATTCAGAGCTTGTTATTGGTTTCTTCGGGGAATCAATTTCTTTCTGGTTCAGTCTTTGGAGGGTATATGTATCCAGGAATTTACCCATTTCTTCTAGATTTTCTAGTTTATGTGCATAGAGGTGTTCATAATATTCTATGATGCTTGTTTGTATTTCTGTGGGGTCAGAGGTAATATCCCCCTTGTCATTTCTAATTGTGTTTGTTTGAATCTTCTTTCTTTTTCTTTATTTATAAAGAGAAAAAGGCTGCATGCCTATGACCATCTGATCTTCCACAAAGCTGACAAAAAACAAGCAATGGGGGAAAGACTCCGCATTCAATAAATGGTGGTGGGATAACTGGCTAGCCACATGGAGAAGATTGAAGCTGGGCCCCTTCCTTACACCATATACAAAAATAAGGTGGATTAAAGACTTAAATGTAAATCCCCAAACTATAAAAACCCTGGAAGACAACCTAGGCAATGCCATTCTGGACATAGGAACAGGCAAATATTTCATGGCAAAGACACCAAAAGCAATCGCAACAAAAGCAAAAATTGACAAGTGGATTCTAACTAAACTTAAGACCTCTGCACACCAAAAAGAAACTGTCAATAAACGGACAACCTACAGAGTGGGAGAAAATATGTGCAAACTATGCACCTGACAAAGGTTTGATATCCAGCATCTATAAGGAACTTAAACAAATTTACAAGAGAAAAACAACCCCATTACAAAGTGGCCAAAGAACATGAACAGACACTTTCCAAAGAAGACATACATGTGGCCAGCAAGCATATTAACAAAAGCTCAATAGCACTGGTCACTACAAAAGTGTAAATCAAAACCACAATGAGATATCATCTCATACCAGTCAGAATGCCTATTATTAAAAAGTAAAAAAATAGATGCTGACAAGGTTGTGAAGAAAAGGGAACACTTATACACTGTTGGTAGGAGTGTAAATTAGTTCAACCATTGTAGAAAGCAGTATGGCAATTCCTCATAAAGCTAAAAGCAGAACTACCATTCACCCCAGCAGTTCTATTACTGTGTATATACCCAGAGGAATATAAATCATTCTACCTTAAAGACACATGCACACAAATGTTCATTGCATTCACAACAGCAAAAACACGGAATCAACCCAAATGCCTATCAATGACAGACTGGATAAAGAAATGTGGAATATATATATGTTGAATAGTATGCAGCCATAAAAAAGAATGAGATCATGTCTTACATGGGAACATGGATGGAGCTGGAGGCTATTATCCTTAGTAAACTAATGCAGGAACAGAAAACCAAATACTGCATGTTCTCACTTATAAGTGGGAGCTAAATAATAAGAACTCATCAATACAAGGGAACAATAGACACTGGGGTCTACTTGAGGGTGAAGGGTGGAAGGAAGGAGAGGAGCAGAAAAGCTAACTATTGGACACTGGGCTTAATACTTTGGTGATGAAATAAACTGTACAATAAACCTCCATGACACAAGTTTACCTATGTAACAAACATTCACACGTACCCTTGAAACTAAAATAAACTTTTTTTTTTTAAGTTGCTTCTCCTAAAACCTTCTTCATGAAGTTTGAGCCTCTTAATGCATCCCCTCCCACTCTTGCAGAGCCTCAGGTTAGGTGGCAGGCAAAACTATGTCAGCATTACCATTGTATCTACTAGCTCTTGGCATAGTACCAAGCCCATAGTAGATCCACAACACAATTTTATTAAATTAGAGAAACTATATTGAAGCCTGCTAAGCAACCACTCTTCCAATCTTGACTCTCAGTTGTTACATACAAGCTCACAACTTCCCAGCCAAACCTTACATCCACAAACTATATAGAATATATTCTATGATACAGGCAGCACTTCCAATAGTGGGTGGTCATTTGTGATATTTCTTTATCTTCTCCTTCCTGTCCACTGGCAGCTGTCCTCTTATTAACCACCCCCATTCACCTTTTTTGGCTTGGTAGAAGGAATCCCTTTACCTACAACCCTTCTAACCACATACCCTGCACACAATATCACCACGTTTTTATAGTTTACACAATGTACTTGCCACGATCCCCATAGAACTACTCTCCCCAGTCTTCTCCAAAAATCAGGTTCTTCTCCCACTTAGAACTGTGTCCAGGGTCCCCTCAGCCTGTGGTCTATTTAGAAATGGGGTTCTCTTCTACAGCAGGGAACAGGTATTGAGTGGCTATTATAGACAGGTCTTAGTAATCGGTGTCTAGGAAGCTGCGTCGTGTGTAAGTTTTAGCTCCTGCCTTCTGGGACCTTACAATGTGGTTGGTGATAAAAGAAATATGCATAAAATAGTACCATGGCCTGCGAAGAGATCCTTATACTTCCAGGCATGTCTCTCCCTCCCTTTCATGTGATCTATTATACAGTAGAGACAGCTACTCACTGGCTGTTTTCATATCTGTGTTCCTTTTACAGTGTGCTTGTTTGTGAATGTTTCTCAGAGTGTGGCACTTATGCTCAGGGATATTTCTGCACATATTTCTTTATGTGTGCTCAGGCTCCCACACCAGAACATAAGCTGGATGGTCATGGCAGTTAGGTCCTTTCACTCCACAGACTGCTCATATGCAGTGGCTTTTAGGAAGTGGTAATGATGGAGCTGAAATTGGTCATCTGGCCCAGTTGCCACTGTCACACACACACACACACACACATACACACACACACACACACACACACACGCACACACCCAGAGAGAGGGGAGTGGGGGCTGGAGGTATTTAGCTCAGTTAGAATCGCAATGCCGTCTCTTCCAGAGGAATGTTCATGAACGCATATCAACTTCCTTTTGACCAAAGGACCACACGCCTAAACCTTAACATGATAATAACTAGATGAGACATGAATGTGTATGTACCAGGTGCATAGGGTCACAAAGACTTGCCAGACCATTCCCACTTCACCAGTTCCACAACTCTATTATAGTACCTTAATACCCATTTTTCCCAATCCCTTCTAAATTTCTTTGGAAATTGCTGTCTCTTTTATGCTTTTTGCATGTAACATATGCACCTCTTATTGTTAATTAATTGATTCATCTATTTAAGATATGTTTGGTGAGCATGTCTCTATACTTTACTGAATGGTGGTAACACTAACAGTGTACTAGTCAGTCTCTGCTCTTAACTATCTTACTGTCCAATGAGAGAAATATTATAACAGGAAATCATGAAGTGCAAAGGTAAAGGTCAGAAAAGGCTTTGGTGAAAGTTGGTAAGAGCGTTAGCTCAACCAGGAAGGAGGGATTTCCTTGAGAAAGTAACCTCAAAATTTGACCTGAGGTGTTTAGCGAGAGAAAGGAGGAAGGAGGAGAAACTCCTAGAGATGTAAGGACCTTGTAAGCTACATTACTGTCTTATACATATTTCTCCTATCACCAACTACATTGTAAGGTCCCCAAAGGCAAAGACTAAAATTCACATACCATGTGGCTTCCTTGGCACCTGATGCTAAGATCTGCATATAACAGACACTCAAAACTGAGTGGCTGTTGCTCAAGAGAGTCCCATTTCAGTGCGGTGCAGTTGTCAAACTCTGAAGAAAAACACTAGCCCTCAGGTGGGATATCTCACTAGTCCACTTGCTTAGGTGACAAGAAGGCAGTGCTAATGTGCACATAAGGTGGTATTCCCCCATCCTGTTCTTCCAGTAGTCTAGTTATGAATTAATCCTCTTACCTCCAACTACAGTTTTATACATTGTAGATTTTGTGAGCTCAGGAGATGGTGAGGGCCAGGAAATTTAGACATATCAGAAGGTGGGGGTAACCACAGATTTTGCCCTTCTGGTAGGCCTCTACTGCCAGCTGCAAGGCCTAACAGTTTGAAAGAAGCCCCTAACGGGTACATCTGCTCCTGTCCAGAAAGCCTGTTCATAGTCACCTCTGCTATAGACAGTTTCTCCTTATTCTCATGACAAGGGAAAGAAGGTGGAGTGGTGGGGATCATATGCAGATAAGCTGCTCATATGATCTTCTCCAGGAAGGGCAGAGATACTGCTCACTGAGGAGAAAAGAGATGTAGATGTGGTGTCAGAATGCTGCCCCTGTTCTGTCCACTCAACCCTTACCACCATCAGACCAGAGGAAATGCCTGGGAGGCATCTCTCTTCCATTCCCAAGCTACCCAGTGCTAACCACTCCAGTGGGTTGCTTATAAGCCAATGGTGTAAACTTTGGAGACAATTGATCTTAAAACATGACTTTTCCAAAAGTTCCCAGGTAGCATGAGCTGTAAATGACTAACACTCAGCAAGTGCACCATGCTGTCTAAACAGCAGGATTTTGGCTTGTATTAGTCCGTTTTCACACTGCTAATAAAGACACACCTGAGACTGGGCAATGTACAAAAGAAAGAGGTTTAATTGGACTTACAGTTCCACGTGGCTGGAGAAGCCTCACAATCATAGCAGAAGGCAAGAAGGAGCAAGTCCCATCTTACATGGATGGCAGCAGGCAAACAGAGAAATAAGGAAGATGCAAAGGTGGAAACCCCTGATAAAACCATCAGATCTCATGAGACATTCACTACCACAAGAATAGTATGGAGAAAAACACCCCCATGTTTCAATTATCTCCCACCAGGTCCTTCCCACACACGTGGGAGTTAATGGGAATACAATTCAAGATGAGATTTGGGTGGGGACAGAGAGCCAAACCACATCACTCCCCCCGGCCCCTGCCAAATCTCATATCCTCACATTTCAAAATCAATCATGCCTTCCCAACAGTCCCCCAAAGTCCTAACTCATTTCAGCATTAACTCAAAAGTCCACAGTCCAAAGTCTCATCTGAGACAAGGCAAGTCCCTTCCACCTATGAGCCTGTGAAATCAAAAGGAAGCTAGTTACTTCCTATATACAATGGAGGTACAGGCATTGGATAAATACTGCCATTCCAAATGGGAGAAATTGATGAAAACAAAGGTGCCACAGGCCCTATCCAAATCTGAAATCCAGTGCCAAAGTCAAATCTTAAAGCTCCAAAATGATCTCCCTTGACTCCATGTCTCACATCCAGGTCATGTTGATACAAGAGGTGAGTCTCCTTGGTCTTGGGTAGCTCTGCCCCTGTGGCTTTGCAGGGTACAGCCTCCCTCCTGGCTGCTTTCACAGGCTGGTGTTGAGTGTTTGCAGCTTTTCCAGGAACATGGCACAAGCTGTTGGTAGATCTACCATTCTGCGGTGTGGAGGCCCTCTTCTCACAGCTCCATGTGGGGTGCTCTGACCCCATATTTCCTTTCCAGACTCCCCTAGCAGAGGTTATCCATGAGAGATCCACCCCTGCAGCAAACTTCTGCCTGGGAATCCAGGAGTTTCCATACATCCTCTGAAATCTAGACAGAGGTTTCCAAATCTCAATTCTTGACTTCTGTGCACCTGCAGGCTCAACACGACATGGAAGCTGCCAAGGCTTGTGGATTGCACCATCTGAAGCCATGGCCTAAGTTCTATGTTGGCACCTTTCAGCCATGGCTGGAGTGGTTGGGATTCAGGGCACAAAGTCCCTGATATGCAGGCTGCACACAGCATGGGGGCCCTGGGCCTGGCCCACAAAACCACTTTTTCCTTCTAGGCCTCTGGGCCTGTGATGGGAGGAGCTGCCATGAAGACCTCTGACATGCCCTGGAGACATTTTACCCATTGTGCTGGGGATTAACATTTGGCTCCTTGTTACTTATGCAAATTTCTGCAGCCTGCTTGAACTTCTCCTCAGGAAATGGGATTTTCTTTTCTATGGCATTGTCAGGCTGCAAATTTTTCAAACTTTTATGCTCTGTTTCCCTTTTAAAACTAAATGCTTTTAATAGCACCCAAGTCACCTCTTGCATGTTTTACTGCTTAGAAATTTCTTCCACCAGATACCCTAAATCATCTCTCTAAAGTTCAAAGTTCCACAAATCTCCAGGGCAGAGGCAAAATGCTGCCAGTCTCTTTGTTAAAACATAACAAGAGTCACCTTTGCCTCCAGTTCCCAACAAGTTTCTCATCTCCATCTGAGACCACCTAAGCCTGGACCTTATTGTCCATATCACTACCAGCATTTTGGGCAATGCCATTCAACAAGACTCTAGGAAGTTCTAAACTTTCCCACATTTTCCTGTCTTCTTCTGAGCCCTCCAAACTATTCCAATCTTGGCCTGTTACCAAGTTCCAAAGTCGCTTTCATGTTTTCAGGTATTTTTCAGCAGCACCACACTCTACTGGTACCGATTTACTGTATCAGACCATTTTCATGCTGCAGAGAAGACATAATTAAGATGGGGCAATTTACAAAAGAGAGAGGTTTAATTGGACTTACAGTTCCATGTAGCTGGGGAAGCCTCACAATTATGGTGGAAGACAAGGAGGAGCAAGTCACATCTTATATGGATGGCAGCAGGCAAAGAGAGAAATGAGGAAGATGCAAAGGTGGAAACCCCTGATAAAACCATCAGATCTCATGAGACTTAATCACTACCACAAGAACATTATGGAGGAAACTGCCCCCATGATTCAATTATCTCCCACCAGGTCCCTCCCACAACAGGTAGGCATTATGGGAGTAACAACTCAGGATGAGATTTAGGGGGGGCTACAGAGCCAAACCACATCATGGCTCTTAGCAGATTCTACCCAAAATCTCCCAAGTCTCCTAGGGTGAGATTCTTTGCAAAGTCATCCTCAACTAAGCTAGAAAATCTATTGAGAGAAATGTAAAACACATATAGAGTGGCATCTGGGTTAAGAAAGCCCCTCATTTTTCTTTTGTTAATGTGGGTTCTCAACATCATACCTGCCCCCAGGCTGATATTTTGTTTCATCGTCACAGAACATGGCAAATGGTGAGATGGAAATTAAAAGAAAAAAGAGAACAAAAGGAATTTCTAAACAGATAGACTAGAAAATAAAAGGCCAGAAATCTTTAAATTGAGTTAAAATAGTTACACAAGGAAAAAGATTAAATTTGGGCTCAATATTTCACATCATTAAGAGTTTAAAAACAAAGCAGAAAAAGAAAAAGGCAGAGTAAAACAACTTGTTAGAAAGCAAAGAGAAGCTCAGTGCTATCAAGGTAAGAGGTTGAAACATGGAAGTTAAAAGATGTAAGATTATGATAAAGCTAAACCTAAAGATAAAGTTAGAGCTCTGGAGAAATGGGGCTAAGAACCAATATCAAGAAAGACCAAGGGTGTGTATAGAGGGGTGGGTAGAAGGAAGAGAGAAAAGGGAAAAAAGGAAAATGCTGGTAGAAGCTAAGAAGAGAGGGTCTGATGGAAGAGTCTAGAACCCTCTGGCTTCTGAGCACAGAGTGGGCTTCTCTAGCCATAAGTATTCCTGCTTTATGGTGAAGACAAAGGCATCCACAGTCATGTGCAGCCATTTCTATCTTGGCTTTTTAGAGCATTTCTGGAGATTTCTGCCCCCATAATCAGCCTTTATTTTCACTCTGCCTCTGAGAAAGGGAAAAGAAGGATAGATCCTCCTGAGCTGGGCTCTTCAATTCCCACAGATATCAAGAGATTAGATGTTACCTTTTCCTGGAGTCTCTGCTCTCAGGCCCCCATCGGTCCTATGGAAGAACACTGGAGTGAGAATCAGGAATCTGGTGTTCATGACCCAACAATGCCAGTAGAGAGCTGAGTGTTTATTATGAATCCCTTAAGCAATCTGGCATTTACCATCACCTCTGATAGAAAAGAACTATTGATAGCCATGATGGTTAATACTGAGTGTCAACTTGATTGGATTGAAGGATACAAAGTATTGATCCTTGGGTATGTCTGTGAGGGTGTTGCCAAAGGAGATTAACATTTGAGTCAGTGTGCTGGGAAAGGGAGACCCACCCTCAATCTGGGTGGGCACTATCTAATCAGCTGTCAGCGTGGCTAGAATACAAGCAGGCAGAAAAATGTGAAAAGAGAGACTGGCCTAGCCTCCTGGCCTACATCTTTCTCCCATGCTGGATGCTTCCCAGCCTCAAACATCAGACTCCAAGTTCTTCAGTTTTGGAACTCAGACTGGGTCTCATTCCTCCTCAGCCTGCAGATGGCCTCCTGTGGGACCTTGTGATTGTGTGAGTTAATACTTAATAAACTCCCCTTTACATACATACATACATATATGTACACATATATGTAAATATACATATATATGTGTACATATACGTGTGTGTGTGTGTGTGTGTGTGTGTGTGTATTTTCCATTAGTTCTGTCCCTCTAGACAACCCTGACAAATACATCAGCTAAATGGTTCCAAACCCATCAAAAATTGTGCTGGGCCATGCAGATGTCACTGGGTGGAAAAATCTGGATTTGCCTAGGTCCTGTGTCCCAGAGTCCCAGGTGTTTTTCCCCCTATATTCTCCCACTCCTTGCTCCTTTTTACCTCTGGAAGCTGATTTGGCTTGTCTTATCCTCTCCCAGTGTCCCTCCCCCATCCTTCTATCTGACTCTGGCTTTTGGATCATTGACTGAACTCAATGTCTTTCTGATTCTCTGGCACAAACCTTGATGTCCCCATGGTGTTGATCTTACTTCTCTGTAATGCTGAGCATGACAGCTTCTGTTTTATCCAGTCATAACATACTCTGATGCTAATTCCAACCAGCTATTTTAGACCATTGGTCACAAGGGAGATCAAGAGAGAGTCTTTGTTTGGTTCCACATAAACCCATCTTGACTGCTAGAAAAACAAAGCAACACACATGCTGTATAGACTGTGGGTGAGAGCATCATGTTCCTGCATGAGGGGCAACTGGATTCATTTTCTAAAATCAAGACACTTTGGGCGAGGCAAATCTCTTATATTCCTCTTGTTCTTTTTTTTTTTTTTTTACATTTATCCATTTTATGTTATTCTTTTTATTTTTTTAAATTTTATTTTAAGTTCCGGGATACATGTGCAGGACATACAGGTTTGTTACATAAATAAACGTGTGCTGTGGTGGTTTACTGCACCTATTAACCCATCACCTAGGTATTAAGCCCCACACGCATTAGCTATTTATCCTGATACTTTTCCTCCCCCTACGCCCCTCCCCTGACATGTCCTGGTGTGTTATTCCCTCACTGTGTCCATGTGTTCTCATTGTTCAGATCCCACTTATAAGTGAGAACATGGAGTGTAAATGGTTTTCTGTTCCTGTGTTAGTTTGCTGAGGATAATGACTTCCAGTTCCATCCATGTCCCTGCAAAGGACATTATCTCATTCCTTTTTGTGGCTGAATAGTATTCTATGGTGTAAATGTACCACATTTTCTTTTTCCAGTCTATCATTAATGGGAATTTGGGTTGATTCCATGTCTTTGCTATTGTCAACAGTGCTGCAATGAACATATGCATGCATGTATCTTTATAATAGAATGATTTATATTCCTCTGGGTATATATCCAGTAATGGGATTGCTGGGTCAAATGGTATTTCTGGTTCTAGATCCTTGAGGAATCCCCACACTGTCTTCCACACGGTTGAACTAATTTACATTCCCACCAACAGTGAAAGAGTGATCCTGTTTCTCCACAGCCTCACCAGCATGTGTTGTTTCTTGACTTTTTAATAATAGCCATTCTGACTGGCATGAGATGGTATCTCATTGTGGTTTTGATTTGCATTTCTCTAATGATCATTGATGTTGAGTTTTTTTTTTCATATGTTTGTTGGCCGCATAAATGTCTTTTGAGGAGTGTCTGTTCATGTTCTTTGCCCACTTTTTAATGGGTTTTTTTAATTGTAAATTTGTTTAAGTTTCTTGTCGATCCTGGATGTTAGACCTTTGTCAGATGGATAGATTGAAAAAATTTTTCCCATTCTGTAGGATGTCTGTTCACTCTGTTAATAGTTTCTTTTGCTGTGTAGAAGCTCTTTAGTTTAATTAGATCCTATTTGTCAATTTTTGCTTTTGTTGCAATTGCTTTTGATCATTTCATCATGAAATCTTTGCCTGTGCCTATGTCCTGAATGGTATTGTCTAGATTTTCTTCTAGAGGTTTTATAGTTTTGGGTTTTACATTTAAGTCTGTAAACCATCTTGAGTTAATTTTTGTGTAAGGTGTAAGGAAGGGGTCCAGTTTCTGTTTTCTGCATATGGCTAGCCAGTTTTCCCAGCACCATTTGTTAAATAGGGAATCCTTTCCCCATTGCTTATTTCTGTCAGATTTGTCAACGATCAGATGGTTATAGATGTGCAGTCTTATTTCTGAGATCTCTATTCTGTTCCATTGGTCTATGTGTCTGTTTTTGTACCAGTACCATACTGTTTTGGTTACTGTAGCCTCTTAGTATAGTTTGAAGTCAGGTAGCATGATGGCTCCAGTTTTGTTCTTTTTGCTTAGGATTGTCTTGGCTATATGAGCTCTTTTTTGGTTTCATGTGAATTTTAAAGTAGTTTTTTCTAATTCTGTGAAGAATGTCAATGGTAGATTAATGGGAATGGTATTGGATCTATAAATTACTTTGGGTAGTATGGCCATTTTCACAATATTGATTCTTCTTACCCATGAGCATGGAATGTTTTCCCATTTGTTTGTGTCCTCTTATTTCCTTGAGCAGTGGTTTGTAGTTCTCTTTGAAGAGGTCCTTCACTTCACTTGTTAGCTGTATTCCTAGTTATTTTATTCTCTTTGTAGCAATTGTGAATGGGAGTTCATTCATGATTTGGCTCTCTGATTGTCTGTTGTTGGTGTATAGAAATGGTTGTGATTTTTGCCCACTGATTTTGTTACTGAGACTTTGCTGAAGTTGCTTATCAGCTTAAGAAGCTTTTATGCTGAGATGATGGGGTTTTCTAGATATAGGATGTTGTCATCTGCAGAGACAGTTTGACTTCCTCTCTTCCTATTTGAATATGCTTTATTTCTTTCTCTTGCCTTATTGCCCTGGCCAGAACTTCCAATGCTATGCTGAGTGGTGAGAGAGGGCATCTTTGTCTTGTGCCAATTTTCAAGGAGAATGCCTGTAGATTTGCCCACTCAGTATGATATTGGCTATGGGTTTGTCATAATTGGCTCTTATTATTTTGAAGTATGTTTCATTAATGCCTAGTTTATTGAGAATTTTTAACATGAAGGGATGTTGAATTTTAGTGAAGGTCTTTTCTGTGTGTATTGAGGTAATCATGTGGTTTTTGTCTTTAGTTCTGTTTATATGATGAATTACATTTATTGATTTGTGTATGTTGAACCAGCCTTGCATCCTGGGGATGAAGCTGACTTGATCATGATGGATAAGCTTTTTGATGTGATGCTGCATTCAATTTTCAGTATTTTATTGAGGATTTTTGCATTGATGTTCATCAGGGATATTGGCCTGAAGTTTTCTTTTTTTTGTTGTATCTCTGCCAGGTTTTGGTATCAGGATGATGCTGGCTTCATAAAATGAGTTAGGGAGGAGTCCCTCCTTTTCAATTGTTTGGAATAGTTTCAGAAGAAATGGTACCCGCTCCTCTTTGTACCTCTGGTAGAATTCAGCTGTAAATCCATCTAGTCCTGGGCCTTTTATTTGTTGGTAGGCTATTAATTGTTGCCTCAATTTCAGAACTTGTTGTTGGTCTATTCAGGGATTCAACTTCTTCCTGGTTCAGTCTTGGGAGGGTGTATGTGTCCAGGAATGTACCCATTTCTTCTAGATTTTCTAGTTTATTTGCATAGGGGTGTTTATAGTATTCTCTGATGGTTGTTTGTATTTCAACAACAAAAGGGGATAAAGGTGATATCCCCTTTATCATTTTTCATTATGTCTATTTGATTTTTCTCTTCTTTATTAGTCTAGTTAGGGGTTTATCTATTTTATTAATTTTTTTCAAAAAACCAGCTCCTGGATTCATTGATTTTTTGAAGGGTTTTCATGTCTGTATCTCCTTCAGTTCTGCTCTAATCTTGGTTATTTCTTGTCTTCTGCTAGCTTTGGGGTTTGTTTGCTCTTGGTTCTCTGGTTCTTTTAGTTGTGGTATTAGGATGTTCATTTGAGATCTTTCTAGCTTTTTGATGTGGGCATTTAGTGCTATAAATTTCCCTCTTAACACCGCTTTAGCTGTGTCTCAGTGATTCTGGTACATTGTCTCTTTGTTCTCATTAATTTCAAAGAACTCCTTGATTTCTGCCTTAATTTCATTATTTACCCAAATTTCATTCAGGAGCAAGTTGTTCAATTTCCACGTAAGTTTGTTGTTTTGAGTGAGTTTCTTAATCTTGAGTTCTAATTTGATTGCACTGTGGTCTGAGAGACTGTTATGATTTCTGTTACTTTGCATTTGCTGAGGAGTGTTTTACTTCCAATTACATGATTGATTTTAGAGTGAGTGACATATGTCACCAAGAAGGATATGTATTCTGTTGTTTTTGGATGGAGAGTTCTGTGTATAACTATCAGGTCCACTTGATCCAGAGCTGAATTCAAGTCTTGAATATCCTTGTTAATTTTGTGT
The DNA here is from genome assembly GCF_000001405.40 of Homo sapiens. Classification (NCBI taxonomy): domain Eukaryota; kingdom Metazoa; phylum Chordata; class Mammalia; order Primates; family Hominidae; genus Homo; species Homo sapiens. The sequence continues at coordinate 177,382,462 of NC_000001.11, forward strand.
CTCACCAATCTGTCTACTATTGACAGTGGAGTGTTAAAGTCTCCCACTATTATTGTGTGGGAATCTAAGTCTCTTTGTAGGTCTCTAAGAACCTGTTTTATGAATCTGATGCTCTTGTGTTGGGTACATATATATTTAGGATAGTAAGCTCTTGTTGAATTGATCCCTTTACCATTATGTAATGCCCTTCTTTGTCTTTTTTGATCTTTGTTAGTTTAAAGTCTTTTTGTCAGAAACTGGGATTGCAATTCCTGCTTTTTTTCTGCTTTCTATTTGCTTGGTAAATTTTCCTTTATCCCTTTATTTTGAGCCTATGTGTATCTTTGCATGTGAGATGGGTCTCTTGAATACAGCTGATGTGTCTTGACTCTTTATCCAGCTCGTCATTCTGTGTCTTTTAATTGCGGCATTTAGCACATTTACATTTAAGGTTAATATTGTTATGTGTGCATTTGCTCCTGTCATCATGATGCTAACTGGTTATTTTGCAGACTTGTTGATGTAGTTGCTTCATAATGTCATTGGTCTTTGTACTTCAGTATGTTTTTGCAGTGACTGGTAACAGTTTTTTCTTTCCATATTTAGTGCTTTCTTCAGGAGCTCTTGCAAGACAGACCTGGTGGTGACAAATTTCCTCAGCATTTGCTTGTCTGAAAAAGATTTTATTTATCCTTTGCTTATGAAGCTTAGTTTGACTGGATATGAAATTCTGGGTTAGAAATTCTTTTAAGAATATTGAATATTGGTACCCAATCTCTTATGGCTTGTAGGGTTTCTACTGAGATATCTGCTGTTAGTCTGATGGGCTTCCCTTTGCATATGACCTGGCCTTTTCTCTGGCTTCCCTTAACATTTTCCTTCATTTCAACCCTGGAGAATCTGATGATTACGTATCTTGAGGTTGATCTTCTTATGGAGTATCTTGCCAGGGTTCTCTGGATTTCCTCAATTTGAATGTTGGCCTGTCTTGTTAGGTTGGGGAAGTTCTCCTGGATGATATCCTGAAGTATGTTTTCCAACTTGGTTCTGTTCTCCCTCTCTTTCAGTTACCCTAGTCAGTCAGAGGTTCAGTCTTTTTACATAGTCCCATATTTCTCAAAACTTTTGTTCGTTCATTTTCATTCTTTTTTTTTTCTAATCTTGTCTGCCTGTCTTATTTCAGCAAGATAGTCTTCAAGCTCTGAAATTTTTTTCTCTGCTTGGTCAATTTGGCTATGGATACTTGTGGTTGCATTGTGAAGTTCTTGTATTGTGTTTTTCAGTTCTATCAGGTCATTTATATTCCTCTCTAAACTAGTTATTCTGGTTAATGGCTCCTGTAATGTTTTATCGTGGTTCTTAGCTTCTTTGTCTTGGGTTAGAACATGCTTCTTTAACTCAGGAAATTTCACTATTACCCACCTTCTGGAGCCTACTTCTGTCAATTCATTCATCTCAGCCTCCACCCAGTTCTGTGGTCTTGCTGGAGAGATGTTGCAATCATTTGGAGGAGAAGAGGCACTCTGGCTTTTTGAGTTTTCAGTGGTTTTTTGCTGATTCTTTCTCATCTTCATGAGTTTATCTAGGTTTGATCTTTGAGGCTACTGGCCTTTGGATGGGGTTTTTGTGGGAACTTTTTTGTTGATTCTGTTGTTGCTGTTACTTTCTGTTGGTTTGTTTTTCTTTTAACAGTCATGCCCCTCTTCCATAGAGCAGCTGTGGTTTGCTGGGGGTCCATTCAAGACTCTATTCACCTGGGTCCCTCCCATACCAGGAGGTGTCACCAGTGGAGGCTACAGAACAGCAAAGATTGCTGCCTGCTCCTTCCTCTGGGATCTCCATCTGAGAGGGGCACCGACCTGATGCTAGTGGTAATGCTCCTGTATAAAGTGCCTGGTGACCCCAGTTCAGGGGTCTCACCCAGTCAGGAGGTGTGGGATCCGGGGCCTGCTTAATGAAGCCTCTTGGCAGAGGGGGTGCACTGCACTGGGGGCAATCCCACTCATCCAGACTGCCTGGATTCCTCAGAGCCAGCAGAGGAAAGACCAAGTCTGCTGATCTATGGACACTATGGCCATCTCTTCCCTTAGGGGCTCAGTCCCAGGAAGATTAAAGTTCTGTCCCTAAACCCCTGGCTGGAGCTGCGGAAATTCCTGTAGGGAAGCCCTGCCCAGTGAGAAGGGATGAGTCAGGGTCTGGCCTAAAGAGGCAGTCTGCCCATGATCTGCCACAGCTGCTGAGCTGAGCTACGCTGTGAGGAATTCCTCCTGGGTCCAAACCTTCCAGTCTCCCAGCACTGGCATAGGATAAAATGGTAGACTGGAGCTACAGTGATGGCTGCCGCCCCTCCTGCAGGGAGCTCAGTCATCTTAGTCAACAGGCAGCTGCAGTGAAGACAGTGGCCCCTCCCCCTGGGAACTCAGTAGTCTTTGACAGTCTCCAGGCCAGTGGCCTCTGAGAATCTGCACAGCTCTGTGCTTAGGACCCAAGGCCCTGGTGGCATGGGCTCATGAGAATGATCTGATCTGCAGGTTGAACAGATCCATGGAAAATGCATGGTTTCCTGGGCAGGGTAGCATGATCACTCACCACCTCCCTTGGCTGGGGATGGGCACTCCCCTTACCCTGTGTGGCTTCCAGGTGGGCCATCACACCACCCTGCTTTTCCTTGCTCTCCATGGGTCACGCCAACTGCCTAGTCAGTGCCAGTGAGAGAACCTGGATACCTCAGTTGTCAGTGCAGGATTCACTAACTATGTTCATTCTTCTTTGTGGAAGCCCCCAACCACAGCTGTTTCTAATTGGCTATCTTGGCCCCTCCCCACTCCTCTTGTTCTTTACATTCAACTAATTCTTTGAAATTTAAAGACAGCACCATAAGAGCAATCATCCTGGTATCATTAACACAGAGAAATCCTCGGAAACAAGAGAGGTTTTTGTTAACATTGAGGTGATGTCCATTCAAAGCTGTTGTGCCTGACACTGCTTCTTGTCTCTTTATCTTAATAATGAGCTTCCAGATATCAAATGAGGACTCCCTGAGTAATGCAACAGGAGAAGCAGTACATCTGTGATGCTGCCAGTGATAACACAAACCTATGATGTTCATGTGGCTTAAAGCACACAATATACCATTCTTACAGCACAGCAGTTCACAAATCAGCACATGAAAATGATGCTGGAGGAGGATATTAACTGGAAAGTATTAAATTTTCCTCTTGATAAACTAAACTTTCAGATAGAGCAACTAATTAGGTCTCATGTGCTGGATCCAGAGGGACTCCAATTTTTTTTTTCCTGGATGTCCTGAGGCTGGAGAAAGAAAAGTAGAATTTAATGTAGACAATTGTAAAATATTGTCCTGGGGCAAGGAATCCACGGAGTGAGCCCAGTGTGTGAGTGCCAACAGCTCACAGAGGGAGCCAGGCAAACCATGCCAGTGCTTTGCTCTGCTGGCTGGGACACCATAACATCCTTTTGATAAATGCTGACTTCCTCTGGAGATCTAGGTCAAGGTAGTAGAGGGAGTATCTTTTGTTCTTTAATCCCAGTGCTGCGCATTTCCCCTGGGGCTGGATTAGTGTCCTTTCAAAGAAAGAACCAGAAAAACAGTAATCAGTGTGTCAGGTTATCCATTAAGGGCTCACAGCTTTACAATTCAACAAAAAGCAGTTACCCAAGGGAGGACTTAGATAGGGATGCAGTCTCTTCTAAAATCTTCACTTTCCTTTACCCAGTAGCATGTGGTCACATTTTATAGACAGCACATACAGACACTCAGACATTCAGGGAGTAGGCACTGTTGCCCTGTGTGGAGCTTATTTGGGGTCTGACTATATCCAAGTCTATAAGAGTTTAATTATTCAACTGAGTTTAGTACCCATGAAGGTGATGCATAAAGCAGGTTTTTGACAACACCTCCATTTCTCATTTCAGATTCTTCTCTAGATAATACAAGAGCTCTGTCTCTCAGCCTTAGTGACCAAGGAAGTGAACTCATTTCTGTTTTAATAAAACCAGAGCTTTTCAAGCCTCAAAATGACTCACCTCCTGTCTTCTCAAAACTCACCATGGACATGTCTCTGAATTCTGTCCACAAAATTTCTTTGAACCTTCTTTTTGTGGGTACGAGAAAAGTCAATACCTCTTCCATGGCTGTGTTCTCAGGCTTTTGTGAACATACTCAACATTTGCATCTTCTTTTACGAGAAGATGCATTTTTGACTTCTGTTGCGTTTTGACTCAGTTTTTCTGAAAAAGCACCTGAATTTGTTTTCTTTATAAATTTTCTCTCCACTGGAAATACTAAATGAGACTTTACACTTCTCCCCATAGGTCCAAGCCCATGTTCCCTTTATGTACAGGGATTTTCTTTTTAAAAAATTTTTGGGCCAGGCACAGTGGCTCATGCCTATAATCCCAGCACTTTGGGAGGCTGAGGCAGGCGGATCCCCTGAGGTCAGGAGTTTGAGACCAGCCTGGCCAACATGGTGAAACCCCATCTCTACTAAAAATATAAAAATTAGCTGGATGTGGTGGTGCACACGTGTAATCCCAGCTACTTGGGAGGCTGAGGCAGGAGAATCACTTGAACCTGGGAGGCAGAGGTTGCAGTGAGCTGAGATCGCATGATTGCACTCCCTCCAGCCTGGGCAACAGAGCAAGACTCCGTCTCAACAAAACATTGTCTTTATAGATATACGTACATAAATATATTTCAGATGAGGTCTTGCTATGTGCTATGTTGCCTAGGGCAGTCTGAAACTCCTGGCTCAAGTGATCCTCCTGTGTCAGCTCCTGAAGTGCTGGGATTATAGGTGTGAGCTACCATGCCCAGCAGGTACAGGGATTTTCTACTATCAGAATGTAATCTGGTCTCTTTTCAGCACAAATATTTTAATAATTTTGTTTCTCTTTTATGCCTACTGACCCAAAAGTAGTGAGGTAAAGAGTGGGGATTCTTAATCCACAAAGGTAATTAGTGGTTTGAGAGACTCACTGAATATGATAAAATGGTAAAAATAACAACAACAACAAAATTTGTAATACAGGCATACAATGTGTAACAATTAGTTCTAAGTAATTGGGATATTCATTCATTACCTCAAACATTTATCATTTCTTTGTGCTGGAAACATTCCAAATCTCCTCTGCTAGCTATTTTGAAATATGCAATAAATTATTGTTAGCTATAGTCACCCTACTGTGCTATTGAACACTAGATCTTATTCCTTGTATCTAACTGTATTTTTGTACCCATTAACCAACCAATCTTCATCCCCCACTCCCCACTACCCTTCCTTGTCTCTGGTAACCACCATTCTATTCATGATCCACATGAGATCGATCTTTTTGGCTCCCACACATGAGTGAGAACATGCAGTGTCTTTCTGTGCCTGGCTTCTTTCTCTTAACATAATGTCCACCAGTTCCATCCATGTTGTTGTAAATGACAGGATTTTGCTTTTTTTTTTTAAGACTGTCATATATTTCACTGTGTATATATACTATATATATATATTCATTATCCATTCATTCATTGATTGTATGCATGTATCAAAATATCACATATACACCATAAATATATACAACCATTATGTATCCATAAAAATTAAAAATTAAAACTGTGAATATGGAGTAAAGTACACAGAATTTGTAACGCTAAGTCAAACTCTACTTTTTAATTCTCCATATTTTCAATGTCACTTTCTTTTGTTGTTGTTGTTGTTGTTGTTGAGATGGAGTTTTGCTCTTGTCACCCAGGCTGGAGTACAGTAGTACAATCTCATCTCACTACAACCTCCGCCTCACAGGTTCAAGCGTTTCTCCTGCCTCAGCTGCCCAAGTAGCTGGGATTACAGGTGCCCATCATCACACCCCGGTTAATCTTTGTATTTTTAGTAGTGACAGGGTCTCACCATGTTGGCCAGCTTGGTCTTGAACTCCTGACCTCAAGCAATCCACCCACCTTGGCCTTCCAAAGGGCTATTACAGGCATGAGCCACCACACCCAGCCTCAGTGTCCCTTTGATATGGAGTAATAGGAAGAGGATGAGGTAGGTAGAATCAAGGATGGTGAAATTTTAGTTTCCCACAAGCCACACTGAGTTGATCATTTTAGAAAGCCACCCATTGGAATACATCAGCTGGAGAATGTTATTTTTAAGAAAAAGAAAGCAAATAAAAAACCAAGCAATTTAATTTATCTAGTAAGAATTCAGCTTGGGTAGCTGTGTAGGACAGGAGTATGTATTTTATTTTGAAATGAATGCATTATGAAAAGATTGAATATGAAAGCCATGACTGTTACCCTGAAAACATTCTTCTTAAAGGAGCCATTAGGGAATGAGCCATGAGCTGAATAATGGATATGTATGTTCTTCTGATGGCATCACTTATGGCCAATGTGATGAGGGAGAAAGTTATGCATACAGACTGCCTATACAAATGTTTGTATTCTAAATGTCTCTGTGCTCCAATATTGCCTGCCTGCCTTAAATCATCATTTCCTAGGTGTCCACTCTAAAGGCTTATCTCTCTTGCCCAACATCTAATAGGTATTCCAGAAAATGCAACATGTTGAGACTACTAGAACTGCAGAGCTGGAGAAAACTTTAGTGATGTTCTTATAACCCAATTCTTATTCAATAACATTGCTTTTTTCCTCAAATTATAAAATTAACATATGTTCATTTTAAGGAATAAGAAAATGAAACAACCTATAATTCAAATATCAGAGTTCTGAATTTCTTTATAGTATTTTTTGAGGGGAGGAGGATGAGTATATATATATATATATGGTGTGTGTGTGTGTGCGCGCGCGCATATCTGTATGTATGTATATATGCACAAACTCACATGTACATTTTTAATCTTTCAAAATTGAGATTATATTGTAAGTCCAGTTTTAATAATAGGTATGTGGTGTGAATTTTCCTATGTCAGTAAATATTCTTTAAAAACCATCATTTTTAAAAATAATGTGAGGTGAAATTTACATAACATAAAATCAACCATTTGAAAGCGAACAGTTTAGTGGCATTTAGTACATCCACAATGTTGTGCAACCACCATCTCCATCTGATTTCAAAACGTTCCTATCACTCCAAGGTAAAATCCCATACCCATTAAGCAGTTTTTCCTCATTCTTCTTTCTGGTAGCACTTGGAAACCACCAATTTGCGTCTGGTCTCTGGATTTACCTATTCTGGATATTTTATATACGTGAAACCATACAATATGTGAACCTTTTGTGTCTGACTTCTTTCACTTGGAATAACGTTTTTGCATTCATCCACCTTGTAGCATGCATCAGTACCTCATTCTTTTTTATGGCAGAAAAAGTATTCCATTGTTTGTATATACCACTATTTATTCACTCATTCATCTATTAATGGACATTTAGGCTGTTCCTTCTGACTGTTGCGAATAGTGTTGAACATATGTATACGTGTTCTTGTTTGAGTGTCTGTTTTCAGTTCAATTGGGCATATACCTAGAGTGGAATATGCAGGATCATATGGTAATTCTATTTTTAACTTTTTGAGGAAACACCAAATTGTTTCCACAGCTGCTCTGTCATTCTACATCCCCACCAGCAATGCATGAGGGTTCCAATTTCTCCACATCCTCACCAGAACTTGTTAATTTCCATTTGTTTGCTTGTGTTTTCATCATAGCCATTCATTACATCCATTACAGTGGGTGCAAAGTGGTTTTTAATGGTTATGTGATTCATCTGGTTTCTCTATATTGTATCTTTCATTCTCTACTCTATTGTTGACATTTAGGTTGTTTTGAAATTGCTCCTATTGTTACTAAACATAGGATGAAATTTTTACACAGTATATAAATCTGTAATTACATCTCATTATTTCCTCAGCAAAGTTCCTGGAAGCAATCATCTGGTTTTGCAGGTGAAGAAGCTGTGTTAATAAGAGCTGAAACCAGAGCTCAGGTTACCTATACCTTAGCCAGTGTTTTCCTTCGATTTTTTGATGGGATTGTGTCAGTGTTTTAGATGTAAGATGGATACCAGGTTAGATGAAACTCAGCTAAAAACAGTGAATTCTTTAGCATTGGGTCTGATACCCTGTGGAACACAAATGTTCCACAGTCCTTCCTGTCAAGTACTATGTCCACTCACTCTATTTTGTCCTAAATGGAAAAAGGGCTGCAAACACAGCAAAGCTCTGTGTTCACAAGCACTGTTGCACACTGTGTGCCATCAACAACTTTACAGGCATAGTCTCAACATAGTCTACCACAACTTCTTCAGTTCTGCATGGCCACAAAGTCTTAGTGAAGTAGGTTCAGGTCAGTTCCAATGGGTCAGTTGCCTCGCTGCAGCATTGTCTTTCTACCTGCATAGTATTTTGTGCTTGAGTAGGGGAATGACGATAGATTTGTGCTGTCATTGGTAGACCTCTATTTAAATGGTGTTTTCAATGAGGTTAGAGCTGGTAAAAGAGTGAGATCCAATGGTACATTTTGAAATTTTTAGTGAGATCCCAAAAAGAAATATACCCAGCCACATACAGTACATAAAACTACAGTCTGTTTCCCCTCTAATTGGTAATAAATGTAAATGTTTAGTTATGCCTGACTAGGGAGCTATGAACAACACATCTGTCTGACTGCTTTTTCAGTCTTCCCAAGGACTGCAGCATTTATACCATCTGTAGCTTGTGCAAGAAAGAGACAGAGAAAAAGTGAGACTAAAATTTAGAGAATGGATATTACTAGAAGTGCATAGGGAATTGATTCAGTCAACAAATACTTATTGAGCACCTATTATAGCCTATGCATGCCAGGCCAAAAAAAAAAAAAAAAAAAAAGATGCTGTTGAGTTTGAGGTTGATAATAAATCTCTCCCCTTCCTAAATTCTGAATCAATTGATGAGGTAGGGGGATGTTAAGCTAATGGAGATATAAATGTCAAGTTTATTACTGAAAACAAATACTGGTGAATGAGGCTTAGGCTACAATAATAATGGGTTTCCTAGGAGTGAGCTCTGGAATCAAACAGGCCCACCTGCCCTGACACAGACAGAGCGGACAGAGGATTGCAGGACTTACTCATGAAGGTAGAGCACAGACTACTTATCTGGAGGCCTGGTTAGGAGAAGGGCAGGCAGGCTCGCTGTAGGCCAGCAGGGCCCCAACAAGGAAGAGGAGGGGAAGGGGCTGGCTGCAGGCCAGTCTTGCTTCTAAAATGGGTCAGAGGAGCAATGGGGATGGAGAGGAGTAAGACACACACACAAATACTGTGGATCTCAGGCCTGTTTTTATGTTAGGGTTACCTGGGACTCCATCCTCATGCCTAGAGAGTCTGATTCCATTGACTACGATTGGGCATGGGCTTGGATATGTATTTTTAAAAACTTCCTAGGTAATCGTAGGTGTACAACCAGGGTTGAGAATCATTGTTCTAATAGAACATAGGTGGAAGGAGCCCCTGCCATCATCCCATGCACTCCACTAGATAAAATGATCAACGAGGGGAAGTTCTTACCTTCCAGAATCTCTCATTCTCCTGATAGAGAAGGCATGATAGCAACAGTGCTGTTTGCCAAATGCCACAGGCACTCAGAGGATGGAGAGACCAAAGGCCCAGGGTTCCAGAGACCTTCTCAGCACCATGGGTGGCCTGGGTTCAGAAGATCACCCTGGCAATTGTGGAAGAGGCAACATAGGAGAAAAGTGGATGTTTGTGAGGCCTCTTTTGAGATTGCAATAGATCAAGAGAGTATACAATAAAAAGGAAGCAAGGTGGCTAGGGACACAGATTGCTCATTAATTAGCATCCTTCTGTGTTCAGCCTTAGAAGAACAAGCCTTCTTCTTGAGAGCAGGCTGCCTGTGGTCTGCCTGGGCCATATGTGTGGCCTCCACTGGGGGCCATGGTTCTGTGTGGAGGAGCTCAAGTTTCTTGAGGTTGTGCTAAGATGAGGGGAGAGGATGAATATCAGGTGCACAGCTTGGCACCTGGCACAGAGTGCCTGCTTGCTAGGTGTTAGGTGCTGCTGCTGCTGCTGTTGGTTCTGAGAAGCACGAAAGCTGCAGCAGCACAGGTCTTTCCTTGGTTTGTTGGCTTGAGCTCTGACTCACCTGTGTGAAAGTAGAGCTTTCGATGATTTGTGTTGGGCTCACGGTTTTGCAGAAATGCCACAGATGTTTTACTCCTTGTTTTAGTTTAATCATCAGTAACTGGCAACAACAACAAAATGCTGAGGATACCTCAACATTCCATCTTAATGAGTTTTATTGATAGCTAGACCAAACCAGGATTCAAAACCAAATAAGCATTTTTTCATTTCCTTTAATCCTCATAACTACCTTGTGAGATACATTTTATAATCCCATTTTATAGATAAGAAACTGAGGTTAAGAGAAGTTAAATAATTTTTCTTATGTCAGCTTTTAAGTAACAAATGCAGGATGAAAACTCAAGGCTCTGGTTTCACATCAGGCTCTGTTTTGATTATACTTCAGCGAGATTACTGTGCTTTTTGCTTTTAGAGAGACAAGGAGGAAAAAAAGCATAATTCTCAAGTCCTTCAGAGGAACATGCCTACAAGATGTCTTTGTGATATAGAGAAATAGGGTTATACTAGTTTGAGAATTCTTTCTGTGCTCTATAATCTAGAATAGTCACTATTTCTCTTTTATACATGTGTAAAATCTCTTTTCTGAAGGTGACAGTAATTAACATTCACACTCTGCAAATTTATTTTTCAAGGGGTCTATACAATACTCTGAAGACTGTGAAAAAATAAGAACTTTTGGACTCAGAGTCATGTTTTTCGCAATTTAATTGTGTGCCATGTATCTTGGATCAGTATCCTCATTGTATGTTTTATGTTTCTCAGACAATTCATGAAATGACATGACAAATATTGGCCATGAATTCCTTAAATGTGCACTTGTGCCTTGTGTTTGACAACTGACTTTTGACTAAAGGAATGAATGAATGTTGGAGGAGATGAATACTGTTGAATTCAAAGGGTAACAGAGATGCTATGCAGTACGTAGGGAATACCCTTGGAGGATGACAGCCTTTGAGAGCTAGAGTCTGACAGGGAAAGGGAGCCTGAGAAGGGAAGGGAGGTGTCCTCATCTCCCCAGGGCCTGATGACAATGTTTTTTGCTGTAAGTGCTGGATGCCTTTACTCATCTTAATTTCAAATTGATTCTTCATTTTGCATCAGTTAGACATTGCGCTGTAGCAGTCCACACAATATCACTTGTCTTCTGGGCCTTCCTGGAGGTCATATCTTGGCAGCACTTCCAGCTGACTTGCAGTTATCTTCACTTTCTTTTTAAAGAGGCATTTGACAAGCAAGTTCACTGTAAAGAGAAAGAAATCGTTGCTACATATTTTTCCATGACTATCACAAACAAATTGGTGTCTCAATGAACCTCCTTTCCACTTGGCAGCCTCAACTCAATTCAATACACATTGACGGAGGCCATCCTCTGTTTCGGACATTGAGATGGACAGTCTAATAGTTTCAAGGCTAAATAAGCCCCAAGCCTTGCCTCCCAGGTGGAAGCATTGTAGTAGGGACTAAGAGATGTGCATAAATAACAATAGCACAATGGAGTCTCCATTGTTTAATAGCTATGCACTACTTTTAAATCACAGGAAACTTCATCATCTTGGCCTTGGACACATCTTGCCATCCATACTATTTAACATAGGTTTAGCCACAGATAAAAAGGTAAGAGAGAACATATAATTGCACCACTAACCACCCTAAGTCCCCCGAATTCTGCTGCTGGAGCATGATAAATTTTATTAGAAGTGTTTCTGAACACAAGATGTGAAATATCAGGAACTGTGAATGATGAAGAACTAGAAACACTCTTATTTTGTAATGTAGGGACATTCTGATGTTATTTTAGGCCTAAGAGTGCTTCATCTAGATTTAAGTTTCAGCCTCTTAAACGATCTTTCAGATCAGTTAATATTTATGAAATACCTACTATGTGCTTCCCACTTAGCCAGGTCTTAGAGGGGAAGTACAAAGATAAATAAGAGTTTTTTTTGCCTTTAAGGAACTTGCAGCCTTGTGAGGATATAAAAAACAAATAATTTCAATAGCTCCTGTTGGGTGCTTTAGATAAGAAATCATGCTGGGCCCTGTCTTGGCAGAAAAGAGGGGTTTATAGCCCAACTAGTGGGTCAGAAAGGCTCCCTAGAGGAGCAGCTGTTCCTCTAGTCCTTGAGGGTATTAGAAAGGTGAAGAAAGTTGAGAAGGGAAGTCCAAGTAGAGGGGAAAAGAAAAGGCATAGAAGACGAGTGTATGTGGTATTTAGGGAGAATTCTTGACTTTGTTTTCTTAGAATTAAGTGCGAGTCAAGAAAGGTTACCAGAGGGAGGTAGGTCAGGCAAAAGGAGGCTTCAGGTAGCATGCCAGGTGTTTGGGCTCCATCATCATGGAGCTGCACTGGAAGTCTCCATGACTGCAATGTAGAAAAGACTTAAATGAAGCAAGGCAGGGGTGGGAAAACAGGAGCCCAGTTCAGGAGGCTACAACTAAGAGGTTATAAAGGCCTGAGTTAGCGCTGTGAAAATAGAGGTGAAGAAACGGGTAAAATTGGCAGAGTTGAAAACTGATTGGATCTGAATATTAAGAAAGAAAAGGTCTAAAATGGCTCTGAGGTTTGGAGCTTGGATGACTGGATTGATGGTGGTATCATTTATAGGCATTGGAAAGAACAGAGAAGAGAAGGTTGGGGGAGGGAGAGGAAAGTCTAATTTGGGATAGGTGTTGAATAAGAGGTGCTTGTGAAACAACTGGGAAGGTGTTGACTAGGAAATAGGAGGTTCACATCTGAACTTCAGAGGAGAGGAAAGAGCTGAAAATACCAGCAGAGACCCTGTCTTCTTCTAGTCTGCCTCTCTTAGATCAGAGCCCAGGAAGAAGTAAGCAAGAAAGTAAATAATACATGTCTAAGATTGATTGACTGGGGGCTGTGGGAGGGAACTATTTGCTCTAAAAGATAGAAGAAAATCTTTTAATATTTTCTATGCCTTAAATTCTGCATTACAGAAAAATACTTCAGACCAGAACAGAAGTTGGCTGTTAATTTCAGCCTGAAAGCATTTTTTCTACTACCTATGTTTGGCGTCATTCGGTTTATTTTTAGACACCATTGGAACTAACTTTGGAGAGTCTTCTTTCGGAGTTTATCCAGGGGCAGGTGACCTGGATAGTGAAGTATATGGAAATTCTTTCATATGAGGATTAATTTAAATACTTGAAGATATTTAGTCAAGAGAAAGACATCATACACATACACAGAGATATATTGGCAACATAATAAAGGCTTCCTTCAAATATTGAAAGGGTTGTCACATTGAAGAAATAATAGACTTACTGAACATACCTCCAGCTGATCAATGAGTGGAAGTTATATGCAGGTAGAGTTCACTTTTACTCAATAAATGATCATTAAACACCCAGATTTAGTAGCCTCCTTTCTATGTATAGGACTCTAACAAGGAACAAGATAGATTAGGTCCCTGTTCTCCTGGAGTTCATATTCTAGTGATGAGGAGACAGATAATCAACAAGATAAATGACTTTATACACTGACAGGTACTGTGGGGAAAGGAATGTAGTATTAAGAAAGAGAATAAGACCAAAGGCGGAGTGTGAGGGTGGGGGCAGAGCTCTCTAGGCTGGGTGCTAGGGAAGTCCTTCCAAGGAGGAGACATTTTGAGACCAGAATGACAAGAGCCAGCCAGTTTTAGAAAGAGCTTTCTGGGCCAGGTAAAACTCAAGTGAAAAGGCCTTCACTCAGGATTAAGGCTTAGCTATTGTAACAAGAGAGCAGGGTGTGGCTGAGGGAAGGTGAATGAGAATGTAGTACCAAGATGAAACTGGATAGGTAGGTAGAGGAAGCTCAGACAAGGCTTTTTGGATTTTGATTGTGATGGGAGATTACTATGTACATTTTGCATGGGCAGGACTTGTTCAAGGAGCAAATTATCTAACTTGTACTTTTAAAAGATCACTCTGGCTATTGAGTACAGAACAGAGTATGTGGGAGTTTACACGGAACAGTATTTGAGAGGACAGAGGACAGTAGATTGGAGTAGGGTGGTAATGTGGCAGAAAGAAATGGATTGGTTCCAGAAACACTTTATATATAAAAATAACAGGATTCGCTGAAGGAATTGGATGTTGAGGGGGCCATAAGGAAAAGGGGGAATGAAGGAGGACTCTTAGGTTCTTGGCTTAAATGTTCCATTGGATGGTGCTGCCATTTAGTAAGATAGAGGAAAGAGTGGGTGGAACAGGTTGTGGACAACAGAGAGAGTTAACAGTTATGTTTTGGATATATTACATTGAAATTCCAATTTGACTCACACGTGGATATATCATGTAGGAAGCTAGATGCATGTGTCTGGAGCTCAAGGAGGAGGTCTTGGTTAGAGCAACAAAAATTGGGAATCATCAACGCATAGATGGGACATGACCCATGCGAGTAGGAATGGAAGGAAATAGAAGAAAGACCTCAAAACTGAGCCTTACAAGTGTTTAATATTTAGAGACCAGGTAGAGGAAGCAGAGCCAGTAAAAGATAAGGCCAATCATATACAATAAAAACCAGGAGAAGGTGGCATAATGAAGATCAAAAGAAGAAAATAATTAAAGAAGAGGAAGCCATTCGATTTAAGGAAAATTCTGCAAAATTTAGATTTAGCCTATCATGGATGGAATCTCACAGTCCCCTGTCAAGGGAACAGGACACATTATGTTTCACATCTCTCCTCTTCTAGATGATAAAAACAATGTATCTAGATGATAAAACAAGGTACACCAGCAGGCAAATGCCACCCAGGCCAGCACTAACTCGGAAGAAGGGACAGAGAGATGTCTATCAGTTGCTCAAGGCTTGTTCTCTGGACACTCTTGTTCCAGACATTACTGCATTCTTAGAGACTCCTTTCCTTAATTCTGAGTCCTTGCCTTGTTCTCAGGTCTTCAGAGATTTTACTGATTCTTGCAGTCAGATCTCTCAACCAGAACCACTCTGGTTGTCTATCGATGTCCTGCCCTGGCCTGAGCAGACTACTACTTCCAAGATTTAGTTAGGTCCTTGTTCAGTGCTACCTCTGCCTCCCTTGTCTTTTCACCCGTCATTACCACCATGGTTATTTCCTGATTATAGACCAATTCTCAGATACAGATCCATGCATCTTGTATGACCAGGCCCTTAACCTTTGCCCAGCACCATAGATCTTTCTAGATTCCATCAGCTAGTTGCATCTGGTTTGGGACAGCTCACAGCGCCAGAACCTGGTTCTGATCATCATAAGTGAACAAGCTTATGTGGGATGAACCATCTGGAAGGGGGTCCTACCATAAAGAGCAACTCTTCCATGTGAGAATGTTGTCTGGATAGCCTTTGAGGACCCTTCCAATGTAAGAATCTGGGGCATTTTCAAAAAAACGTAAAGAAATGAATATTGGTTCCATTTTAGGGAATCATTTAGAAAGCAAACATTTAATGAAATACAATTACTTTTCCTTTTCTCTAGCATATGATTATTCACATTCTGAAATTCTGTTTTTCTATTTCCCTCATATGTTTTGTTTTAGGTTGAGGGAGCTCTTATTTGCTGACAGGATATTTTGCTTCAGGCTAATATATTGCTAGTCAGGCAGAATTCTAAATGACAAGATTGTGTACAAGAATGTACAGTTTCTTCTGGTCAAAGCTGACCTCCTAATATTTTCTCATATATCCTAGGCACTCAGTAAAAACTGAATGAATTGAACTGAAGCCCTTTAAAAAGTGGATCCTTGGTAAAGCAATGGTTGGGCAATGGTTGGCGTTGGTGTTCATTACCAGGATCTGGCCTGTGATGGGAAGAGGAGTTTTTGTGAAGCACACTCTCTGTTTCTCTCCTCATCTATTCTCCTGTCAACGTTCAGATGGCAGGTTGATGCTTTCCTGTGTGTAACTAGAATGCTGACAAGAATCATAAATTATAGATTTTGGAAATCTCAAAATATTTCTACACTTTTCTAGTAAGCGACATCATCATAGTATGTGTATGTGAGGCGGAGGCATGTCATATTGCTTTGTTCCCTGTCCCCTCCCACAGACACACTTAATGCAGTAGGCTTACAAAGGCCTGAGTAGGGGAAGATACTTTTGTATATCTAACACAAAAGTCATTTGTAGTTTGCATATTTGTGTGGTTTGACCCAAAGAGGGGTGCTAAAACATTAAAGGCCAGGCATTCTCCAGTCATCATTCTTCTCTATTGCTCCTCACCTGCCTCATCCATTTTTGCTACCTGCTAGGCATATGGATGCCTTTAAATATATAAACCTGGTCTACAACATGCTAGACCAGGAATCACAGCAGTGCTTGTAAACTGTCATACGTAAGTTTTATTTGGACTGCAACAATATAAACATCACGATGTTTTAAGATAGAAACAAATTTAAACCATAACCAGTTTATTGAACAAGCTGGAATCAGCAAGGGGCAGGCAGAAAGCAACTTGACTCCTTCTCGCCCATTTATACTCCCTCTATGGAATTGTTCTTCCCCACCCCAGGATGGCTCTCAGGCATATCAGTACTTCTCCTGTCATTCTCTGTTCTTAATTTATATATACATATAATATATTATATATAATATATAATATATAATATATATAATTATATTATATATAATATATAATATATATAATTATATTATATATTATATATAATATATTATATATTATATATATAATATATATTATATATTAAATATATATTATATATATAATATATATTATATATTAAATATATATTATATATATAATATATATTATATATAATATATATAATATATATTATATATATATTATATATTATATATATATATTATATATATATAATATATATAATATATATTATATATAATATATATTATATATATATAATATATATAATATATATTATATATATATAATATATATATATATATGGTTTTTAAAGTATTTAGAAAGTCAAACCCAGTCTGATGTCAAAACTTCAACATCTCATCCAATTTCACTGCCCCCATGGCTTTGCTCCACATAGTTGCTGGACTTTCACTCAGGTCCGAGAGCCTGGAATGAGGAAGGAGGATGAGATTGATTTCTTTATTTTTTTTGCCTACTTCTGCATTTCTTCTCCTTCTCCATCTCTTTCTTGCTGTCTAAATCCTGTTCCTGGTTCCCTCTTGGGCTGATCTCCGGAGAACAGTGTTCAGAGAAAAGCCCACCATCTTTCTTTGCTGGTGTGTTTGTATCCTGGCACTGGGGCCCTCTGTGTACCATAGCTCAAATGTAGCTCTTTCCCTGATTGGTTGCTTTGTGGGTCCCTCACATGTCTCCCTGCTGGGAGCTTCCCATCAGCAGTTCCCTTATGTGGGAATTGTCCTCTCCAGTGGGTCTCTTATGGTTCTACTGACATCCCCTGGGTTCCAGCCCATCAATACAGACTCTCACTCTGGTGGTACCTCATCTCTCTAGAATATCCTACTGGGAAGAAGCCTTTCAAGAAATCTCAAGACTCACTACCTTTTGTCAGGTTTGTGGCCCACAGGAAAACAAAACCAACCAAAACATTTGGTCCTGGTGGCTTTGGAAGTGCAGGCCATTCCCAAAGAATGTTTGCCCTGCTGCCACTGATGACTCCTCACAGGCTTTCATCCATAGACATTTTTAGGTATTGTCAGGGAGGCAACAGTTTCTGAGTGCCCCAGCCTCCAGGGATAGAGAAAGCCCTCCTTATTGGCTTGGAGAGGGAGGAAAGCCCCCCTGCTCTCTCATGTCAGGAGGAGCAGCAAACTGACCATCTCCCAAGCCTCTCACTCACTACCAGCTCTCTCATGAACTCTTACATATTTCTTTTTTTTTTTTTTTTTTTTTAGATGGAGTCTCACTCTGTCGCCTAGGCTGGAGTGCAGTGGCACAATCTTGGCTCACTGCAACCTCCGCCTCCCAGGTTCAAGCGATTCTCCTGCCTCAGCCTCCTGAGTAGCTGGGATTACAGATGCACACCACCACGCCTGGCTAATTTTTATACTTTTAATAGATACGGGGCTTCACCATGTTGGTCAAGCTGCTCTTGAACTCCTGACCTCGTGATCTGCCCGCCTTGGCCTCCCAAAGTGCTGGGATTACAGGTGTGAGCCGCTGCGCCTTGCCTTTCTTATATATTTCTTATGTCTTATATTGCCTGAAGTTAACTGATGGGTTAAGGGGGCAAAACGTCTCTCTCCAAGTCTTGCCTAAATGGTGCACTGCCTGACATCAGAAAGCAGAGATGCTCCCATCTATGATTCTCAGCTGTTGGCCTCAGCAATTAAATAAGAAAAGCAAGCACTCTTTACATCCTGAGTTCCATTAAATAAAAACCCTCCTCCTACCAAAAGCCAATCTTTATTTTTTTGGTTCCACTTTGTTTTTTGTTTTTTTTTCTTTTATTATTATACTTTAAGTTTTAGGGTACATGTGCACATTGTGCAAGTTAGTTACATATGTATACATGTGCCATGCTGGTGCGCTGCACCCACTAACTCGTCATCTAGCATTAGGTATATCTCCCAATGCTATCCCTCCCCCCTCCCCCCACCCCACAACAGTCCCCAGAGTGTGATGTTCCCCTTCCTGTGTCCATGTGTTCTCATTGTTCAATTCCCACCTATGAGTGAGAATACGTGGTGTTTGGTTTTTGGTTCTTGCGATAGTTTACTGAGAATGATGATTTCCAGTTTCATCCATGTCCCTACAAAGGACATGAACTCTTCATTTTTTATGGCTGCATAGTATTCCATGGTGTATATGTGCCACATTTTCTTAATCCAGTCTATCATTGTTGGACATTTGGGTTGGTTACAAGTCTTTGCTATCGTGAATAGTGCCGCAATAAACATACATGTGCATGTGTCCTTATAGCAGCATGATTTATAGTCCTCTGGGTATATACCCAGTAATGGGATGGCTGGGTCAAATGGTATTTCTAGTTCTAGATCCCTGAGGAATCCCCACACTGACTTCCACAGTGGTTGAACTAGTTTACAGTCCCACCAACAGTGTAAAACTGTTCCTATTTCTCCACATCCTCTCCAGCACCTGTTGTTTCCTGACTTTTTAATGATTGCCATTCTAACTGGTGTGAGATGGTATCTCATTGTGGTTTTGATTTGCATTTCTCTGATGGCCAGTGATGATGAGCATTTTTTCATGTGTTTTTTGGCTGCATAAATGTCTTCTTTTGAGAAGTGTCTGTTCATGTCCTTTGCCCACTTTTTGATGGGGTTGTTTGTTTTTTTCTTGTAAATTTGTTTGAGTTCATTGTAGATTCTGGATATTAGCCCTTTGTCAGAAGAGTAGGTTGCGAAAATTTTCTCCCATTTTGTAGGTTTCCTGTTCACTCTGATGGTAGTTTCTTTTGCTGTACAGAAGCTCTTTAGTTTAATTAGATCCCATTTGTCAATTTTGTCTTTTGTTGCCATTGCTTTTGGTGTTTTAGACATGAAGTCCTTGCCCATGCCTATGTCCTGAATGGTATTGCCTAGGTTTTCTTCTAGGGTTTTTATGGTTTTAGGTCTAACGTTTAAGTCTTTAATCCATCTCGAATTGATTTTTGTATAAGGTGTAAGGAAGGGATCCAGTTTCATCTTTCTACATATGGCTAGCCGGTTCCCAGCACCATTTATTAAATAGGGAATCCTTTCCCCATTGCTTGTTTTTCTCAGGTTTGTCAAAGATCAGATAGTTGTGGATATGCGGCATTATTTCTGAGGACTCTGTTCTCTTCCATTGATCTATATCTCTGTTTTGGTACCAGTACCATGCTGTTTTGGTTACTGTAGCCTTGTAGTATAGTTTGAAGTCAGGTAGTGTGATGCCTCCAGCTTTGTTCTTTTGGCTTAGGATTGACTTGGCGATGCGGGCTCTTTTTCGGTTCCATATGAACTTCAAAGTAGTTTTTTCCAATTCTGTGAAGAAAGGCATTGGTAGCTTGATGGGGATGGCATTGAATCTGTAAATTACCTTGGGCAGTATGGCCATTTTCACGATATTGATTCTTCCTATCCATGACCATGGAATGTTCTTCCATTTGTTTGTATCCTCTTTTATTTCCTTGAGCAGTGGTTTGTAGTTCTCCTTGAAGAGGTCCTTCACATCCCTTGTAAGTTGGATTCCTAGGTATTTTATTCTCTTTGAAGCAATTGTGAATGGGAGTTCACTCATGATTTGGCTCTCTGTTTGTCTGTTGTTGGTGTATAAGAATGCTTGTGATTTTTGTACATTGATTTTGTATCCTGAGACTTTGCTGAAGTTGCTTATCGGCTTAAGGAGATTTTGGGCTGAGACAATGGGGTTTTCTAGATATACAATCATGTCATCTGCAAACAGGGACAATTTGACTTCCTCTTTTCCTAATTGAATACCCTTTATTTCCTTCTGCTGCCTAATTGCCCTGGCCAGAACTTCCAACACTATGTTGAATAGGAGTGGTGAGAGAGGGCATCCCTGTCTTGTGCCAGTTTTCAAAGGGAATGCTTCCAGTTTTTGCCCATTCAGTATGATATTGGCTGTGGGTTTGTCATAGATAGCTCTTATTATTTTGAAATATGTCCCATCAATACCTAAGTTATTGAGAGTTTTTAGCATGAAGGGTTGTTGAATTTTGTCAAAGGCCTTTTCTGCATCTATTGAGATAATCATGTGGTTTTTGTCTTTGGCTCTGTTTATATGCTGGATTACATTTATTGATTTGCGTATATTGAACCAGCCTTGCATCCCAGGGATGAAGCCCACTTGATCATGGTGGATAAGCTTTTTGATGTGCTGCTGGATTCGGTTTGCCAGTATTATTGAGGATTTTTGCATCCATGTGCATCAAGGATATTGGTCTAAAATTCTCTTTTTTGGTTGTGTCTCTGCCAGGCTTTGGTATCAGAATGATGCTGGCCTCATAAAATGAGTTAGGGAGGATTCCCTCTTTTTCTATTGATTGGAATAGTTTCAGAAGGAATGGTACCAGTTCCTCCTTGTACCTCTGGTAGAATTTGGCTGTGAATCCATCTGGTCCTGGACTCTTTTTGGTTGGTAAGCTATTGATTATTGCCACAATTTCAGCTCCTGTTATTGGTCTATTCAGAGATTCAACTTCTTCCTGGTTTAGTCTTGGGAGAGTGTATGTGTCGAGGAATTTATCCATTTCTTCTCGATTTTCTAGTTTATTTGCGTAGAGCTGTTTGTAGTATTCTCTAATGGTAGTTTGTATTTCTGTGGGATTGGTGGTGATATCCCCTTTATCATTTTTTATTGCGTCTATTAGATTATTCTCTCTTTTTTTCTTTATTAGTCTTGCTAGCGGTCTATCTATTTTGTTGATCCTTTCAAAAAACCAGCTCCTGGATTCATTAATTTTTTGAAGGGTTTTTTGTGTCTCTATTTCCTTCAGTTCTGCTATGATTTTAGTTATTTCTTGCCTTCTGTTAGCTTTTGAATGTGTTTGGTCTTGCTTTTCTAGTTCTTTTAATTGTGATGTTAGGGTGTCAATTTTGGATCTTTCCTGCTTTCTCTTGTGGGCGTTTAGTGCTATAAATTTCCCTCTACACACTGCTTTGAATGTGTCCCAGAGATTCTGCTATGTTGTGTCTTTGTTCTTGTTGGTTTCAAAGAACATCTTTATTTCTGCCTTCATTTCGTTATGTACCCAGTAGTCATTCAGGAGCAGGTTGTTCAGTTTCCATGTAGTTGAGTGGTTTTGAGTGAGATTCTTAATCCTGAGTTCTAGTTTGATTGCACTGTGGTCTGAGAGAGAGTTTGTTATAATTTCTGTTGTTTTACATTTGCTGAGGAGAGCTTTACTTCCAAGAATGTGGTCAATTTTGGAATAGGTGTGGTGTGGTGCTGAAAAAAATGTATATTCTGTTGATTTGGGGTGGAGAGTTCTGTAGATGTCTATTAAGTGCGCTTGGTGCAGAGCTGAGTTAAATTCCTGGGTATCCTTGTTGAGTTTCTGTCTCGTTGATCTGTCTAATGTTGACAGTGGGGTGTTAAAGTCTCCCATTATTAATGTGTGGGAGTCTAAATCTCTTTGTAGGTCACTCAGGACTTGCTTTATGAATCTGGGTGCTCCTGTATTGGGTGCATATATATTTAGGATAGTTAGCTCTTCTTGTTGAATTGATCCCTTTACCATTATGTAATGGCCTTCTTTGTCTCTTTTGATCTTTGTTGGTTTAAAGTCTGTTTTATCAGAGACTAGGATTGCAACCCCTGCCTTTTTTTGTTTTCCATTTGCTTGGTAGATCTTCCTCCATCCTTTTATTTTGAGCCTATGTGTGTCTCTGCACGTGAGATGGGTTTCCTGAATACAGCACACTGATGGGTCTTGACTCTTTATCCAATTTGCCAGTCTGTGTCTTTTAATTGGAGCATTTAGTCCATTTACATTTAAAGTTAATACTGTTATGTGTGAATTTGATCCTGTCATTATCATGTTAGCTGGTTATTTTGCTCGTTAGTTGATGCAGTTTCTTCCTAGTCTCGATGGTCTTTACATTTTGGCATGATTTTGCAGCAGCTGGTACTGGTTGTTCCTTTCCATGTTTAGTGCTTCCTTCAGGAGCTCTTTTAGGGCAGGCCTGGTGGTGACAAAATCTCTCAGCATTTGCTTGTCTGTAAAGGATTTTATTTCTCCTTCACTTATGAAGCTTAGTTTGGCTGGATATGAAATTCTGGGTTGAAAATTCTTTTCTTTAAGAATGTTGAATATTGGCCCCCACTCTCTTCTGGCTTGTAGGGTTTCTGCCGAGAGATCCGCTGTTAGTCTGATGGCTTTCCCTTTGAGGGTAACCCGACCTTTTTCTCTGGCTGCCCTTAACATTTTTTCCTTCATTTCAACTTTGGTGAATCTGACAATTATGTGTCTTGGAGTTGCTCTTCTCGAGGAGTATCTTTGTGGTGTTCTCTGTATTTCCTGAATCTGAACGTTGGCCTGCCTTGCTAGATTGGGGAAGTTCTCCTGGATAATATCCTGCAGAGTGTTTTCCAACTTGGTTCCATTCTCCCCGTCACTTTCAGGTACACCGATCAGAGGTAGATTTGGTCTTTTCACATAGTCCCGTATTTCTTGGAGGTTTTGCTCATTTCTTTTTATTCTTTTTTCTCTAAACTTCCCTTCTTGCTTCATTTCATTCATTTCACCTTCCATCGCTAATACCCTTTCTTCCAGTTGATCGCATCGGCTCCTGAGGCTTCTGCATTCTTCACGTAGTTCTCAAGCCTTGGTTTTCAGCTCCATCAGCTCCTTTAAGCACTTCTCTGTATTGGTTATTCTAGTTATACATTCTTCTAAATTTTTTTCAAAGTTTTCAACTTCTTTGCCTTTGGTTTGAATGTCCTCCCGTAGCTCAGAGTAATTTGATCGTCTGAAGCCTTCTTCTCTCAGCTCGTCAAAGTCGTTCTCCGTCCAGCTTTGTTCCGTTGCTGGTGAGGAACTGCGTTCCTTTGGAGGAGGAGAGGTGCTCTGCTTTTTAGAGTTTCCAGTTTTTCTGTTCTGTTTTTTCCCCATCTTTGTGGTTTTATCTACTTTTGGTCTTTGATGATGGTGATGTACATATGTGTTTCTGGTGTGGATGTCCTTTCTGTTTGTTAGTTTTCCTTCTAACAGACAGGACCCTCAGCTGCAGGTCTGTTGGAGTACCCGGCTGTGTGAGGTGTCAGTGTGCCCCTGCTGGGGGGTGCCTCCCAGTTAGGCTGCTCGGGTGTCAGGGGTCAGGGACTCACTTGAGGAGGCAGTCTGCCCGTTCTCAGATCTCCAGCTGCCTACTGGAAGAACCACTGCTCTCTTCAAAGCTGTCAGACAGGGACATTTAAGTCTGCAGAGGTTACTGCTCTCTTTTTGTTTGTCTGTGCCCTGCCCCCAGAGGTGGAGCCTACAGAGGCAGGCAGGCCTCCTTGAGCTGTGGTGGGCTCCACCCAGTTCTAGCTTCCCGGCTGCTTTGTTTACCTTAGCAAGCCTGGGCAATGGCGGGCACCCCTCCCCCAGCCTCGCTGCCGCCTTGCAATTTGATCTCAGACTGCTGTGCTAGCAATCAGCGAGATTCCATGGGCGTAGGACCCTCCCAGCCAGGTGCAGGATATAATCTCATGGTGCACCGTTTTTTAAGCCCGTCGGAAAAGCGCAGTATTCGGGTGGGAGTGACCCGATTTTCCAGGTGCCGTCCGTCACCCCTTTCTTTGACTAGGAAAGGGAACTCCCTGACCCTTTGCGGTTCCTGAGTGAGGCAATGCCTCACCCTGCTTCGGCTCGCGCACGGTGCACGCACCCACTGACCTGCGCCCACTGTCTGGCACTCCCTAGTGAGATGAACCCAGTACCTCAGATGGAAATGCAGAAATCACCCGTCTTCTGCGTCGCTCACGCTGGGAGCTGTAGACTGGAGCTGTTCCTATTCGGCCATCTTGGCTCCTGTGTCTTTTTGGTTCTACTTTGGATCTCATTCTCCGTTGACTTTTAAAGGCAACCTCTCCCCTCTTTTCCACACAATCTCTCCCTCTCTACTGAAACAGTCTTATTAGTATCAAAGAAGTTCTATAATCTCCTAATAGACAAAAAAAAGTGGTACGTTCTCCCTTGACCCCACATACTTCTCTAGTATGCAATATTTTTCTGCCCCTCTTCACAGTCAAGCTTCCTAAAAGGTTTTTCTAAGCAATCTTCCTCTACTCTCTGCATCTCCAATTTACTCTTCAACTAACGCCTGACTTCCGTTGCCATTACTTAACGGAAACTACTGTTGTCAAAGTTAACAACCTCTGTGTTGCCAAATGCGATCTACGCTTTTCCCTCGTCATCCCTCTTAGTGTTTCACCAGCAGTCAGCTTAACTGACAAACTTCTTACAGGAAACATTTTCTTCTTTTGTCTCCAGGATAACTCACTATCCTGGACTTCTTATTTCACTCTTCTCATTTCCTTCTTAGCCTCTCCTCTTCTAACTGACCAGGACCGTTAGATTTCCCCAGGGCCTCGTTCTGGAATATCTTCACTTCTCTAGTCTTTCCTGGATGATGTTATCCATTCCCACAGCTCTAAACACCCTCTGTATTCAAAAGGATCCTAAACTGCTAGATCTAGCCCAGAATTCTCCTCTCTCTGGTGTGGCGTATTCAAATATTTACTTAACGCGATGTGCGGAAGCCATCTCACAATTAAAATATTCAAATCAGAAGTAAATACTCCTATGAATGCTATTTCTCTCTCAGTCTTTCCCATCTCAGAAAGCAACAATGCCCTTCCTTCCTGTTGTGAAAGCTAGAAGTCTGGGAAACATTCTTATTTCTCCTCTTTTCCCAAGGATACAATATAATTCTGTGTTTATTGATGGCCTGTCATGTATCTAGCCCTGGATACCCTTGCTCCACTCTTTCCCAGCTCCTGCCTATTCCACCTGCAAAATAGAGCCCTCATCTGGTGATGTCTTTCCCTTTCACTTGCCACTGTCTCAGTCCAAACCTCTGCCATTTCTAGCTCAAGCATCTCAACTGCCTTCTAGTTAACCTCTCTGCTTTCATGCTGGCTTGACACCTGATCCATTTCCACCTAGCCTACAGAGCAATTTTTAAAATATAAGAATTTTACTATAACCCAAAATATTTCAGTTTTACAATTGAAAATATATATGTGTGTGTATATGTGTTGGTTATAACATATATATAATATACCATATATATACTGGTTTATAATTGAATATATACTGTGGATTATAATATGTATATAACCCACCTTGGGTAAGACCTGGATGCCCAGTCCCTGGACACAGAACCCACCTTCACTCACAGCTCTCTAGCCATGTAAGGTCTTTTAGTCCTAGGAGTCAGCCACCTTTTCTACCTCAGGGCCTTTGCACTTGCCATGCACTGTACCATACACCCTGCTCACTCTCATCCTTCAGGTCTCAGCATAAGATGATCTCTTCAGAGATGCTGTCTCTAACCACCTTCTATAAAATAATGTCCCCTGACATTCTCTATCTTGGTCTTCTATTATTTTCTTTATAACTCTCATTACAAACTTTCTTGTTTGCTGTTTGTGACTCTCTGGACTGTAAATTCCATGAGGGCAGATAATTTGTCTGGCTTGCTCACAATTGCATCCTCAGCACTTACTACAGGGATGCAAGAAGAATAAGTTACAAGAATGAATTGGTGAACAGGGGCACAGCTCACAAAGAGACAGCTCACTCCCCAATTGTCCTTCTTTTTTTTTTTTTTTTTTTTTACTTTTCTTTTTTTTTTTTAATTATACTTTAAGTTTTAGGGTACATGTGCACATTGTGCAGGTTAGTTACATATGTATACATGTGCCATGCTGGTGCGCTGCACCCACTAACTCGTCATCTAGCATTAGGTATATCTCCCAATGCTATCCCTCCCCCCTACCCCCACCCCACCACAGTCCCCAGAGTGTGATATTCCCCTTCCTGTGTCCATGTGATCTCATTGTTCAATTCCCACCTATGAGTGAGAATATGCGGTGTTTGGTTTTTTGTTCTTGCGATAGTTTACTGAGAATGATGGTTTCCAGTTTCATCCATGTCCCTACAAAGGACATGAACTCATCATTTTTTATGGCTGCATAGTATTCCATGGTGTATATGTGCCACATTTTCTTAATCCAGTCTATCATTGTTGGACATTTGGGTTGGTTCCAAGTCTTTGCTATTGTGAATAATGCCGCAATAAACATACGTGTGCATGTGTCTTTATAGCAGCATGATTCTCCAAGGCAAGGTCAGACACCCAGAAATCCTTTGCCCTAATGGCTGGAAATGGAAGTGTTTACGAATTAAGCTTTTACACTGTTGGTGGGAGTGTAAGTTAGTTCAACCACTGTGGAAGACACTGTGGCAATTCCTCAAGGATCTAGAACCAGAAATACCATTTGGCCCAACAATCCCATTACTGGGTATATACCCAAAGGATTATAAATCATTCTGCTATAAAGACACATGCATACTTATGTTTATTGCAGCACTATTTACAATAGCAAAGACTTGGAACCAACCAAAATGCCCATCAATAATAGACTGGATAAAGAAAAGGTGGCACATATACACCATGGAATACTATGCAGCCATAAAAAAGAATGAGTTCATGTCCTTTGCAGGGACATGGATGAAGCTGGAAACTATCATCCTCAGCAAACTATCACAAAGACAGAAAACCAAACACCGCATGTTCTCATTCATAAGTGGGAGTTGTTGAACAATGAGAACACATGGACGAAGAGAGGGGAACATCACACACTGGGGCCTCTCGGGCGGGGGGGTTGGGGGCAAGAGGAGGGAGAGTATTAAGACAAATACCTAATGCATGTGGGGCTTAAAACCTAGATGATGGGTTGATAGGTGCAGCAAACCACCATGACACATGTATACCTGTGTAACAAACCTGCACATTCAGCACATATATCCCAGAACTTAAAGTTAAATAATAAATAAATAAATAAAAAAGATTTAAATTCACAGTTGAGGTCAACATCTGGCTGAATTTAACATTCGCATTTGACAGTTTTACTTTCATTAAAAAATGTTTAGCATTTTTTTGAAGCAAAAAAATCATTTGAAAATTGTATAAATAAAAAAAGAATTAAGCTTCAGGTACTATTTCTAAAAGTACAGCCTATAGGCCTTGAGAGCTTCTAATATTTTATTTTTATATGGGTAGAAAATGTCCCTATGACATTTTAGCCAATTCCCATATCTTGATTACCTCTAATTCGACCTATAAAAGCCCATTTCTAACATCCATTATGCTGATTAACAAGCCACTAATTTCACAAATGAAAACCCGGTTTTGACTTCAGCATGCTAATTAGCAAAATGTCTGGTGTTGATCAGAGTTAAAGATAGCTGAAGTGCTTGTGGTAGCTGCCTCTGGAGGATGGCCTTTCTGCAACGAAGCCAGCTGTAGTGCAGATTCCTGATTAAAGCAACTCTCTGTAGCTTAAAGTAACTAATATACACTTTTGGAGCACACTTTCTATGTTATAGTATTATAAAGTAGATGACAACGTCACAAGTTGCCAGGTAGACATCCACACAGAGGCATCTTGGAGGTAGCTAGATACATAAATATGGTGCTCAGGACTGCAAGAGTACATATTTGAGTCTTTGGCATATTAATGGTGTTTAAAGTCACGAACCTAGATGAGCTCATCCAGAGAGTGAGTAGATAAGAGAAGGAAAAGAGGTCCAAGGATTGAGACCTGGGACACTCCAGCATTTAGGGGCTAATTAAAGAAGGAGGATACAGCCAAGGAGATCAAGAAACAACTAGTTACACAGGCAGATGACTAGAAAAGCATGTCGACCTGAAGGCTAAGTAAAAAAAAGTTTCAAAAAAGAATGATCAAATGTGTCAAGTGCTGTAAGAGACTAAGCAATGGGGATTGAGAACTTAACATTGCATTTACCCAGACTGCAATCACAAATGTCTTGATAAGGACAATTCCTATACAACAGTAGAGATGAAAACATGATTGTTGTGGACTAAGGAGAGAATGGGGGACAAGGAAATAGAAACAATTTGGGCAACTCTTTGGAGTTGCTTTCCTATACAGGGGAAGAGAGAAATGGAGCGGTAGTTGGAAAGTACCAGGGGTCTAAGAGGTCTTTGTTGTTGTTCTTGATGTTATGTGAGATATTATAGCATGTTTTGATGCTGCCAGAACTGATCCATTAGAGAGGAGAAATTAGCAAGGAGAGTGCCTCCTCCTGATGCTATGCCACAGAAGGGGGAGGGCCATGCTGCTATCTACGACGTCCACCCAGATTCTGTGCCATCAAGATAAATTTCTAACCTAGATTAGAGTTGGAGGAGTCCCTTAGTAATTCAATGGGATGGAGAAAAATAATTTACAGAAGAACTTGACTTCTAAAATAAAAGACTACCTAGGAAGACCCACCCCAAGCCCTGCATCTCTAGACGATGGGCTAGGAGTGAATGAGAGGCTTCTCCTCTGTTACTCACTGGCAGTGGGTTTTGCCTGACAAACGTTCTAATTGGCCTGAGCCGCAAGTCCCTAATCCATCCTGAGCAGGGATTATATCAGCCTCAGCAACTGCAGAAACAGCCCCTGGTAACAAGATCAGGAATCTGCCAGCATCTCAGTGAATGTGCAGAGAAGAAACAGCTCACCACAAACCAGAGGGAGGAACCCCATGGTCCACTGAGTGGGTGCTGAGGCTCTCCTTATGTCTTCTTAAGATCACAAGTCTCACATTATTAACTCAGAAGCCTCTGTGCAAATGATAAACACTGCAGACCCAGAAAAGCCCAGGAAGCAAGGAAGCTAATTGTGAACTATTCCCCCACCCCTCCTTATACCTGAAACCCCTGGCCCTCTGGCTCCAGGATTAGATATGTGCACTTCCAGCCTCACTCTCACTGATGCTGCTTCTGTCATTCCATCATCACAGTCAATTCATTCCTGTGTTTTAGTGACCCTGAGAAGGGATTTCAGGAGGAAATGTGATTTCACAAAGGCTCCTTATATGTCCCTAGCTCTGCATCCACATCCAGCTTGATTTAGCCAGGAACTTAACATCTTTAACCTGAAACTTTGCAGCTCTCTTCTTGTTGCTAGCCTCTCTGTTCTCTATACTCCAGTCTGTGAGGCTACCTCTTCCTGGAAGAAATTTAACCTCATATTCCCTGTCGTCAAATAAATACTATCATTTTTTCTCCATTGCCTGCAGACTGAAAACAAATACTTTGTAAGGGATGTGTGATCCTTCCTAGACTGCCCCCACCTCTTCCAAGCCCCCTTTCCCTCTTCCACTTTGCTCCCATGGAACTGGCAGCCCAGGCGTCAAGTGTGGTAGGCTCTTGCACAAAGGCACAAGCTGTTTCCTTCACTAGAAATGCACTGTTGACCCTTGCTATCTGGTGAGCTCTTATTCACCCCTCAACATCCAGCTCAAATGCCACTCCCTCTCTGAATTCTACTGCTATAGACATTGTTGGTTACCTACCCAGCATCTATTCTTTCTTTGTTTCACTTTCTATACCATGTACATGATTCCAGTGAAGTGTATTTCAGGGAAGGGGTCTTTTTTTTTTTTTTTTAACCAAAACCCATAATGATAATCCTGTTCCTTTACATCCCATGTGAATGCTGTTGTCCCTGGAGTGGGTATGTGACCTGTACTGAATGAAGGGAAATAAGTTTTCACAATTTGAGCCGAAGTTTTTCTCTCTCTTTTGTTAGACACAAACAAGAAAACTATTGCCCAAGGTGATGCTTCTGGCCATCATACTGCATCCATTAGGTGAGCTGAGGTCAAATTAAGCCGACACAAGAAGGCAGAGCTGAGAGGGGAGCAGAGAAATGGAATCAGAGCCCTGGTCATGCTGTAACTTTTGCCTACCATGACTTGGACATTATGTCTTGTGAGATAATAATTTTTACTTATTGTTTAAACCAGTTCGAACTGGGTTTTCTAGTACTTGCGGCTGAATGCCTCCTACCTGATGCATCCACTCTCAGTTACATAGCATCAGCATTCCTCCATGCTCCCCTCCCACAGGACTCGGTCATAGTACATTTATATTTGTCTCTCCATGCAAGACTGTGACCTCATCAATATCTGTGTATCTTTAATGTCTTACACAGTTTCCAGCACACAGTAGGTTGATGGGTGTAGAGGTTATAAACAAACAAATGGATGAATTCCTTGGTAATCCCAAAAAACCACTCCACTGAGTTATAAATTATTAAGAGGAAGGTAACAAAAAAGAAATAAAGGAAGAATCCTTTCAAAGAGAACAATGCTAATAACTACAGAGATATCAGTGTTTTGTATTAATTAGTATCTTCAAGTTCAGTTTCCTATTGTGTCCCTTCTTGCAACAGGGACAGGAAATTGCTGCAAAATTAAAGCAGATGAATCTACCTCAGAGCTTATGAAGTGTTCAGATTTCTTGTAGTTTTGAATCTTGTCTTCAGCATTCACCAGCCATTTGACCTTGAGCAACCTCTCTGAGCTTCACTTCTTTTCTCTGTGATTTGGGGATGATGATATCTCACAAGGCTGCCTGAGGTTTAAACAAGGTTAAGCCTGAAAGAACCTATTGTAGTTCCTGGGTCAGAACAAATAGCTAAGATCATACAGGTGTGGAAGATAGGCAGCCTGCTATATTTTTGTTTGTTTTAATTGAGAAAGGTTTTCTTAAGAGAGAATCTCTCTCAGCTGTCATTGTCCCAGAGCTAAGTTCCTTTATTTCCATCTATATTTGTGTCTGAGCTTAGCCTAGATACAACTACAGAGTTGAAGGCAGGACATCCCTTATGTTGTGACAGGAGCATTATAGTTTTCTAGTTAAGAAAATAAACTGGAAAAGAAAAAGTAGAAAAATTAAGTAGGAAGAAAGGATGGAAATGTCTATTCACTGAACCCTATTGTACCTGGGGTAGCTGTTTTCCAGCCTTGAATTCAGTGGAGTGTGTATTATTACCCCCATCTAAAAATGACACCTAAGCTTAGGGAGCATAAGAATTTATCCAAAACCACATGACTAGTCAGAGGCAGAGGTGCCAATCCAAATCCGTTTGGTTCCAGAGATGACGGGGAGGCTAGAGAGATTTGGGACAATGGCCAGTACATAGTAAGAAAGCCAGAGTCTGGGGTCCTAGCATACCTAGCAGAACCATGGGAGTTGAGATAACACAGCCAGCTTACTTGCATTTTCCCCTGAGTCCTGAGAGAGAATGATCCATTAGTAATTTAATTCATTCCCTGCAGTTGGTGCAACATAATTCCCTAACAAAGTGTATTCAGGCCAGTCCACAGGGGGACCAGAAAAAAATGAAGTAGAACTCTCAGAAATCATGTTCTTTACATGAAAATAGATCAGGCCGTGGGAGGGGGCAAACTGAAAATAGCCTGAGGGAGTGAGAGACAAAACATGTGAAACAGTGAGAGAGAGGCTGAGACAACTGTGATGTGGTGAAGAAAGGCCACTATGCAGAGAAAGGAGCAGAGGAAGGGAAGAGATGGAATGATTTTTTTTTTTCAGGATTCTGTTAAGCCATCCATTCATCCCCTAAGGCAAAATCATTCCCCAAAAGACAGAGTATTTTAAATTATGTCAACTTACTTAAAGTACCACTTCCTTGGTAGTCTATCTGCCCTTTCAGAAACATTCATTTTATGAAAGAAACAAATAAATATTAATAAATAAATGAGTAGATAACATTTTCCCCATATTCGAAATTGATGCATCTTTATTATATAAAGTTTGGAAAGTACATGAAAAAAAATCACCTATCCCACAGCATGAATATAACCACCTGCTCTGTGTTTGTGTGTGTGTGTGTGTATCTCCACAATGTTGCAAAGTAACAAACAGAAACAGAATCTCTCAGTTTCTAAACAGAGATACATGCCGCTAATGTTTCTGAGGTGTCCAGAATTACCTGTATTCTAGAGGACATCAAATTTTTGTCTTCTCAAAGACTTTGAGCGTTCATCCTTATCTCTCCTGCATCATAAAATAGACTTTAAAAATATTAGGCTGGGTGCGGTGGCTCACGCCTGTAATCCCAGCAGTTTGGGAGGCTGAAGAAGGCAGATCACTTGAGGTCAGGAGTTCGAGACTAGCCTGGCAAACATGGTGAAACCCTGTCTCTACTAAAAATACAAAAAATTAGCCAGATGTGGTGGTGGGCACCTGTAATCCCAGTTACTCAGGAGGCTGAGGCAGGAGAATTGCTTGAGCCTGGGAGGTGGAGGTTGCAGTGAGCCAAGATCGCACCACTGCACTCCAGCCTGAGCAACAGACTAAGACTGTCTCAAAAACTAACTAACTAAATAAATATATATATATATAATCCACATATCCCTCCATTTACCACTTCATTTCTCATCACCATCCTTTGAAATAATTGTCTTCATGGGCTGATTCCATTTCATGTCCAATTCATTACTGCTGTAAAATCATATATAATTTTACTATATACAGGTATGTAAAATCTATACATGTGTATAATTACTATATATGTGTATATATAGTAATTTTACATATGTAGTTATATTACTATATATAGCATATATAGTTATATTACTATATATAGCATATATAGTTATATTACTATATATAGCATATATAGTAATTTTACATGTTTTGTAAATATGTAAAATTATACCTAATTTTATATATACACATATATATATAATTTATGTTTATAATTATATATAATTACTAACTGCTTGTTTTAGAAATTTCCTTCATTTACCATGTCCCTCCATCAATTCAGCTCCAGTAGAGCACTATCTGTTGGTCTTTTCTCTGGGTCCATCCAGCTTTTCCAGAAAAGACTACCAATGTATTTTCCAGACTTCCTGGAGTTCTGGGAGATAAATAGGGAGTGGAGACTAGTGTTTCATTTTTCCAAATGTAGACTTTTACTTTTTCCTATTATTTTAACATTTGCCTCTCCTGCCCCTCCAGCCCTCTGCTATTCATGGGACTGGAGAGAGAAACCTGAGGTTCTAACTGCTCCTCACAAGACTTCCATGCAGCTCTCTCATGTTCAGGTCATCCTCTCAGTCCTGCTGTGGCAGTGCTATAGGCTGAATGTTTATGGCCCTCCAAAATTCAAGTGTAAAAGCTTAATCCCCAGCGTGATGGTATTTGGAGGTCAGGCATTTGGGATGTGATTAGATTATGAAGGCAGAGCCCTCCTGAATGGGAGTAGTGCCCTTATAAGACACCCCAAGGAACTAATTTGTCCCTTCCACCATGTGAGGACACAGTGAGAAGGCACCGTCTATAAACCAGGAAGCAGGCTCTTACCAGATAATGAATCTGCTAACACCTTGATCTTGCTCTTTCCAGCCTCCAGAGCTGTGAGAAATAAATTTCTGTTGCTTAGGAGCCACCCAGTCCATGGTATTTTCTTATAGAAGCCCAAGCTAAGACAGGCAGATTGTACTAGTGGAACTAATTCTTCACTCATGTCCTTTGCCATGTGACTCTGCAATTCCTTTCACTCAAGAGTTGTGGCCATGTGATTATTAGGCCATATGATTATTAGGCTTGGCCATGTG
Source organism: Homo sapiens (assembly GCF_000001405.40). NCBI lineage: Eukaryota > Metazoa > Chordata > Mammalia > Primates > Hominidae > Homo > Homo sapiens. The sequence goes on from NC_000001.11 coordinate 177,416,585, forward strand.
ATTCTCTTTGGCCAGTAGATGAGGTATGAGTGACAGTGTGCCAGTTCTGAGCCTAACCCTAGCTTTTTCACTTGTCCTCCTGTGCCTCTGCCTTCCTGTGAGAAGGACATGATTGTGCCAGCTTCCTGGCCTCAGGGGAGGGTGAGAGACAAGCGCAGAAGAGTTGCCCCAGCTAAGGAGCTGGGCCAGGCCCAGCCTTGAGAAAAGCCCCCGCTGGCCCACAAATGCATGAGTGAACCAACTAGTCTTCTGAAGTTTGAATAACAAGGGATTATTGTATGCCCCCGAGGTTTTAAGATTGTTTCCCACCCATTATTATTGGAATTATTCCTAACCAATGCACCCTTTTCTTCCAATACCTGAAGTTTTCAGGGGGTTTGGAGATGGGTTTTCTCTTTGTCATCCCGCTTTTCAAACATTTACCACTTCTCCATCTAATTCAACTGATCATTTTCCAAATTTTGTTGATGCCTTTCTTTCACTGTCTTTCAACCTCCTATTCTCTTTGCCCTTTTCAACTTCTACGTATTTAAAACTCCCGTTTTGTCATTTTGAAGGCTTATTCCAGAGTCAGGGAAATAAGAGATAGATACATGTGGTTAATCAAAAGTCTCTCTTTTCTGAAACGTTGTGCTCTCTTGCATTACAGAGGCAATGCTATTGTTCACCAGATAATTTCCATTTTTCTTCTAGATGACTGGCTAGCAGAATGTAAGCAAAAATGATTCAGGCCACTTTTATAATTCTCTCCTTCTCCTATTGTCTTACATACAATGTATTGATAGTAATGATTAATTTAGTCTTTGCATTATATAATATCAAAGAGAATTTGGACTGTGCTAAGGAAGGAATGAACATTCTCCACAAGTGTATCCATAGGATTTTGTATCTCTAGGGGAGACAAACGGTAACTTTTTATTCATATAATACATGAACACAGCTCTTGGGTCATTGCATGCTGCTGATACTGTTGTTTAGAAGTTCAATATGGATAGAAGGGTGTATTCGGACACTGAGAATCCTAGGGGTGGACTGTATCAGATATTATTAAACTTTGTAGCTTTGCTGCCATTCTCAGCTCTTCTCTGAACTTGAGGATGTAATGCCTAAAATAACATTTTCCAGACTTGCTTAAAAGCCAGTTTCTAGTTCGACTGTGCTAATTAGTGGCACTACTACGACTACCCTGACTCCCTCAGGAAGTGGTAAAGTCCAGCCCACATGCTGTGCTAAGGAGTGGGAAGACACCACTGTAAAGGCATTGTTTCCTCCCAACTGGTGATTGGTACTCCAGTCAATCAGGTGACTTGAGGGAGCCCACATTAATTTTACCTTGTTCCCTGTGTATCGAACTTCTGAGGCCAGACACCTTGCTGTGTCACTATGTCACTTTGCTTACTCTGAGTGCAAATGCATGCATTCAGTGTCACAGAACTATGAATCTGGAACTGTATGGAGGTGGTAGGGTGACCCCAAGGTCCCTGACAAGATAACTGGCCTCAAGTATGGCACCGAGAGTAAGGATACTTCCAGAACAAGGAGACACCCCTTTTCTATTTGAAAGGAGATGACTGAAATCATGAGAGGCAGAATATGGATACATAGTAATTGAACTTGAATATTTCCAGAAGAATTGTCACCTAGGCCACTTAGTCCTTTGATGTGTTTCTCACAGGTGGTGACCATCTCAGCTAATCTGTCATGATGCTGGAGTTACTACTTTGTACTGAATGGGCTGGTGAAGAGTTGGTAGCCACTTACTGTATCCTGATAACACCAACGTTTTTGCCTACTTCTGGTGCCTTCTGGCAAACTCCAGTGAATTATACCACATAGCACCCCACCAGTGTAACTATCAACAATGAATCATAGGACTGGAGACTGAACAAGCCATGCAGTCTTCCTCTTTTCAGGAATCATTAGAGAAGGCTTGAGAATAATGCTGCAAATTTTAGTTAACATTTGGTCAACCCCTGGGCTACAGCTCCAGATGCTGCTGACATGGCTATACTTTTCAAACTGGAGAATATGCCCCTCCTGGTTGTTATTATGAATGGAATTCCCCTCAGTCTTCGGGTGAGAATGACCTGCCTCCTGGGGGTAGTCAACTATTACTAACCATCTTCCCATGTCTCTTAAAGTGATGTCAGTGACTGGTCTCATAGCTCTCAGGATTGAAATAGTATATATTTCTGACATGGAGGTATAGTGCATAGACACCACCTTTTGGATTCAGAAGGCAGATTGGGAGTAAAGGATTAACCTGTTTAAGACTCATTTCTTGTAGGACTCCAGCAAAGCTCCATGGAAACTGGCTATAGCCCAGGGCTTTGGTCAATAAATGCTAATCAATCAGAAGGCTTAGACCCCAGGAACCTGACCAGACCATGGGAGGGTCTAACGTTTCTCCAAACAATAATGCTGTTATAGAAAATCCTGCCAGTAAACAACCACATCATACAGTTGCAACTCCAAGTCTTAGATCTCAGTTCCCTGTTCACATCAGAAGTAGGACTGGTGCTTCATCAGCCATAAACATGGAGCTTGCAGAACAGGGCTAGAGCAAAGCTCCACCACTCAAATGCTGTTGAATCAAGGCACTAATTGTGTCAGGTGAAGGGCTGATGCTTCCTTGGTCAGACAGCTTAAAAGTCCCACAGACCAAGGGCTGTAGTTCAATATCTGTGCTTGTTAGATCCTGGACCTTGACCGGAAATGCAATAACCAATGGAGAATCTGAACATATGTTAAAATGCCTATATCCAAGAATTTTTCCCAAGGAATGATGGCCTGGCAAGCCTAGTGTAGGTGCTGACTTGCTGTCTGCCCTGTTTTGCTTTGTAGACAGTATTCAATTCTGGTATTTTTTCCGCATACACACTTTCTTTCTTGATGGCATCATCAATTTCCATGGCTTTAAATGTCATCTATATGCTGCTGATTCTCAAATATAAATTGTACTTGTACCTCTGACTTCTCTGACCTCAGGAATTACATCCCTAACTACTTACTTGACATTCCATCTGAATGTTATACAGACATCCCAGACTTGATATGTCTCAGACTAAAACACAATCTCATTTTCTCCACTGCTGCTACCTTTTCCATGCCATCCTTCTACCTGCCACATGGATGTCACCATCTCCCACCCTGAACACAGATATTTCTTCTTCTATCCTTACCCTCCTCTGCCCTGTTCTCCTTATGGTAGACAAAGGGATCTTTCAAAAATGTAAACCAGGTCATCCTATTCCACTGCTTATTGGTACAATAACTGCACAAGTGCTAAATTTATATGGCAAAAAGGCCCCCAACTACCTTCATGATGAAAATTGCCTCATCCTTCAAGACTCATTTGACAGTAATCTCTTTTTTTTAAGCACCTGTCCTTTTTATGTTGTCTAAAGGAAATTCTCATCCTTATTCTCATACCTTTCACAATTTTTAATTATGTAATTGGCTTAATTGTTTGATTTCTCTGTTAGCTCTAGAAAAGCAAATATCATATCTGTCTTATTCATCATTATTTTTGCAGATTTGGGACAATGGCCAGTACATAGTAAGTGCTCAATAAATATTTGTAGAGTAAAATAATAAGCACGTTTCTAGTTGTGTTTACTGAGCAGGTCCTTAGAGTATTACTTGATTGCCTTTTTTACTTCAGCTAATATTTGTCTCTCAGATGATGGCCTTTTTTAACAAAGAAATAATTTTACTTTTAATCACTCTAGGGGAGTTGAATGTGTACTAAGGTAAGGAAAACAGCCCTATCTATGCAGATGTAGATGGTGGGATAATAATATTCGCTTCCTAGCTCTGCAGCTCAACTCACCTTGCACCTTTCTACTTCAACACAATTGAAAACTGCTTCATAAGTCTTTGGATTGCTTAAGAACAGTTAAAACTATAAATAGGAAATCTATGCATGCAAGGAGTTCCATATGAAGTTTTTAATAAAGATTTGTATTTTAAAAATGGCTTCATTATGTCATTATTAAAACTTAGTTGGAGACTAAGTTCAATTAACTTTTTCATAAAGAGTTAGTTGGTGGTATATACTGGTCCTTTGCCTCTATGAGAACGATTTGAATTTGGGGTAACATTCCTTCCTCTCACAGCTACCACAATTCCAGATGTGGCTCCCTTGTATTCCAGCATTTATTATTGAAAAAAATTAAAATGTCTGTTGCCAACTAGTATTACTTCTTCTGTAGATAAGCTCTTCATTTGTTTTCTTACTTTTGTTGGGGGTACTCATGAGAATTTTTCCCCTTTATAATTCAAACCTTGTGCCTAACTATATATAAGTATCATTTTATTAATTTTACCTATTTGAGATCTTTTCTAAAAATCAAGAAATATTTTCATTATCTTTCCTAATTTAACCTGCTTCCAATGTTTGGAACACTTTTCAAAAGCATTTCTAATTATCTGATAAAGCTTCTGTGTTCTATCTTCTATATTCATAATCCTCTTTCACATTTTCTTATTTCCTCTGCATTTTTGAAGAGCTTCTCAAGTTACTCTTGCCAATGGTGATTTACGTTTTTTCTCAGCATCAATTCTGTTCCTAAGTACCTCTGATATAAAGTCAAATTCTTCCTCAGAAGGTCCTGACTTATAGTTGCTAGACTTGTACCTCCTCCTTTCCACAATTTTTATGATATTGCTTTTCAGGATGACAATAATGCTCCCAGATAGTATTAAGGAACATCTAATGACTGTGAATGATACCAACACCAATGCTATCACCATGCCAAGTCAATTATCACACTTGGTTAGCTGGTGAGGAGTATCCTGCAAACATACTTAAGCTGTGAGAATCTCATTCACACAAGCTCTATAGTGAGGCTCTTATTGAAATAGAAGGGAAAACAATGTTCTGAGGATAGGTAAAAGATGAGAATCTCCTCTGAGTGGACCAAGTAGAGAGAAATGCACTGCCTTTGGGCAGGCCTGGCCCTGCACATGAGCAGAAGGTACCTATGGGGTACATAGTCTCATGCCAAAGAGCACAGCTTGGGGAATGGCACAAGGGCTGGATCCCAGCTCCTACTTGCTCCCTTGGCTGGGCACCTGCGCAGTAAGCAAAATGTGCAAATGTACATTTTGGCAGCTCTGGTTCCTGTTGCTCCTAAGGCCAGCACTATCATTTCATGATTTGGTTTTTCGAGTCAATACATCTATCTTTGTTTGTTTAAAAGAATTTCATCACTTGCAACTGAATGAATTTAGTTGGTTTGTACATATGATATGAGTATTTCTCCAAACACTAACAGAAAAGATGCAGAAAGTGTTGGCATGAGCCATTTGCTGAGGAAGGATAGGATGTCTGGGAATAACTATTGTTAATACAGTCTCAGATGACATCATTAATGGGCATATAACATGGTAAGGAGAAACCTGTGAGCTGAGGTTACACATATTATCCAAGAACAGGCTATCAGGGCAATGAGCCCCTGAGCTACCATCTCATAGTACCTTAAGGCTGGGAATGAGGGCCATTTCCTTGGTTATAAGGACCAACTTAAGACAGAGTGCAGTGTATTATTTGTAGCATGTTGAGAATTCAGAAGGGGAAGGACTTAAAAACATGTTTTCTAGTAGACAGTAGAGGCCTTTCCTGGTTACTACTGAGACCCAATAAATCTATCCAGTTCCTGGGCTTCTGTCTTACCCCAATATAGATAGACCACCATGCAACAGCCCAGTCTGACCCTTTCTGTCAAGAAATGAAAAGGAAGGAAGGAAGGATGGAAAGACGGAAGGCAGGCAGGCATAAGATTAAAATACTGATATCAGGTTAAAATATTACTATCCTCAGAGATAGCTGCATTACAAATGTGGCGGGGTGGGGAGACATTACGTCAAGCTACTAGAATTAAGCTAAAAGTATAAACTCCTTGGACAACTGAATTTAGTTAGTATTTGTATCCCCTGTGCCTAGCAAAGTGCAGAGCATAGAGTAGGTAGTCAAAATATGTTTCCTGATTGGGAAAATCCATGTTGAATGCACGAGCAAGTGAGCTGGGAAGAACTGCAGCAGTGCCTACTCAATGCTCCTGAAACCACACCGCTTCAGTGAAGCTACCCATGCCCATTCCTCAGAGGCTTGGATTTGTCTTGTAGTCTGATCAGACTGCACACACTTCCATTAGCACTTATATCTGCTATATTATTTTTCTGCATGAATGTCCTCATTGGTTATGAGTTTTTGTCTTTATATCCCCAGCACCTATCTACTAAAAGTAAGAGCTGATTATCTTTGTTTCTTCAGCACCTATCTACTAAAAGTAAGAGTAACAAATGAAAAAAGAGGGAGAGAGGGAGGGAGGGAGAGAGGGAGACAACCTCCCAGTCTGACCTATTAAAACTAGAGTTAACAGAGTTCTTGTATCTCTGAGGGTTGAGATGTTGAGTTGCGGCTGCAGCAGCTGACTCTGAGCATCCTTCTCTCAAATCCACGACAATGAAAAGTTGAAGGCAATTCACGCTTTGCAATTGAGAAACTATGAAACAGCTTTTGTTGTGTAACAAACTACCCCCAAAAATTAATAGCTTAAAACAACCATAAGTGTTTACTTAGCCAAGTTTGTGGACTGACTGACTTAGGCTGGGCTTAACAGAATTGTTTAGTTAGCCTTGGCTTGGCTCCCTCACCTCTCTGTGGCCAGCTGGGGTTCACTGTCTTTGGCTGAGTAGGGCTGGGGGTGTGTATACTCCACGTGCCTCTCATCATCATCCTGGGACCAGCAAAGTAATCCAGTTGGCCCTCTTCATAGGGCTGGCAGAGGTACAAGTGCAAGCCGAATCATGCAAGCATTTTCAAGACTCTGCTTGAGTTACATCTGCTAACATCCCATTGACCAAAGGGGTAAAGCAGTGGGACCATTAATGTAATCTACCCAATTGCATTAATCTAACTGATTAACCTAATGAAGAGGCTCTTCATCCCTGTGAGAGCAAACAATTGTTTTAAAAGCTCATCTCAGACATACCATTGTGTGGCATGAAAATAAATGCTTAATTTGAGAGAGAAAAAATCTAAAGCTTTTAGTAGGGAAAAAAAATAAACCTAGCTTTGGTAGAAATTTAAATCACCAATCACAAAGTTAAATCTTCTTTCTAAAACCATAAGTGGTAATATATTGGTCAAAAATAATTGTCATAGGTCCAGGATTTTACCTTACCTGCATGCTAGCAAGTTAGCCTGCCACAATTTCATGGATATTGGTAAAAGATATTGGGCTCCTGGGCCAGAAATAAAGGATATTTTTATTAATCTCAGCAACAGCAGCATCAGCAGCAGCCAGAGAACCATCATTTTTGCCTCAGTACCCCAAGCCCAATTCCCATAATGCAAAGCTTAGAGGGCCAGGTGACACCTGCATACTTAGTGTGTTGTGTTGCAGGAGAGGAAAAGGGAGTTTAGGGAACCCAAACCCTACCTAATAAACAGTAAGCATCCTGCCGGGTGCGGTGGCTCACACCTGTAATCCCAGCACTTTGGGAGGCCAAGGTGGATAGATCATGAGGTCAGGAGTTCAAGACCAGCCTGGCCAAGATGGTGAAACCCCGTCTCTACTAAAAATACAAAAAATTAGCTGGGCGTGGTGGCGGGCACCTGTAGTCCCAGCTACTAGGAAGGCTGAGGCAGGAGAACAGCATGAACCTGGGAGGCGGGGCTTGCAGTGAGCCAAAATAGCGCCACTGCAGTCCGGCCTGGGCGACCCAGCAAGACTGTGTCTTAAAAATAAATAAATAAATAAACAGTAAGCATCCTTCCCTTACTGTGGAAAAAGACACCATGTCTGTCTTCCAAGGCTGTTGGCTAAATAAACGTCACTGTAAAGATAGGAACAAAGACAATCAGTGCCTCCTTTCACAAAATGTCTGGACATGCAAGAGATTCATGGAGAATTGTGTCTCAACAATATAAAATTATCTTCGCCCTTCCACGCTGGCCTTGGCCGGAGCCAGGATTCAAGTAGGGCTTTCATTTCTGTTTTGGATGCCAACACTACCCGTGGACCAGGGTCACATGCGTAGTCAGAATAATATAAGGCAAATACCAATCAGCTTCCATGCTGCAATCTTTGCTCTCAAACTGTTTGAGTTCCCTAGCTGGAGCAAGGCTTATCTATCTTTGAGTCTCAGTTACCCTATCTGTGAAGTAAAGGGTAAAGTCTACAGCATCTTCCTTCCAGATCCTCTTTCCTAGGTTGGAGTACCCATCTGTCAGCAGCTGAGAGTGTTGGACAGTAATCCTCTGTGGGAAATTGCCCTTAGCCAAACAGAAGCCTCTTACTCAAGATGTTAAGCCATGCCCACCACTATGCCAAAGGAAATTTATGCTCCCAAGCTCCAGTGGGATCAGGGACCAAATGCTTACTTAGCTCTTTCCCCTGTCCTACTTCCCTCACTCCCTTTCTCCTTAGAGCATTGTCTCTGTAAATCACATGCACTAAAATCCATGACTCAGACTCTGCTTTTAGGAAATTTAACTTTAGAGTAATAGCTGCCTCAGAGGGCTATGATCAAACATAACTGGGTACAGTTCAGAATGAAAGGAGTAATAATAGTTTTCCTACCATTTCTGCCTGTAACGCCCAGTATAATGTTGTACTCTAATTGTCCTGGTCTGTGTAGCTGCTCTTCCCATCTAAGCTGGCCTCTGGTCAGCCAGTTCTATCAGGCCCAAGAGTGAGTGCCAGGCCCCTACCTCCTATTTAGCTGGTCATGGTCTTTTCTAAGGCATGCCTGTTCTGCTCCCATCATGGTCTTGGATGACCTACACCAGCAAAATTCTGAGTCATCCAGAGAAGTCATATAGCCTCCAAACAAAGCCATGTGGTGTGCGTGCATGCGCGCGCGCGCGCGTGTGTGTGTGTGTGTGAGAGAGAGAGAGAGAGACAGAGACAGAGACAGAGAGAGACCAATAAAGAAACTGAACCTGAAACATACTCTGCTATAGCAGTGCATATAACCTAAAGTAAAAAATTATTTTCCAGGCTATTTGAACCTGGAATCATGTCAAGAAAGACAGTTGTTTACTGGGACTGTGCCTAGCTTTCTGATCACTGCAGTTACCCACTGTTACTCCAACTTACACAAAAATTTATACAGATATACAGCAACAATGCCTCTGGCAATGCCAGTGTCTGGAAAGTGGCCTGTCCTCTTCCTTGGTACTTACGTACCATTAATGCTAGTTTCTGGATTAATCAGATTCTACTGTAGTTGCAAGGAGTCAACCATTTCTTAATCTGTGCAGTTAACTGCTTAGGTAAAAATATCAAACCAGATTCTTCTTACCAAAACTTTGAGTCATTTTTACAATTCTTTAATTTCTGTTTCCGGCACTCTTCCAAAATGAATTCACATGGCCTTCCTTTTGAATTCATGTGTTTGTCCCCAGAACTCATCTCAACTGCCACATTTCTACTTGGGAAATGCTCTTTTGCCCTCCCCAAACTGCTTCCAGTCAGCTACGTCTCTCCTGAGTTCAATCAACCCACTTGACTCAGGTCTTTCTTTTTTCTGACACTTTTGCCATCTAAATAAAGAATATTCTGGACACAATGTACTGTACCCTTCAATGTGACACTCTGATTGGCAGCATTTTTTATTAGTGCAAAAGCCATGTCCCTAAAGTCAAAGCAGCCAAGGGTAAGCCACAGAAGTTCAGCTCACATCATCAATTCCATCCTGCTCCTTCATCCCCCACATATGCAGGCAGAACTGCATTCAGTTTTCACTAGTTAGAAAAGGCAGAAAACTGGTATAGTCATCTAGGTAGATAATCTGGGCAAAATTCATCTCGTATATAGCATGTATCTCCCAGAGGGTCTCAAATCAAGCACAAATAAAATAGCATAAAATGGGCAAGGAATCACATCCCATCCATCCTAATAGATTTGGGAAGCATGTCTGGCTTCTCCACAGAGTCTCATTTTAGAAGCATAGAAGCTAGTCCCCAGAATGCAAATGCTTCTACTTGGAATGTTCTTTGACTCAACAAGGCAGCATCTGCATATTGGGAGACCTGCTAGCACTAATTTATTTTGGAAGAGAAGAAGAAATTTGTGAGCAATTGGTGCTCAGAGTCATCTTACTTCCCAGTGCCTCAAAGGGAATCAGAGACGTGGCAAAGAGAACAGGCACAGATGCTGCTCAAGTGCTTCCTCTTTTAGAAAATTCAAATCACTCAGAACACCAAGATGCATTGATTCACTGCTCTGAATTGTATTTTTTTGCAAATCTAAAAATATTTACTCTTTTGTCAGGTCTTAGAAAATCAAGTTTTGAAAACCCATCCTTTTCCCCACGCCCATTTCTATAAACATTCACAAAAATTCACGAGCGGTCAGGGATGAATAAAGACGTAGACTATTCTGTGGAAATCTGCACAGTGACAAAGGTTTTAG